>NC_000016.10:23941031-24244061 GCF_000001405.40 Homo sapiens | reverse complement strand
CCCATGATAGAAGAGGGAGTAGCTCTCGCCCACCAAGCAAGTAAGAGGAGGCCCAATCAGCTTGTTGGAGAGATTAGGGGAGACTGACATGCTACTCCCTGATGCTTGCTAACCTGTGGAGACTCTAGGTTGGTACCTAGAAGAGAGCAGTGGGTTCCAGCAGAACATTGTGTGGGACTACTGGGGAGAAATTGGCAAGTGTTGTCTGGTGTTTGGGGCACACATGAACACCTGAACATGGAGGCTGGTGCCTGGATTCTACCTGTAGAACTATGATAGCAAGGGGTTGGTTGGAACCACCTTCCACTGCAGAGCAGGAAGAGAGAGCATCACAAAGCAGCTTACACTTCCAGGATTTCGTGTAGCAGAGATGTGCTGAGTACCAAGTAGATGCTGAGAAAGTAACTGAGCTCAAGCTCTCTTCATGGGATCATGCCCACAAGAGAACAGCATATGGATGTCAGAGAGCAGCAGCCAAAATAGAACCACAGGCTGGGCACGGTGGCTCACACCTGTAATCCCAGCACTTTGGGAGGCCGAGGCTGGCAGATCACTTGGGGCTGTGAGACCATTCTGGCCAACATGGGAAACCCTGTCTCTACTAAAACTACAAAAAAATTAGCTGGGCATGGTGGCACACACCTGTAATCTCAGCTACTAGGGCGGCTGATGCAGGAGAATCGCTTGAACTCAGGAGGTGGAGGTTGCAGTGAGCCAAGATCACGGCACTGCACTCCAGCCTGGGTGACAGAGCAAGACTCTGTCTCAAAAAACAAAATAACAACAAAACAAAATAGAACCACTGATTGCACCATCTAAGTAAGACTTTCACCTCTCACCCTCAACCAAACCCCAGATGCCACCCTCCCATTTCAGCCCCAGGGGAACCTTCAACAGAAGAAGGGGAATGAGAGGACATCCCTCCTCTCATTCCCACTAGTGGAGGCTCTCCACTGATGGTCAGGCTAGAACTGGACAGAGGGAAAGGCTTTGAATGGAATGGGAGGTTGTAGTATTGATTTCAACTAAATTGGACTTTAAAAATATTTTTGTTATGAGAAATTCCCAAACATATACAAAACGGGCAGAAAAGCAGAATGAATGGATGCCCTTGTACCCATTGCTGGCTGCAACAGTGACTGACTCATGGCCAATCTTGTCATGTCTATGCTCCATTAACTATCATTCTGAAGCAAGTGCCAGACGTTCTATTGCCTCCAGATGGGGCTTTTGAATGCCTGCGCATGAGTTCTAATTACTAAAGTAAGGTTCTTAACATTGAAAATGACTGGAAGACCCTGGGTTCTTCTTGTTTATTTTTTTCAGTCTCTAAAGCATAAAGTTCCATAGGGTAGAGAATTTTTCTATTTTATTCACTGCACTAGCCCTATACTCATAATAGCACATAACACATAGTGGGTGCTCGATAATTATTTGTTGAATGAATTATTTGTTCAAAATAGCCTGGCCTCCCTTTGCCATAATCTGAGAAGTGCTCAGATTGAAGTAAAAGGTAAAATGTTTATTTTTTTTTCCTTTTTGCTACCCATCACAAGGTAAAATATTTATATTTTGTTACTCAGTTGGCTTGCCTCAGTACTGACCCAAAGTTATTGAGCAAAATGTCCCACCTTGAAGGACTGACTAGGGTAATTATCTCTTTGGAGAAACAGCTTCACAAGTGATTCCAGATAATGTTATGGGGGTTGCCTTTCCCTAAACCCTTCCACATTTTTAGCATCTTCAGGAGAATGTGCAAGCTGATAGCTCACAGGTTCTGATGTTTTGTTTTGCCTGCCTGGTTTTGCAATTTACACTGAAATGAATTGAATGTGGGCCCACATTCCTGCTGGCAATTGGTTGGAGGAGAGTAGCATCTGCATTTGATGAAGCATGCCTGCCTCTGTTTACTGCAGTCCCCAGCCCACCTTATGATCTTCTGCCTGAAGATCGCTCCTTAGTCACCTGCCTAGCTCCCATGGGTCCCCAAGATGCCTTGTGGATGAGACATTGAAGTATAGATTCCAATAACTCCCAGCAGTTTTTCCAAACAACATTATGATTTCATCCATGAAACCACCTGAGCCCACTGCCATTCTTTGAATAATTTTTCGGTTTTCTCCATGGCTTTACTCAGATTTTTTATTTCTTCTTTTGGAATCATTTTTTTGGCCATATATGTTTTTTAATAATCTATTTCATCAACATTTTCTAATTTATCAGCATGAAGTTATGCATAATAATCTCTTATTTTTAAATTAATTTATTAGTTTATTCTTCTTAACTATCATTCTGATTTCTTTCTTTCTTTTTTTTTTTTTTTTTTTTTTGAGACAGAGTCTGGCTTCGTCACCCAGGCTGGAGTGCAATTGTACGATCTCGGCACACTGCAACCTCCACCACCTGGGTTCAAGCAATTCTCCTGCCTCAGTCTCTTGAGTAGCTGGGATTACAGGCACCCGCCACAACACCACATAATTTCAGTATTTTAGTAGAGAAGGGTTTTCCCCATGTTGGCCAGGCTGGTCTCAAACTCCTGGTCTCCAGCAATCCACCTGCCTTGGCCTCCCAAAGTGTTGGGATTACAGGCATGAACCACTGCACTCAGCCTATTTCTTATTCTTAAAGGTCCCTTTTCCCTCTACTGCTCCTTGATCAGATTAAGTAAATATTTATTTCCTTTTATATTGATCCCCAACACCCACCAAATATCCATTTTTGAATTTTGTTTCATCCATGCTATATTGAGTATAAACATTTTAAAGTTTCAAATATATGGGTATCAGCCTTCTGTAATTTCCAGCACAGATACAGCAAAGGATTAGATGCCTGTGATTAAGTGATCAAGGTGCCAGAAGTTTGTCTGGATTGTTTATTAGTTTTCATTAACTTTTAAATTATTTTGTACTCTTTAATTAATCTGGAATTTACATTGATCTATAGTATGAGATGAAGATTTAATTTTGCTTTATTTATTCCCTTCAAATATTAATCAATTGTCCCAGGGTCATTTATTGAATGCTACTTCTTTTTCCATAGACTTGTATGACCACTTTTATTATCTAATAAAGTCAGGTACATGAAAGATTATCTTGGAGCTATCTGTACTATTCCATTGTTTATGTTGCAATTATTGTAACATAGTCCCATAGATCCATAGAGCACATGAGTTTATGCTACAATATTTATCATATTAATCTATGTTACAGTATTTATCTACTATGCTACTTTAATCTTTGAACCATTATAGTCCATTTTAATACCTATATTCAGAGTGTTCCTGATATGGTTTGGCTGTGTCCCCACCCAAATCTCATCTTGAATTCCCATGTGTTATGGGAGGAACCCAGTAGGAAGTAATTGAATAATGGGGGCAGGTCTTTCCCATGCTGTTCTCATGATAGTGAATAAGTCTTATGAGACCTGATGGTTTTTAAAAAGGGGATTTTCCCTGCACAAGCTCTCTCTCTTTGCCTACTGCCATCCATGTAAGATGTGACTTGCTCCTGTTTGCATTCTGCCATGATTATGAGGCCCCCCCAGGCCATGTGGAACTGTAAGCCCATTCAACCTCTTTCTTTTGTAAATTGCCCGGTCTTGGGTATGTCTTTATCAGCGGCATGAAAACGGAATAATAGAGTTACCTAATTATTCTTGACTTTCAAATTGTTCTTGGCTATTTTGTCCATTCATTCTTCTAGTCAAATCTTATAATCATTTTGTGAAATTCTTCCCCTGCTCATCAAAGGAAATTATATATAACAAAAATAAAATTAATAGGGGATTTTTATTAGAACTGCATCAAACCCATGCATTTATTTAGGAAGAACTGACATTATTAAATAATCATTCCTTAATTTCATTTATCTAATCTTGTTTTAAATTTCCTTGATGAACTTTTGTTATTTCTCTATATATGTTATGCACATTTCTAGTTACATTTATTTCTAGGCAGGGACTGCTTTATCCCTGATTATTTATTTACTTACTTATTTCTTTTGAGACAGGGTCTCACTCTGTCACCCAGGCTGGAGTTCAGTGGCACCATCATAGCTCACTGCAGCTGCAAACCTCTGGGGTCAAGGGATCCTCCCAACTTGTCCTCCCAAAATTCTGGGATTACAAATGTGAGCCACTGTATCCAGTCTATCCCTGTTTTAGAAGTGAAGATATTGACTGTTGCCCAAATTCCCACAGTTAGTAAGACATGGAGAATGGATTAAAACCCATATCCATCTGATGGCAGAGCCTGTTCTTAATCCCTCTGCTACTTTATTTAAGATTATATTATTTCTTGAAGGAATTTTAGTAATTATTTCCCAGAAAAGCATCCATTTCATCAAGATTTTCCAGTGAGCTAGCATAGAGTCTCACAATGTGCTTTCATTTCCTTTCCTAACTTCTTGAATCAGATGCCTACTTCATTTAATTTCCTTTTCTTCTTTTAATTAATGGAAATGATAATGGCTGCCCTCTCCTTTTCATGGCCCCCTATCCACTCCCTCTTCCTGAATTCAGAACCTAGTCATTCTGGCCTTTCTAAGTACTGGCTTGTCAATCTCCTGCTCCTGCAGTAGAAGGATGATCACTTCTAGACAGATATTGCTCTGGGCAAAGCAGCTCAAACTCTGAATCCTAGGTGTTGTAAGCTCAGTTGTGTTAAGGGGTTATATTGTCCAGCTATGTGTTCCTTGGTGACCCTGACTGGAGTCTCTCAGTCCACTTTTCCCCTGCTTGATTTGGTCCATGGAACAGCCAGAAATGATACTTTTTAAAAGTTAACCAGATAATGTCACTACCTGTAGTAGTCCGTTTTCATGCTGCTGATAAAGACATATCCAAGACTGGGTAACTTATAAAGAAAAAGTGGTTTAATGGACTCACAGTTCCACGTAGCTGGGGAGGCCTCACAATCATGGTGGAAGGCAAAAGGCACATCTTACACGGTGGCAAGCAAGAGAGAATGAGAGAGGAGAGAGAAGAGAGAAGAGAGAAGCAAAAGGGGAAACCCCTTATAAAACCACAAGACTTGTGAGACTTCTTTACTACCATGAGAACAGCATGGGGGAAACTGCCTCCATGATTCAGTTATCTCCTACTGGGTCCCTCCCACAATATGTGGGAATTATGGGAGCTACAATTCAAGATGAGATTTGGGTGGGGACACAGCCAAACCATAACACTACCCTATTAAAAAAAAAACTTCCAAATTTCCCATTTTTATTTAAACACACCCACATTTGTTACCTTGGTCAATGAGGCCCTGTGTGATCTGGCTGCAGCCTCCTTCTTTGACCTTATCTCATATCCTGTTTTTCTTGTTCATTGTTATGCTGTCCTCTTTTGTGTGTGTGTGTGAGTGTGTGTGTGTGTGTGCACGTGCTGTTCCTTGAAGGTACCAAGCCTTTCCCCAAACCCTACCTTTCCTCTCAGTGTTTCTGCTGCCTGGGATGCTCTTTCTCCAGGATCACATGGTGCAGATCCCACATCATGTCCTTCAAAGGCCATTTTCTCAGAGAGGCTGTGGCCAACAACCAGACTGAAGACAGCCACTTACGTTAATTCCACAAAGTGCATCACTATTTTTCCTCATGATCACAATTAGCAATGCCATTTTTATTGCTATGAGTTGAATGTTTATGTTCCTCCAAAGTTCAGATATTGAAGCCCTTATCCTCAATGTGATGGTAGTTGGAGGTGGGGACTTTGGGCAGTCATTAGGTTTAGATGAGGTCATAAGGATGGTGCACCATGATGGGATGTGATTCATTATAAGAAGGTGAAGAGAGATGAGAGCTCTTTTTCTCTGCCCCTTGATGATACAGTGAGAAGGTGGCTGTCTGTAAGCCAGAAAGAGAGCCCTCACTAGGGAGCCAAATTACCCAATGCCTTGGTCTTGGACTTCCCAGCCTCTAGAACTGTGAGAAAATAAATTTCTGTTGTTTACGCCTTTCAGACTATGGTTTTTTAAAATTATAGTAGCCCTGATAGATTAAGATATTTACTTACTGGTTTGTTTTCTTATCACCTGTTTGCTATGCTGGAGTACAAGTGCAAAAGCCTCATCTGTCTTCTTCTTAGGGCCTGGCATGGAGAGTGGTATATTGCAGGGGCTCCAAAATACATGTTGAATCAATGAATCAATAACGACCTCACCCTTGCAGCCTCCTAGCTGTGTGTTCTGGACAATTTTAAAAAAATAATAAAGACAGGGTATCACCATGTTTTCCAGGTTGGTCCTGAACTCCTGGCCTCAAGTGATCCTCCCTATCTGCCTCCCAAAGTGCTGGAATTACAGGTGTGAGTCACCATGCCCGACCCCTCTGGACAACTTAAGTATTTGAGCTCAGTTCCAAAAATGAAAATGACAATACTGCTGGCTGGGCGCAGTGGCTCACGCCTGTAATCCCAGCACTTTGAGAGGCTGAGGAGGGCGGATCACCTGAGGTCGGGAGTTCAAGACCAGCCTGACCAACATGAAGAAACCCTGTCTCTACTAAAAAAAAAAAAAAAAAAAAAAATACAAAAAATTAGCCAGGTGTGGTGTCAGGTGCCTATAATCCCAGCTACTCCGGAGGCTGAGGCAGGAGGATCACTTGAACCCGGGAGGCGGAGGTTGTGGTGAGCTGAGATTGTGCCACTGCATTCCAGCCTGTGCAACGAGAGCAGAACTCCATCTCAAAAAAAAAAAAAAAAAAGAAAGAAAGAAAAAGAAAGAAAGAAAAGAAAAGAAAATGACACTATTATGTTGTTTTTGAGCAAAAAAAGAAAAAAAGAATAAAATAAAATAAAATAATGCAGGTAGAGACCTTAGCCCTCAAGAAGTAGTACCACGAATCATCATCATCATCCATATTATTTAAACGTAAAAGCACTCTCAGAAAGGCAAGTGGAAAGTCTCCCAGACAAAGTTTTATAAGAGTGAAGTTTATTCATTTTGGAGTCAAATCAGACAAGTCAAGCAGCTAATTTTTAATTTAATTTTTTTTTGCCAGGGTTCAAGGAGTGATCAAGTTTTACAGGAACTAATTCACACTAACCATTTCTAATGGCAATCATTTATTGTTATCTTTCACTGTTCTGGAAATTAACTGGGATCAGCTATGTGGTTCTTGCTCAGAATCCTTCCCTGGTTGTGGTTAGATGGTGCTGGGACTGAGGTCATCTCAAAGGCTTTCCCACTCACATATCTAGTGATTGTTGCTGGCTGCTGGGTGGGACTTTAGCAGGGGTTATCAGAAGGAGCACCTCTCCATGGCTTCTGTGTGGCTTGAGCTTCCTCACAGCATGGTGGCTGGGTTTCAAGAAGGAGCATTGCAAGACATGGAGCCATGTAGAAGTTCTAAAGCCTTTCCTAACCTAGCCTTGACATCACAATGCATTATTTATGCCACATTCTACTCATTAGAAGCCAGACCATATTCAAGGGGAAGGGAAATTAGTCTCTACCTCTTGATGGGATGAGCATCAAGGAACTGGACATGTTTTAAGACCATGATACCAATCAAATTGATAGAAAATTGATGTATGGATCAGGTAATTCTTTAACAATTAACAATAATAAATATGATTGTCAAATGGATCAGGACATTCATATCAGCTCATCAATGCATTCTTTCTCCTGATAGGCATTATAGTATGATGACTAAGTTGTAGTTCTGAATTTATACTGAGCAAGATTAAAATGCTATCCACCTATTAATTTTGTGACTCTAGGCAAGTTCCTTGACCTCTCTAAGCAGGTTTCTTCTTTGGAGAGTGGATGAAGAGTGCTGGCACATGGGGAGCATTCAATATATGGTGATGACCATTGTAAGCTCCTACTTCTCCCTCAAGTCAAGTCCTTTGTTACAGATGCTCTAACCAGACATAAGGCATGCTTATTTCTAAAGAGGAGGCAAGGATGGAGGGCTCCTTGTCCTTACCTGGGTCACCTGTGGGACTTGACTTCCACTCTCCTCATCATGCTGACAGTTCTCAAGTGGGCCCCTCTAAAGGCTGGATTCCAGGCTGCTGGGGTGGGTGAGCATGGCAACATCCTCATCACAGCAGGCACGTGGCCAGGGACTCAGATCTGCCAGTGTGGGCGCCAACACTCTCTCCCCAGAAAAGCTGCTTGAAGGCATAGACTAGGGGAAGGGAAGATTAAAAATAAAGAGTGGTCATGTTCAGTTTTGAAATTAAAAGAGAGGCATGGACTCAAAGGCCCTTCAATTCTCTTGGCTTTGGGAGGAAGAGGGTGCTGAGTAGGGGGGACATGGTCGGGGAGCACCACGGGGCTTCCTTTCCCCAGAACCCTAATTCATGGGAACACCCAGAACTGGGCAACTGCATCTCATGGCTCACAGTTGTGGTCTCGCCTGAAACATAAATGTTTCATTTGCTTTGCAGGGTTTGTGAACTAGCAGTCTTGGTGTTTATTTTGTTTGTCCCTTACAGAGATTTTAAATTCTAAATTGTAAATGAGTTTCAATTGAGCATTGGCTTTCCAGTTAGCTCCAGAACTCCGTATTATCTGCGTCCAGCCTGCTCTCATCATCTACATCGTATACTTTCCTGGCTTCAATGATAGACATTCAGTTTGGTTGCATCCTACTTGCTTTGTGCTTTCTCTGCTCTTACAATGTCTCAAACTTACATGTATGGAGCACCCAGTGTATTATCAGTTATAACCTCAATTACTACCCCAGAAACCCTACAAGAGAGGGATCGTCACTCCATAGAGAAGGCAGCTAAGGATCACAAGAACTGACTTACCTGAAAGAGTATGGTTTGTGAAAATGGTAGAGCTGGTATTTGGATCCAGGTAGTATCATTTAGGCTTTGTTTCAGTTGCAAGTGGCAGAAAATGCACTTCAAATTGGTTTAATTCAAGGGAAAAAAAGGATAGCAATCGATTGGCTCAAGTAGCTGAGAAGTCCAGGCATGCCTGAATCCAGGAGTTCAAACTCCATCTCTCAGCTCCAGTTGCCTCTATGTTGCACCATTTTGAGGCCAGACCTATCCTTGCGGTGGCAAAGTGGTTCCTAGTACCTCCTAGCCAAGAACCTATCCTCTCACCCACCCCAGTCAGGAAGAGAGAGCTTTTATTTCCCAATAGCTCTATCTATCTATCTATCATCTATTTAATGCCCAGAGCGTGATGACTCAGACAAGAATAGAATCACACAAGTGGCCAGGCATAGTGACTCATGCCTACAATCCGAGTGATTTAGGAGGCTGAGGCGGGAGGATTGCTTGTGCCAAGGAGTTCAGCACCAGCCTGGGTAACATAGCAAGATCCCATCTCTACAAAAATATAAAAAATTTAGGTGAGCTTCGTGATATGCACCTGTAAGTCCCAGCTACTTGGGAGGTTGAAGCAGGAGGCTCGCTTGAGCCCAGGAGTTCGAGGTTGCAGTGAGCAAAGATTGCACCACTACACTCCAGCCTAGGTGACAAAGAGAGATCCTGTCTCAAAAGGAAAAAAGAAAAAAAGGACATAATCACCTCAGAACCAATCATTATGGCCAGAGGTATAAGATTGTCAGAGGTGTGAGAACCAGAGCAACTCCATCTTGAATAGGGACTGGGTAAAATAAGTCTGAAGCCTACTGGGCTGCATTTCCAAACGATTAAGGCATTCTAAGTCACAGGATGAGATAGGAGGTTGGCACAAAATACATGTCATAAAGACCTTGCTGATAAAACAGGTTGCAGTAAAGAAGCAGCCAAAACCCACCAAAACCAAGATGGCCACAAGAGTGACCTCTGGTTGTCCTCATTGCTACATTCCCACCAACGCCACGGCAGTTTACAAATGCCATGGCAACATCAGGAAGTTACCCTATATGGTCTAAAAAGGGGAGGCATGAATAAGCCACCCCTTCTTTAGCATATAACCAAAAAATAACTGTAAAAACGGGCAACCAGCAGCCCTTGGGGATGCTATCTATGGAGTAGCCATTCTTTCATTCCTTTACTTTCTTAATAAACTAGCTTTCACTTACTGTATAGGCTCTCCCTGAATTCTTTCTTGCATGAGAGCCAAGAATCCTCTTTTGGGGTCTGGATTGGGACCCCTTTCCTGTAACAAGATGAGTTTAGGTCATAGTCTCCTGCTTGAAGCCTTGGGTAGGGTTAGGCCCACCTGAATCACAGTGAGCAAGAATGAGGGATGGAACAGGAAAGATGTGTTCTTTCCAGAAGGGAAAATGTCCACTACCTAAGCTAGCAAAGAAGCTTGTTTCCTTTACTATAGGCTTCAGAGGTCTTGAGCACCTTCCGTTAAGGGTGATTAGGTAAACACATCATACACTAAATGGGGCTGCTCCTACAACCCTAGTATCCAGAGGAAGTTGACTCTATGTGCTGATCTTTTAGAAAACACTTGTCATTATTGTCTTTCCAGAATCCATTACCCTTTCTTTTTATTTTTTTTTGGGGGGGTGGGGCGGGCAGGGACTGAGTTTCGCTCTTATTGCCTAGCCTGGAGTGCAATGACACGATCTCGGCTCACTGCAACCTCAGCATTCTGTGTTCAAGTGATTCTCCTGCCTCAGCCTCCCAAGTAGCTGGGATTACAGGCATGCACCTTCACACCAGGGTAATTTTGTATTTTTAGTAAAGATGGAGTTTATCCATGTTGGTCAGGCTGGTCTCGAACTCCCGACTTCAGGTGATCCACCTGCCTGGCCTCCCAAAGTGCTGGGATTACAGGCATGAGCCACCACATTGGCCCCTTTCTTCTTTTAATTACACCACCATTTTCTTCTGGGAAACTGCCCATTTCCCAAGCAATTCAAAGGGATTATCTCTTACCTCTACCCTACTTCAGGGGCAAGTACGGTGACTCAAGTTTGGCAAGTCTGATATTTATCCTCTGGGCTAAGATAATTAAGTTAGAGATAAATATTCAAGCTGAGGCAATAAAACCCAGTCTCAGAACTTTTTTTGGAACTACTGAAAAAAATAAATTCTCCTTCCATTGGTATTACTAAGACTTGAGGATGGTGGTTGGAGATTCTGGGAGCCACCAAAGAAAATAAAGCCATGGTGAAAAAAATAGATGAAGGTGGAGAGTAACAGCTTTCTCATATTGCGTGAGTCCATAGACCCATTTGTACCTGAAGCCAGAAAGACCTAAGGCCTCTTTAGTTACCTAAACAAATATACAACCATTTTTCCCTTTTAATTGCCTTAGTTTGAGGTGGGTTTTGCCACTTGTGACCCTAAGAAGGTCAAACATGTAGGGTTTTTTTTGTTGTTGTTGTTTGTTTTGTTTTGTTTTGTTTTTCTTAGACGGAGTCTCGTTCTCTTGCCCAGGCTGGAGTGCAGTGGCGCAATCTTGGCTCACTCTGTCTCCTGGGTCCAAGGCATTCTCGTGCCTCAGCCTCCTAAGTAGCTAGGATTACAGGTGCATGACCTGTAAGACATTACCACGCCCAGCTAATTTTTTGTATTTTTAGTAGAGATGGGGTTTCACCATGTTGGCCAGGCTGCTCTCAAACTCCCAGCCTCAAGTAATCCACCCGCCTCGGCCTCCCAAAGTGCTGGGATTACAGGCATGAGCTACCACGCCCGGCCCAATGTGTAAGTTTGATTTAAGGCAGGTGTTGGATTCCAGGACAAAGCAAGGCAGAAGGACATCCCTTATATTTGGCAGGGGTACATGGCCCTCTTGTTTCCAAGTGCAGGGTGTTTGAGGGCTGGAGCCTGTCGGGTGTCAGATAAATATCCTGGATGAGGCTCTATCCTAAACCTTGACTCTTTCATGCACTGCTTGGTCATGTGAACCCTTTGGAAACTCTTTGGAAGTTCACTCCATGGCCTAGTAAGAATCAGTCCCTGTTCCCACTTACTCCACTTCCCTTAGCAGAAGTGGTTCTGGAAGAAGCAAGCTCTTGAACATTTTAATGTGAGGCTTGACCACACAAGATTTAGGGTCTGACAGACCTGCATTTAAGCCCTGGCTTGGCCACTTACCAGCCATGTGACCTCAGTCAAGTTACTTGGCATTTCTAAGACTCAGTGTTCTTATCTGCAAAATGAGTTTAATACTAACATTCAGCTCCTACAGTTTATGTGAGGCTGAAATAAACTGAACACTGGTGGGAACCTAGTAGTCACTCAATGAAAGATAGCAACTGTCATCATTATAAAGCAAACAGCATTTCCCTGCAAATGCTCAGTTTTGTCTGTAGCTTAACTCAAAATCTCTCCCTTTGTTCTGTCCTCCCTTATTCACAAGCATTTTTGCAGTGGATATAGCCACAGGTACTTGATGTTCTCAATTGATTTACGTGCAAACTGTAATCCTTAAGAGCATAGACTCAGGAACTGGGCTGTTTAGATTCAAACTCTGCCTTGTTAGTGGCTGCGTAGTCTTAGGCAAATGGCTCCACCTCTCTGTGGCTCAGTTTCCACATAAAACGGGGATGACAAAAATAGTATCTGCCGGCCAGGCATGGTGGCTCATGCTTGTAATCCCAGCACTTTGGGAGGCTTAGGCGGGTGGATCACCTGTCAGGAGTTTGAGACTAGCCTGGCCAACATGATGAAACCCCGTCTCTACTAAAAATACAAAAATTAGCTGATTGTGGTGGCAGGCACCTGTAATCCCAGCTACTCGGGAGGCTGAGGCAGGAGAATTGCTTGAATTCAGGAGGCAGAGGTTGTCATGGGCTGAAATTGCACCATAGCACTCCAACCTGGGCAACAAGAGCAAGACTCCATCTTAAACAAACAAAAACAAAAACAACAACAAAAAAGAAACAGTATCTGCCTCATTGGGATTAAGTAAATTAATATTTAATACTAAGTAAGCTAATATTAATGAATGACACAACATAAGGATTAGTCATCATCTGTGTGTTTAATACTGTGCCACATCAACCACATACATGTTGAGTGGCCAAGCACTAATTTATCTTGGACACAAGCCACTCTGTGTGCACAGTAAGGCTATGCTGGATTCTGATTGCTTGGGTCCTGTTGTGGTCCTGCTAATCCCAACACCACTCAGCAGTACACAGCCTTATGAATTTTGGTGAAAACTCTGGCCATGCCAACATTCCACATTCTTTTTGTGTACAATTAATTCACAATAATTTTTTTTGCATTCAAAGTCTTGTTCCAATATCTGCTATTTTATCATGAGCAAATTACTTAACCTCGTTGAGCCTCAGTTTCCTCAACTGTAAAATGGCAAAACTCATAGTACCTACTTCATAAATTGTCATGAGGATTAACTGAGTTGTTATGGCAAAGTTCTGAATATAGGTCTTGACACATTGTAAGTGTGAAATTATTATCTTATAAGTGATAATGTCCAGCTAATATATCCTGCAAACGGGATGCTTCCAAATAGCCTTAGAATTCTCTTAAAAGAGCTGAAAAATATGTTTCTTGATCTTGTACATTACAGGTTTCAAGCTTATAGCCTATCTGACAGACACATCCAGTGGACATATTTTACTTGCACAGCCTCAAGTTTCAAAAAATTAGAATCAGTGCCCTCATTTTTTCTTTAGAGACAGGGTCTTACTATGTTGCCCAGGCTGGTCTCAAACTCCTGGGCTCAAGCGGTCTTTTCACCTCAGCCTCCTGATTACCTGGGATTACAGGTGTGCACGTTATGTGGTAGACAGCTTCAGACATGGCTCCCAATAGTCTACCTCGCCTATTTATGCCTGTTTAAGAAAAACTCAAAACGCCTGGCTAATGGCTCATATTTTAAAATCAGGACCTTTCATATAAAAATCTGGCTTTCCAGCTTCTCCTGAGGAATGGGAAGAGATGGCACCGTGGCACACATTCTTTCAGGCTGTCATTTGGAGTTGACACCACTGTGATTGATCACTGTGGAGAGGACAGACACTGTCCAGGTCAGGAGCCTCCTGGTTTACAACACTCCCATTTTTCTACACCTGGGAATGTTTCAGGCACTTGCCTTATCTGCCTGGCTCCTGAAATAATGAAAATAATGGCTAACACATACACAGAGCATGCTATGATTCAGGCACTATCTCAATCCATCCCCACAACAAACCTAAGGGAGAAGTATTGTTATTGTCTCATTTTAAGGATGAGAGGACATAGAAGGGCTAAGGTTGTGCAGCTGGCATGTGGCAGAGCTGGGAGTTGCACACTCTGATTCCCAACTCTGGGCTCTCGCCCCTACACTCTACTCTAGAGTAGCCCCTTATTTCTACCTGGGTCAAGTTTTCTGCAGTTGTATGAATAAAAGGGGAACACACTCCAGGGTGTCCATATTCAGCTCTCGTCGTGTTGGCCAAGAGGGCTTAGTTGTGGATGCCAAAGGTCGTGATTTAGGGAATTAGGTGCCTAATTTCCCAATTGCCTTCAACACTCCCAGACTCATCTCTGATGCACAAGGATAGTTCTACCCAGAATAGAAGCTCCTGTTGGAGGTCATTGAACTTAGAGTGAGGGTCTCTTCCTACATTGGTGTCTCCCCAACTCAGCCCCTGAGAGGCAGGACACAGAGAGAAAACCCATCTTCAGGAGTTGGTACATTCTGCTTATCCCTAACAACTGTAGACACATCCCTTCCTAGATGACTGAAAACTATCCATTTTATTCAGTTTCTGATCATGCTAGAATCGAATCAAAGTGACACATCTCTATACTGAAAGTGTTATGCTCTTTCTCTCTCTCTATATATATGTATATATATATAGATGATAGATAGATATATATGTATGTGTGTGTGTATATATATGTGTGTGTGTGTGTGTGTGTGTGTGTATATATATATATATATATATATATATATATATATATATATATATATATATATGGAGAGAGAGAGAGAACCTGTGTCCCTTCCTGAAAAATATTTATAAAATCTTACCATGGCCAGGATATTCCAATAAGCCCCCACACGCCCACCCTTGATCAAGAGCCTTGATTCATTCTTAAGAAATCCCTCCATTTTCTACAGAGCTCTTCTAGTGAAATCTTGTCAAGCTTTCCTTCCTGAAGTCTGTATTATAAAAACAAGACATCTTATTTTCCTTTTCCGGTTATGAAATTATATGATAATATTTGAAGATGTTTCAAAATACGACTCACCCCCTATTCCAAACCCTGACTCTCACTGGTCTATGAGTGATTCTTGTAGATTTTTAAAAGAATGCCTTTCCCCAAATGGTAAGTTTTGAGATGATGCCTGACGACTGCTATCGAATGCTTAACATTTGAAAATAAATTCACAAAACACAGAAGATGAACAGATGGTCTGTGAGTTTTGTCCATTCTCTGTAGCTTTCCACCACTCTCTGCAGCAACAGACAAAAAGGAGTTTGAGCCAACCCCAGGTGGGTGTATTGCGAGGGAGAGGCGAGCTGTCCCCAGGCCTGCACCATACGAAGCATCCGTTGTCTTTGGGGGCCCCGCAGGAGGGCTGTATCCACAGAGACAGGGTCCTTGCTCTTTATTCCAGCTGGTGGGGACAGTGCCAATGGGAAAGGGGTTTAGAGGCATCAAGGTCCTCTTGCTGTCAGAGCAACCTTGGTAGGGTCATCTCATCTCTTTTCCTGGGACAACCAGGAGTGAGGGTTCATCCCTGACTGCACTTGCCTGCTGGCATGGCAATACTCGGGAACTTGGTTTTGAAATCCCAGCTTGGTCAATTTCACAGCAGTTGGGTCACACGCTAGGCTATGATCTGATCCACACCAGGTGTATCAGTTTCCTGGGGCTGTGGAAACAAATTACTACAAACTGAGTAGCCTTAAATGGTGACAGGTGTTCTCCCACAGTCCAGAAGGCCAGAAGTATGAAATCAAGGTGTTGGCAGAGCTGTGCTCTGTCTGGAGGGTCTACGGGAGAATGCATTCCTTGCTTCTTCCAGCTTCTGGTGACTGTCGCATCCTTTAGCATCTAGTGCCTGCATCTCCCTCTGCCTCATCTTCTCATTGCCTTCTCCTCCGTGTGTCTGTGTTATCTTCCTCTGCCTCTGCCTTGTAAGGAAACTCGTGATGACATTTAAGGCCCACCCTGTTAACCCAGGGTCATCTCTTCATCTCAAGATCCTCCATTCAATTACTTCTTGCAAAGACCTTCCTCCCCACCCCCAAAATAAGGTAAAATTTCCAAATTCCAGGGTTAGGACTTGATATCTTTGGGTGGTCGTTATTCAGCTTACTACTCTGGGCCTTACTCACCACTACAGATGCCCTAATCTTGTCCTGCTTTCCCTCCCTTTCTGGCCAAGTCTCTTCCCTTCAAAAATGTCACACAGACCCTAGAGAAACAAAGCTGGGATGGTTGAAAGAACCCTGGGCTTGGGGTCAGTAAAAACAAGATTGGCTGGATTTGTCAGCGGCAGTCACCTGCCTCTCTCTCTCTCTCTCTCTCTCTCTCTCTCTCTCTCTGTGTGTGTGTGTGTGTGTGTGTGTGTTTCTACTCTCTCATCTCCACAAGGATGGCAGTGGTCAAGGTAAACTGCACCTCTGCCTCCTTGCTGCACTATTACAATGGCCTCCAATGATCTTCCTGCTCCTCCTTTTTCTCTACAAACTATATTCTCTAATACAAATCAGATCATGGCCATTATTTGCTTAAAGTTTCTGTAGGGAGACAGAATAAAGGCCCTCCCAACACATTCACATCCTAATCGCTGAAACCTGTGAATAAGCTCCTTACGTGACAAAGGGGACTTTGCAGATGTGTTAAAAATCTGAGATGGGGAGATTATCCTGGATGATCTAAGTGGTCCCAAGGTAATCAGAAGGGATGCAGAAAAGTCACAGATGGAAAAGCAGACATAGAAGTTGCAGAGATGCACTTTGAAGATGAACAGGGGCCATGAGCTAAGGAAGCAGGCAGCCTCTAGAAGGTGGGAAAGGAAATGAAGCCAATTCTCCTCTGGAGCCTCCAGAAGGAACCAGCTCTGCTAATGCCTTGATTTTAGTCCAGCAAGGCTGCTTTTGGACCTCTCACCTCCAGAACAATAAGATAATATATTTGTGGTGTTTCAAGCTATGGAGCATGTGACAATTTGTTACAGCAACAACAGGAAAGTAATACAGTCTTCAAGGGATTCTCATTGAACTTAGAACAAAGTCAAGCTTCTCAGCAGGGTCTACAAATGCTTACGTGATCAGACTGCTGACTTCCTCTTTGGAAGGAATCTTCTACCACTTGGTCCAATGTTTACCAGTCTTTAGCCACATGGTTCTACTTTCTGCTCCTTGACAGGCCAGCCCTCAGGTTCTGGCTCTTGACATTCCTTCAGTCTGGAATGCTTTGCTCTGGATTCTCATCTTTGAGCTCAAAATATCACCTTGTCAAGAAGGCCACCCTCCTTGGCGCCTTAGTTAAATAGTCGACAACCCAGCTATTTATTGACAACCCAGCAGGTCAAAACCCTGCTGTCTCCAATCATGTTATTCACCATATTTAATATGCATTTAATATGCATCCCTCCTAAACATCAGCTGCATGAGAAAAGGGCCCGTGCTTTGTTCCCATCTGGAACAGTCATTCATTCTAAAGAGAGATTTGTAGAATGAATGAATGAAATAGACCTTCCATGTCCAATGATTTCTCTCCAAAGCCATGGGGTCCCTGCCATGGGTTCAGCCCCTGTGGCATATTAACAATAAGCAAATCACCCCCAATCCAGATTTGAGCCATGAGATGATAGGGGATGAGATTTGGAGGTCATTTCTGCTTGTTCCCCCTTAACATAATTTTCAGAGAGTCTTCCCTCTTAACATAATTTTCTGGTATTTCCTCTTTGTTCATCTATTTCCCTTGAAAGTCCTGTGCTGGGCTTTGCCCACTTACAATTAGTAGGATTTCCTGAGGACGACCTCGGGGTCAAATACCTTCAGGGGCTCATCAGCTAAAGTCCCCCTTTGATTTCTGCTGCTTAACTAGGGCAGAAATGTGAATCTGGTGCTGCTGATGTCTTAGGGAGTCAAGGAAACTCCTTTATTTTGAGAGCAAGGGCCCTTAAGTTGTGTGGGTTTAAGGAAATACTAATGTCTTCTCTGTTTATGAGAGGCCCAAATCATTATGTTTGAAAGAATCTCTTTCATCTGGATTAATTGTGTCAGTCTGATCATTCATACCAGCTAAGAAACTCTCAGAGAAGGGATCATCACAGTCCCTGCTCCCCACCCCGACTTCACCTCTAGGGAGGAGGGTTGACCTGGCTGGTCAAGATTGAGCAAGTTTGTTGGAAACAGTGCTAGGACACCTCCCTCCCTTACTCCAGCCCGTATTATGTGGTAGACAGCTTCAGACACGGCTCCCAGTAGTCTCCATCTTGCCTATTTATGCCTGTGATTTTCCTCTGCTCTCCACACCACAACAATCAACACAGAAGACTTCCGTAACCAAATGTCTGGGAGGTTTTCCCCATCAACAAGCAGTGGACGCCAGCTGTGTATCCTCCAATTCAATTCCTACCCTATCTACCTGGAAATAGCATTAGATCCCACAGGGTGAGGACTCAGTCCCCAAAACTGCCCCTTCCCACCCACCAGATACCAGTCACAAATCCAGGCCCCTGGAACTTCTGATCAACCAGCTTCTAGTTGAGATTTCTACAATCCCCTCTTTGAGATTGATTAATTTGCTAGAATGGCTCACAAAACTCTGGAAAACATTTACATTTACTGGTTTATTATAGAAGATATTACAAAGGATACAGAAGACGATGTCTTGCATAGGGTGAGGTATGCAGGTAGGGGCGTGGAGCTTCCATGCCCTCTCCACTGGGAGGAATATGGAGCACCACTCTCCAGGAACCTCCATGTGGTCAGCTATCTGAAAGCTCACTCAACCCTATCCTTTTGTGTTTTTATGGAAGCTTCATTATGTCAGCATTCCTTCCCCCTGAGTATGGGAACAGGGGACCATCTCTGGAATGAGGGTCTTATGACCCACAATCAGAAAGCTGAGGGAAGATTAGAGTCCTGCCTGAAGGAGGGCAGAAGAAGGTCAGAGAGCTTCTATTTCCTGAGGTCTAAAGCACCCAACATTATAACAAAACTATAACAAGGGTTATGGGAGGTATGAGCCAGGAACTGTAGATGAAAACACACACACACACACACACACACACACACACACACATACATATATATTTCATACCATAATATCCTTGTGTAATTCCTTCCCCTTGAGTGTGGACTGGGCCTAATGACTTGCTTGTAATTAATAAAATACAGCAAAAAGGATATAATGTCACTTCTATGATTAGGTTACTGAAGAATGGGTCTTCCAAACTACTGGTATTCTCACTATATTGCCTTCTTAGTGTGTATAATTTGATGAAGCAAGCTTCCACTTTGGCAAGACCCACATGGTAACAAACTGAGGGCAACCTCCTGCCAAGAGCCAGTGAGAAACTGAAGACCTCAGTCCGACAGCTCACAAGGAACTGAATCCTGGCAATGGCCATGTAAATGAGTTTAGATGTAGATTCTTCCCTAGCTGAAACTTCAGATAAGACCACAGCCCCAGCCAACACCTTAACTTTAGCTTACGTGAAACTCTGAAGACCCAGCTAAGCTGTACCCAGACTCCTGACTCACAGAAAGCACAGATAATAAATGTATATTGTTTTAAGCTGCTAATTTTGGGGGTAATTTATTAACAGATAACTAATACAACCCCCATGATATCTAGGAGTTCTCTATGGAGTCCAACCACTTTAGGATTAGGATATTGGAATATGCAGTCAAATCTTCAAATCATAATAAATTTTTCATTTTCTAGGCATTGTCCTATATGCATTTATTTCTCTCTTGGATCTTGTGAGGAGGAGTCACTTGTTGACAACATAACTAAATGTTCTTGCATCTCTTGTCCAAATACCATTTTCATCTCACCCTGACATCTGCCCTGATTTTGGCAGGCCATATGCCAGGGAGACTAGCATTTATGGTAAAAAGTCGATAGTTGATGGAGTGTGGTTCACTTATTGGGCAAGTCCCCTAGAGCTAAAACTTTGTTGTGTTTGGAAATTGGGATTCCATTTTGGAGCCAACATTGCTTGTCTAGGAAGTAATGAGCAGCAGAATTCTGTGTAGGTCAATGCAGTCCCACATCAAAACAAGCAAAGATAAAGGACCTGAGGTACAGGGCTTTAGGGCATTTATTCATTTTGCTTCTTTAACTTTTACTTTAGGTTAGGGGGTACATCTGCAGGTTTGTTATATAGGTAAACTGGTGACATGGGGATTTGTTGTACAGATTATTTAGTCACCCAGGTATTAAGCCTAGTACTCATTAGTTATTTTGCTTGACCCTCTCCCTCTTCCCATCCTCCACCACCTGATAGGCTCCAGTGTGTGTTGTTCCACTCTATGTGTCCATGTGTTCTCATCATTTAGCTCCCACTTATAAGTGAGAATGTGTGGTATTTCTGTTCCTGTGTTAGTCTGCTGAGGATAATGGCCTCCAGCTCCATCTATGTCCTTGCAAAGGACATGACAAGTGGAACTGGATTGGTATCCCAGATTTAGTTCCTATTTATCTTGCTTTGCATTTCTTCTTGATTTCACCAGCATCTGAGCTTGTATGTGAGGTTAGAGAAAGAACATGGCAGGAATAAGCTCTGAGGATTTGAGAAATTTGTCCTCAAGGGTTTGAAGTTCTTAAGTTGGCTGTGGTCATCCAATTGACAAGCCTAAACTTCGGTACCATGCCTTTATATGTTGAGATTGAAGAATCTGACTGTGGGAAAGTCCAGTCTATTCCCAGCAATTTATTTCCATCTGTTTTATTTCTTCGATGCTCCAGTCATCAGATAACCTTCCAGCTGACTGAAGATACACAAGCAAGTCCATCAGAGACAAACTGGGGAGGCCAGGCCAGAAAAACCAGTATCGTGAGCTAAATAAGTGGTAGTTTTTATTAAGCCATTAGGTTGTGATGTGGTTTGTTACTCAGTGCCCGATAATTGACGTAGACTGACACCATGTGTATGTTTCCTCCAACTCATCTCCTTGGTGGGTTTTGAGATCTTGAAGGCAAAGAACTATAACTCATCAGAAGGTCCAATTCAGGTATTTGCCTTGGGTGTGAGCTTGGCTATGAAACAATAGAGACTACTGTGGACCAATGCAATGCCAGGTGAACCACTCCTTTAATTGTTTATCAGTGTTGACCCATCTCTCATATATCATTAGCTTCAAGAATCTTTGGAGTAGCCCCAAATTCCCATCTACAGAGGATCTACCACTGTGGTTTCCTTCCTGGGCATACATCCTCTTTGTTCCAAGAACAACTTTCAATTTTCATTCAGAGAGCTGTTCTTCACCTATTCCCAGTTCCTGTGTTTTGGGTGGCACTCTATCCCTAGCTGCAGAGGTGCAGCTCATGTTATATGTGATAGACATTCTGTAAGATGGTCCTTAAAGACCTCCACTTTCCAGTAGTCTCACCTTGCATAATCCCTTGCCCTTAAGCATGGGCTGGACTTACTAGTAAGGAACAGAAAACAGAAACATGATAGGATGTCAATTCTGAGATTAGATTGCAAAAAGACTGTGGTTTCTAAACTGGGCACTCTCACTTGAATCATGTGCCCTAGGAGAAGCCAGCTGCCATGTCCAGAGGCAGCCCTATGGAGGGACCTATGAAGTGAGGAATTGGGGTTGCCAACAACCATGTGAGTAAGCTTGGAAGTGAATCCCATCTTCCCCCAGTGGAACCTTCACATGTGACTGCAACCCTGGGCAATAGCTTGGCCACATCCTCATGACAGACTTTATACCACCTCAGCCATACCCAGATTCCTGATCCACAGACATTGAGAGGTCATAAATGTTTATTGCTTTAAAGTTTTGGGGTAACTTGTTACACAGTAATAACTAGCTAATACAACTCAGGTTTGGCCAATTAAAGCACCTCACCTGTCTCCCCTCTCCACCCACAGTGCTTGGCTCAAGAATGTACATGTGACCAGGCTGAGTCAACTGTAATAAACTACAATACTTTTATAGGAGCTCACACTCTTTCTCACTGGACATGATCCTAGAAGGATTAGAGGCCAGGATTTCTGCAGCCATGTTGTCCCTACAAGTGGGGAGTCCTGAACTATCTTATTGGTCTCTATAACACCAGTATCCAGAACTGTGCTTGGCTCAGAGTCGGGGCTCAATATTTATTAAATGAAAGATGGGTTTATATCTGGCAGAGGGGGAAAGTTTGAGAAGCTGGCATGGAATGAGGAGGAATAAGAGGCAGCAATGGTAACCTCTTCTATATAATACTGTCTTAAATGGGATGCATGTTCAAACATCTGTAGAATCCCAGGTATTTTTGTTTTCTAAATGTGATGCCTAGAACACTGTTTCTTCCTGAAGTTTAAATGGGCTTCAGCCAACTTTAACTGGCAGACTTTCTAAAATTCTGCAAAGATTAGTGCACTAGGTAAGATCAATGGATTCACTGTATCTTTCCAATGCTCCATTTACTGAGGCTCTTTCAAGAAGGGAAGAGATGAATACACTCTGTAGAGAGTCATAATGTACATAGTGTGAACACATTTGCTCTTTTCTGCTACCCACTAGCCTTAGCAGCTACAAAGGCATGTGCTACAGATTGGATTACTATATCTTTTGAAAAGAAAATAGAAGCATGACTTCATTCAGAGAAGAAGGTATTAGATTGACACCCAGTGACTCAGTACTGTGCCACTCTGCTCTGAGAGAGTGCGGGTCCTTATCATGCCAGCAGGGTTTAGAAGCAGTCTCCCTTATTTCTCCCTCTTCTCTTGGGCCTCCCTGGACAAGCGGTTGAAAAAAAAAATGGCTTATACTCCCCCCCCTCTTTTTTTGGCAGGTGCTTAGCTAAATTAGGAGAATATAAGTCAAAGGTAAGTCGTTTTACAAATAGCAACATCCTCATGGACAACAAACAAAGGATTCTCTCTGCACTGACACCAGCCTCTTTCCTGACTTTTGTCATGGCTGGAATAAAATCTTACATATCTTGTGCTTGATACATAGCTTAATAAACACGAATCACATTGAGTGGGTGGCTGCACACATACCCTGATTAGGGGCACAAGAAAATATTAAGGTCCTCAAACCTGTGACTCACGAATGACAGAGGTTTCAACCTCAAGTGGCTATAGCAGCCAGGGAAGTGGATGGAGGGTATAAGACAATAGGGGGTGGTGGAGACTGTGGCAAAATGAGAACATACACTGCTTTTAAAGGAGAAGCATTTCTCAGTTCTGTAGAATTATTTCCATGTGGAAATACAGGCTCAGAGCTGCTAGTCTTTTGTTTCTTTTTTCAAGGGAATCTAAAAGTCCAGGAATTTATATAAAGTATCTTATTTTGTCATGTTCACAATGGTTTTGATTAAGTAAAATTCCATGTGAGTAAAATTAAGCTTATCTAATGGCTACAAACTGGATCTTCAGTCTGTAACCTCTGTAACATAGTCTATTTAAGAAAAGACATATAAACAAGAGCTTGCATATATTAATTCAGTTTAATCATATCAATTCTTAAACAAAAAACTTCCTCCAAGAGACAATAGTTCACAGTAACTGCAAAGCTTACTCACAATTTTTAAAAATATCGCTCATGCTTAGCATTCAAAGAAGATATTATAGAATAACTGTAAAAACTTTTACCAGGAACATCAGCTTCTGACTTGAAAAATTACAAATACTGAAGCATTTTGGTATCAGACACAGTAGTTTTGACATTGTCTGTTCATTTGATGAGTTTCTGGAAGTTTGGAAAATTGTACCTCTATAATTGGATAATGCGCTTATTCTAAACTAAACATTTTCAAATGTAGAAAACAAACTAGCAAGCTACACATACAAAGAAAAGCCCTCTAAGACAAGCTTTCCACATGTTGAATGCCAGCATGTGCACCGTGAATCCTGGAAGACTAGAATTGATACATACGCTTGGCTTGAAGTCTTACACCCCAGGCTCAACGATGGAGTTTGCATTCACCTACACATTAATGACAAACTCTGGGTTAGTATAAGAGAAGCCAGCAAATTCATTTTGGTCCAAGTTCATGATGAAGAGTTTATCAGTGGGGGTCAGTTCCACAGGCTGTCTGGTGAACTCTTTGTCGAAGTTGGAGGTGTCTCTCTTGTCTCTCTGCCAAATGGAAAGTAAACACATTAACACAGCGTAAGAAGAAAGACACAGGACCAAGATACGCCAGTCATTGGGTGGCTGATACCATCTCATGAGCAGAGTCAGAAAGAGCCCTGTGCTGAAAATTTTTAGCAGCTGCACTCCACGCACTGGCTTTCATTTCACATTGTATGTTGGCTTGGGGATAGAAATGTGGTGGAAATTTTCTAAGAAAAGAAGTAAGTCATTGAATGTCAGTTAAGAATTGCCATAAAGTGGTGTGTGTGTGTGTGTGTGTGTGTGTGTGTGTGTGTGTGTGTGTGTGTTGCTGTATTTTCTTTGGCTTTAGGATGAATTGAATTGGAAGCTACTTATTACCATGCTTAATGTTATAGAAATAATCATTAGGTAGAGCGTCCTGGAGAAAACCATTCAGTAGCAGCCCAGGTGGCTAGAAGACCTCTTTCTCTGAAAAGGTGAACTGCTGCCCATCTACTCTGCCCCCAAGAAGGCAGAATGGCCATGTGGAGAAATCAGATCACTGCTTAATGAAAGGAATTGACCACCGTCAGCTCGAAAATCCACCCACAGTCTAGAATTGGGTGTTTATCAGGCAGAAGTTCTCTCCAAAGACATTTTTAGCATGTGTCAACAAACTATAAGAGAGAAAACCCAAAGCTTAAAGGAGGGTGTGTAAGGGGAGCCTTAAAACAAAACAAAACAAAACAAAACAAAAGAAACTCAAAGCAACTCGATTCTCCTAGTAAGTCTGGCATTTCTTTTTTTGTTCAGTAGGGAGGTGGAGAAGAAATTAACCCCCATTTACTAGCAATTGCTTGGGGCAAGTCTCACCAGGGAACATCAGAATGTGGGCTAATAAAGGAATCTGTATGATGCTCCGACCTCTTCAGGGTCCTTGCAAGCCTCTTGTCTTTCCTCATCATCACCACACCCACCTGGGGCAGGTGGAGCTGGAGTCCTCACCTCCTATATATGACATATGAGAGAACCGAGGCACAAGCAGGCAGGGTGGCTTGCCCAAGATTTCAGTGGGTTCCTGATTTTTACCTGACCACATCGCTGCTATGTAGGCCTCATCACAGTCTCTCGGACTGGAGGGACAACCCCATGGCTGTTTTATTACAAGACAACCAGGGAAGAAGGCCTTGTATTCCCTAGTGCCCTGCACATTCCCGGGCTGCAGCCAAAGTTGCCTCAGATTATAAAGGCCAGGGGGTCGGTAAGGATTCACTGACTCATTAGCGTTTGAGCCATCACCACCCAGGCTTTAGGTTTAGCCCCCTAATGGGCACTAGCTGTTAAGGATCTCTCATTGCTGGGTTCACTCTCCTTTGCAAAAGACCTTTTACAAGACTTGCTTCTTTGTGGCTGCTCCCCTGAGATAGGTAAAATGTCTCTATGGAGTTCCCTCCTTACTCTTGCCAAGTCTATGTGAGGGTGTGGGAGTGAGGTGGGCACACTGAACTCAGGAGCACACGTGGGTATGTGTGGCTAGAGTGGGGCAGGCTAAGATGCTGATGGAGCTGTTTCCTGGGTAGGGTCCATCTCTACCATGTCCCACCTGCCCTTTTTGTCTTGTCCTGCTTGCTGTTAGCCTGTGGGGTGCTATAGGAGTTTCCATCCCCCAGGCGCTCGGCATGTTACTTCCGGTGTTCACAACAAAGCTCGAATGCCTCCTCTTTAATATTGTCTGTGCATCTCTCTCCCAATCCCCACAAGTCACACTTTAGCATCCTTTAATTATCT
Organism: Homo sapiens; assembly: GCF_000001405.40. Classification (NCBI taxonomy): domain Eukaryota; kingdom Metazoa; phylum Chordata; class Mammalia; order Primates; family Hominidae; genus Homo; species Homo sapiens. The sequence continues at coordinate 24,218,214 of NC_000016.10, read as the reverse complement.
TGATTGCACTTATTGCTTTCAGAAATTGTCTTGTTTATTTATTATTTCTCTCCAAGAAACAATATTCTTGGAGAATTTCTTGGAGAGAAACAATAAACAGGGTCCTCATCTGCTTCTTCACTAGTGTATTTCCAGTGCTAAGAATAGTGCCTGGCACACAGTAGGTTGTTTGTAATTATTTGTGGAATGAAGGAAGACTTGGGATATGCCTCTATCCTTTTTGCAACTTATAATTGTCCCCGAGCCAGAAACTTTACTCTGAGGCAAAACAATGGAATTGATTCCCATTGATCCTAAAGGTCTCCCAAATGGGCCACTGTCCCTTTTGAACCCCTGTATGAACTGAACTGTGTTAGGGCCCCTAAAGGTCTGAGAACTCCAGGACAGTGTGTGAGCTAAAAGGCAGGTATATTTGGAGCTAGAAGACACAAAGCTGCCTTTTTTTTAGGTCTCCCCTGGTCTCATCAACCCTATTTCGCTTTCCCTGCCTGTGGGCCTCTTATCAAAGATTCCCTTCTGACCAGCCCCACCTTGGAAAGCCCTGCCCCGTTTGTTGTGCTGGTGATGGCTAATGCTTCAGATAACCACATGGTCCAGACAGGACTTGCTTTTATGGACTTTGTCCTGTGGGCAGATCCCCAGAGAAAATACTCCTGGATTTTACCGTAGAAGTTGGGAGAGAATAAGCTTCTCTGTTGAGATCATTTCTTTGAGGTTGATAGCATCTGAAGCCATGTGAAAACAGTAGCACTCATCCAAGGAGGGTTATTAATTCTACTGACCTCCCATTAATCCCCCAAGAAGGTCCTTGTTGCTATGGCCCTGTCCTCTCTTCAAAAAGCTCTGTTTCTCAGTTTCTTCTGCACTGGAAATGTGGATAGAAAAGGAAGTGGTAGAAATTCTGACTTTCCATGGAAAGTTTCTCTAAAACAGACTTTGGCTTGAGTATCTATTTCTGCAAACTATTAAACTTTTGAAAAATAATGGCAAGAATTTGGAAAATGTTGAGTGCAGTATTTATAACACTATATTCCTTCCTTCCTTCCTTCTTTTCCTTCCTTCTTTCCTTCCTTCCTTTCTCTTTCTTTCTTTCCTTCTTTCTTTTTCTTCTTTCTTTCCTTTCTTTCTCTTTCCATTCATCCTACATTGTTTTCTAAAGTTGTCTCAGATCATTTGTCAATGGCCTAGTGTTTCTCCATGGTTTTTATCTTCCTGAGAGCATGTCCAAGCAAAATGGGATCATGATCCAACCACCAGATAAGGGCCTGTTGGTGGGCCTGGCTCAGAGATGTCTGCTGCCTTGCTACAGAGCAGAAAGCACCCTGCACTTTCTGGACAGGACACCCAGGTTTTTATCCCAGCTGACTGACTTTGGGCAAATTCCTTCCTCTTTCCAGATGCCAGTTTCTCAACAATAAAGTGAGGGAGCTTTGCTCCGATTTCCCTCCTTCTCTTACTGCCTAAACTTGTCAGATAGAACTTCAAGTTTGCTTCACCTTAGGTCCTGATTGCCACCACAGTGGGGACAGCAGGGACGGTCCCCAAGCCTGAAGCAAGAAGAGGACAGAGAAGGATGAACTGCAGGAGACTTTGCCTAAGCAGAAATCCAAACCCCATTTTTCCCTAAAGATGAGGCATCTTACTTCAAGGACATTTGTCAAGTTGTTAAAGTTCCCTTGATGGTCTCTCAGAAGCCCTGGAACTTCTGGAAATCACTTGAACTGTGATAAGAATTCTCCTTAGAGCTGCCTGAGAATAGCAGGACACGGCAGGCGAGGAGGGGGAGTCACCTGCTGCCTTAATCCTCTCAGACAGAAATGAAATTTCTCCCACCGAAGGGTTTCCTTGGGCTTCAGGGAGCTCACAAAGCTGCTTGCTAGAAAGAATATTTAGTCCAAGCTGGGAGGAGTGGTGATTTTGATAAGAAAATCAAGAGCCCCATTCACGTTCCCAGCTGGTCTCTAAACTTGACTTTGGGCTCCAGTATCCTCGTTGGCTCTGGCCAGGTCATCCCACCCCACTACAGCCCACCAGCAGCCCCTGAATGGGCCACAGCCCCCGCCCCTCCGAGTGGCTGAACACTGGGGCCAAGATTAAAGCTCCGCAGTTAGTTCCTTTCTCCTGAGTTCCCTCCTCAGTTCCCACTTTGTAGTTTAGGTCCACGTTTCTCAAAAAGAGCAGTTTTCCTTGAAATAGTATTTCTTCTTCTTTTCTTTTTTTTTTTTTTTATTGTATCTCGATGCTAGAAGAAAAATGGCACATAACAGAGATCCAGATACAAATGAACATTTCCACAAACATCTTGCAAAACAACATCAAAGTGAGGAATACAACCATCTTTGTTTCAAGAAACGGTGTCTTTTTCAGAGCACTTAATTAGCTTTCTGAAGCCAGTAACAAACCTAGATTTGTAACAAATCCCATTCCCACAGGCCTGAGTCTGCTAGGCTCCGCAGCCGTCTTCTTGGTTAAATCAAAGCAGGTCGTCATTGTGGTTAATAACATTTGAATACATATTTTAAAGCATGTGTAACAATGTGAGTCACCTTTTTTTTTCTTTTTTTTTCTTTTTTTTGCATTTGAACAACAACAGAAACAAAACCCCAAAGCAAATAAAGTTTGAAATGTAATGTAAAACCAGGGCCCTTTGGGGGCCTTGCTAGAGTGACTGTGTTGTTTCAGAGAGTGGTGCCAAATGCCCTTTTCAAGTAGTTTGGGGATGAGGGTGAGCAAAGACATAAAGTATCAGAAACTACAACACTGAGGTAGCACCCAAGCTGGTTGCCCTTTGACCCCTTGAAGTGCTTTTAGATTGAGACCGTCTAAAAGCACATTCTTGGAATTTTAGAACTTTGATCATCTTAACTTTGAGTTTACAAAAATAACAGATAACATTTTATTTTGAGCATGTTCTTTTCAAGGTCTGGTGCCTCCAGAACAGGTGAAATAGAGGGATTCCTCTTAGGCAAAGCAACCATACACTTGGATACAAGCCAAGCTCCAGGCCCGGAAGTGGAAGAGTACCGCTAACATCCAATTATCCACAGATTGGATGGTTGGGGGTGAATATGGCAGTGCAGAAAAAGAGGGAAAGAAAGCAGGCATTTTCTCTCCCCATTGGGTCTACTTAGCTGACATGCTGCGGAAAATAAATTGTAAGAGGACTTTGATAATGTGTTAATTATGCAGCTGCATTTTCCATAGGCCATCTGCATAATCCCATCTCATAGAGATGCTCCAAACTACCTGAGGACATTTGGGTTCTGAAACACTGTCACTCTAGTCTCATCAGAAAATCAAACATGGATGCAACTTGGCAATGAAAAACATAAAAATGTCACCACAATAGCCGTTGAGCTTGAATGACAGAAATGAAGGACGGAGATCTACACATCTACTTAGCTCTTGACTTCGGGTTTTAAAAATTCAGAGTTAACAAAGGAAAATCCTTCGAATTCTGATTGGTCAATATTCCTGATGACTTCCTGGTCGGGAGGTGTTAGGACTGGTGGATGGCGGGTGAAAAATCGGTCGAAGTTTTCAGCATTTCGCCCACACTATGAGAGGGGAAGAAAAGAACTTGTGGTGGGTGGGAAAAAAAACAAAAACAAAAGCCAAAATAAAACAGAACCTAGCATAATTGGGTGTGCTTTTCTCCATTCCCTTCCCTTTCAGAAACTCAGAGAGGTTGTTTCAAATGATCAGAAATGAGAGCAACATAAAATGCAAAATTCTCATGACCTTTGGTGCACGACCTTGGGTTCCCGACCTTCAGTTTTTGTAGCTCATGAGCTGCTCCTGGTGTCCTTCTGGCCAGTCAGGAGATGGATGGCAAAGGCATGAGATGGTGGGGCCAGAGGCATGTGGCATGTCCCCCCAACCCACCCCGAGAAGTCAGCCAAGCTCATCTGTTGGAAAACATGGGATTAAGGCACCTGAGATGTTTCAGGTGGTGCAAGATGCAAAGTAGTGACCCATTTATACATCACCTGGGAGATCCCAGTATTTATAGCAGCAGACCCCTCAAAGTGCTGTCCTCCAGCTCTCAATCAGGAGCAGTGGATGTTTTCCAACTCAACAGAATACAATTTATAAACTCCAGCCACTGGAGGAAGATCCCAGTGAAGATCTGGGTTTGATGCTTGCAACGCCTGGGCAACCACGAGGCCCCTGGTTAGCTGGATCAGTCACTGAACATCAAATGCAAGGTGCCAGGAGGTAAATTCAGCCATTCCCTCTTCAATTAGGAAGGAGGGATGTGGGAGGAAATACAAACCATTGTTTGGTGAAGCAATCAGGTTCTAGAGAGAAAACCATTGCCATTTCTCACCCATCCTGCTGGTGTTTCTATATTAAAAAGGCCCCCATCTGAGGCAGAGTTATAACACATATGTGTATGTACATGTCTGCAAATGTGTGCATGCATGCATGGGTGCTCACACCTGTACATGCTAATTCCCACCTAATGAGAAGGGGCAAACCGCTAATTTGGGGTTCCTTGTTCTTTGCCAGCAAAACCCATTTGCACAAAAGCTCTATGTGTTTTCAACACAGTATCTCTACGAGGTAACCACAACCTAATAGTATAATAGTAGTAGGAGTAATAACAATTATGACTGCTGATATTTATTATGCATTTGCTATATACCAGTGCAAAATGCTGTTTACTGGAAAGTTCTTTACTTGCATTACCTTATTTAATCTTCCCAATGGCCCTATGAAGTGGGCATTATTATGATCTCCATTTTATAGATGACGGAACTGAGACCACGGAGACTATGTAATTTGTTCATAATCTCAGCAAACCAATAGCAGAGCAAGATGAACCAGGTCCATCTGACATCAGAGCCCAAGTTCCTGGCTCCATTTTTACAAGTACAGTGACTGGGCGCAGTGGCTCACGCCTGTAATCCCAGCACTTTGGGAGGAGGAGGCGGGTGGATCACAAAGTCAGGAGATCGAGACCATCCTAGCCAACATGATGAAACCCCGTCTCTACTAAAAATATAAAAATTAGCCAGGCGTGGTGATGGGCACCTGTAGTCCCAGCTACTCAGGAGGCTGAAGCAGGAGAATAGCTTGAACCCGGGAGGCGGAGGTTGCAGTCGGCTGAGATCGCGCCACTGCACTCCAGCCTGGGTGACAGAGCGAGACTCTCTCTCAAAATAAATAAATAAATAAATAAATAAATAAATAAATAAATAAATATACAAGTACGGTGGCAGCCTGGTGGCTGACTAACTAATGAAGTGGGGAAGGGGCCAGCGGGAAGACAAGGATGGGGATGATGAAGTCTCTGGTTTGAATGACAGAGACTGTGGTTGTATGAACTGAGACAGAGAAAGTGTGAAAACTGAGAAAGATGATTAATTCCATTTTGGATAACGACTTTGAGAGGCCAATGAGAGTCCTGGTGATGACCAGAGGGAGTCAGAAGCACAGGTTCTGGGCCAGGCGTGGTGGTTCACACCTGTAATCCCAGCACTTTGGGAGGCCGAGGTGGGCAGATCACCTGAGGTCATGAGTTTGAGACCAGCCTGACCAACATGGCAAAACCCTGTCTTTAAAAAATTAGCTGGGCATGGTGGTGCATGCCTGTAGTCCCAGCTACTCAGGAAACTGAGGTGAGAGAATTGCTTGAGCCAGCGAGGTAGAGGTTGCAGTGAGCAGGGATTGTACCACTGCACTCCAGCCTGGGCAGTGATTGAGACCTTGACTCCAAAAAGGAAAAAAAAAAAAAAAAAAAAAAAAAAGGAAAAAAAAGCACAGGAGGAGAGAGGTCTTGAAAAACCTTTTTTTTTTTTTTTTTTTTAAAGCACAGAATATGGGGAGTGGAAAGAGATAACAAGAGTAATAAAAACCAGTGAGCACTTTCAATGAAACAGACATTTGCCAAGTGTTTTTGAATATATGACCTTTTTCATTCATGTAAAAACTCTGTGAAATAGGTGTTTTATTTCCATTTGCCCATGATAAAAATGCTCCTTAAAGTGTCTTAGGACAGCAGGAGGAGAACCAGGAGAGAACAGTATCAGCCAAGCTAAGGACTGGGAGAAACCCCAGGTGAAGGGCATTGGTATAACTAAAATATCTTTCAGAGGTCAAATAGGAGAGTTGCCGAAAAAGGATCATTGCAATTGGCAACTGGGGTGATACTGATGAGAAATGGAGGGCTGCCACTGAACTTCAGTTGCTGGAGGAGTGAAGGTACATTGAGAAAGTCAAGAGGTGCACGCTCTTCTTCAAAGCCTTTTTGTTGAGGGAAGCAGAAGTATTTGCTGTGCATGCAAGGGACTTAGGTCTCCAAGAGCCTCTGCCTCCTGCTCACTTCTTATCTGAGTAAAAGTGAGTCTGGGGCCGGGCGCGGTGGCTCATGCCTGTAATCCCTGAACTTTGGGAAGCCGAGGCGGGTGGATCACCTGAGATCAAGAGTTCGAGACCAGCCTGGCCAACATGGTGAAATCCCATCTCTACTAAAAATACAAAAAATTAGCCAGGCGTGGTGTCAGGTGCCTGTAATCCCAGCTACTCGGGAGGCTGAGGCAGGAGAATCACTTAAACCCAGGAGGCAGAGGTTACAGTGAGCTGAGATGGCACCATTGCACTCCAGCCTGGGCAACAAAAGGGAAACTCCATCGCAAAAAAAAAAAAAAAAAAGTGAGTCTGTAGACTGAATTCAAACCCTGGCATTATGCTACCCACTATCTGTGCAACTCTGGGCAAGTTCCTTAAAGTTTCAGTTTCCTCTTTTGTAAAATGGGAGCAATTTTAATTCCTATCACACTGGGGTTGTGATATGAGGATAAAATGAGAGAATGCAAGTAACAGGTACTGAGTATGTGATCAACGCATCATGGCTCCAAGTATTATTTAGTTCCCATTTTCTACTACAAATCCCTACAGACAGACAGCGTATGTTTCCTATAATAGGGCATTTGCATGGTGTTTAAGTTTTAAATACTAAGGAAACAGTCTTGAATTTTTAAAAGACTCTTGTCAGACTTAAGGAAACCTATTTGTCATTCCAAGCTAAATTGTTTCTGCTGTTTTTGTTATCTTGGCTTCAGGTCTCAGAAAATGAGAACTCTCTGACATAGTATGAAGACCTGGGGTCTTTTCTGCTGGCCAGTGGAGGGAAGCTCCCACAGAAGGATGACCCCTCGGTAAACTCACTGTGGTTAGAATTGTTGTCCAGATTCATTCATTTGTTTATTCATTTTCTCATTCAAGACGGATTTACTGAGCACCCACTACATGCCAGGCTCTGTGCTAGTAGAAAATGATACAAAATCCATGCTTCATGGAACTTACATTTTACTGGGGAAGAGAAGCAACAAACGAGACTGTAACTGTAAATGTGAATATATGTTTTAGTGCCAGAGGGAGATAAGTGATGTGAAGAAAAATAAAGCCAAGGCCGGGCAGGGTAGCTCACGCCTATAATCCCAGCACTTTGAGAGGCCGAGGATGGTGGATCACTTGAGCTCAGGAATTCATGACCAGCCTGGGCAACATGGTGAAACCCCGTCTCTACCAAAAATACAAATATTAGCTGGGTGTGGTGGTGCACACCTGTGGTCCCAGCTACTCAGGAGGACTGTGGTGGGGGGATCACTTGAGCCCAGGAGGCAGAGGTTGCAGTGAGCGGAGATCAAGCCACTGCACTCCAGCCTGGGCGACAGAATGAGACTCTGTCTCAAAAAAAAAAAAAAGAAGAAGAAAGTCCAGGGGATGGAGTGAGAGTGATGCCATTTTCAGCTTGGAGGAAATGGCCTTTGAGCAAGACCTCAGTGAAGTGAGAGAGGGTGCCCTTTGGATGTCGGGAGGAAAGGCATGCTAGGCAGAGGGAGCAGCAAGTGCAAAGGCCCCAAGACAGAGCTCACCTGGCACAGTCACCAAGCAGCAATGAGGTCAGTATGGTATGGCCAGAGCAGAGTGACCAAGGGGCCACACAGCGGGCCACGAGCCAGAGCAGGGTCCTTGATGGCCATGTAAGGACAGTGGATTTTCATCTCAGCTAGATGAGAAACTGCTGGAGAATGTTGAGCCCTGAATGATATGATGACGTATGTTTTGTTTTTATAATATTTCATTGTTTTAGAGACATGGTCTTGCTCTGTTGCCCATGCTTGAGTCAGAGGCATGATCACAGCTCACTGCAGCCTCAAACTCCTGGGCTCAAGCAATCCTCCCACTTTAGCCTCATGAGTAGCTAGGACTACAGGTGTGCACCACCACGCAGGACTAATTTTTTTTTTTTTGTAGACACAGGGTGTGTGTGTGGGGTCTTGCTATGTTGCCCAGGCTGGTCTCGAACTCCTATCCTCAAGTGATCCTCCCACCTCAGCCTCCCAAAGTTCTGGAATTCCAGGTGTCAGCCACCAAGACTGGCCCTGATTTACATTTAAACAGGATCACTGGTGTGGTGTACAAGGATAGATTAAATGAGCGGGGGACAATAGTGGAAACAGTACAACCAGTGAGGAGGTGGTTATGATAATCCAGTTAAGAATGATGGGGGCTTGAAGGAAGGTGATTGGTGGAGGGATGGAAAGATGCATTCGGATGTGGGGTATATTCTGAATTCAGAGTTGACAAGATTTGCTGATGGATTGGGTGTGGGGTATGTGAGGAAGAGAGGCATTGTTGGTGACCCTGGCATTTTTGGCCTGAGCTATTTAGTAAGAGAGGAACACGAGGAGGAGATCCTATTTGAGGGGGGAAATTTAGTATTTGCTTTCCTTTTTGATAAGTTCAAAATTCCAGAGGACACGTCAAGGAGTCCCCTCAGCTGCAGTGTGGGGATTGCAGAGGTTTGGGGAGCTAGATTGGTGGCCGTGGCATCGGGGAGAGACTGCCGCAGTCATCCACAGGAGAGGAATGGTGGCTTAGGACTGTAGAAAGGGGAGGCAGAGCAGACAACAAAGAGGTGATGGTGGCAGGGACTGCTGGTATGGCATCCTGGTGTGACTATAAGGCAGACCCGTGCGTGTTTTTCTTTGGCCTGGGTGTTGGAACCCAAGCCAGCCAGTCTAGGAAGCACATTTGCTGAGACACAGAGCATCTTCAGGGACCATTTTTCTTTAAAAACCATCAATTTCCCATCCACACCAGAAGGCTGTTTCTTCGCCTGGGCCTCCCCAGAGGCTGTGATGGGAGACAGTGAAACAGCTTCTGGCAGCTCCACAACCTCCCCCTCCCTCTCCCCACTCCCTCCTGCCTCAGAGAACAATGAAATCTTTAAGTGAGATAGCACAGAGGAGACACAAGAACAGGGATTAACCAAGGGGGTGCGATACAGAGGGAGCGTGATTTCCCTGCTAATCAGCAGCTTACAGGGCTGGCAGATCACAGCCTCCCTGTTAAGTGTTTCTGTGTTTTTCAAATGGAGCTGTCACTGACCATTAGCTTCAGGAGCGCTCCCTAAATGGAGACGTCAGCCCTTGGGAGACACAGCCCAGATCAGTTTCCTGCCTGCTGTGTCCTTGAAGTATGGGCAGCTCAGTGGCTGGGATCTAATTAAAAACGCACCATGGATTGCACCTGCCTCTCTGGCTTGTCTTGGGTGAACACTTCAGCCTCACTCAGCTTAAAAAAAAAAAGAAAATCCGACTCCCTTGTCATCAGGGTACATCAATGGGGCTCCTGGAACAGGAATGGGGGCCAGAAACCAACTGGGTTATTTAAACCACAAGCACCTCTTTCAGGATTAAGGAGAGGAGTAAGAAGGTTGATTTGTTGAATTACGCTCCTGAATTTAAGAATCTAGACAGTTTGAAAAGCTTATCTGTGACCTGTTACACGTAAGCTCTTTTTCTTTTTCTCTTCTCTTTTAATTTCTGTTTCATTGAATTAATAACAGAGTCTTGCTGTTGAATGTGGAGTTGGCTTGGTCACCACTGCCACAGGGATCTCTTTTTTGTTTTGTTTTGTTTTGTTTTTTGAGACAAGGTCTTGCTCTCTTACCCAGGTTGGGGTGCAGTGGCGTGATCATAGCTCACTGCCACCTTGAATTCCAAGGCTCAAGGGATCCTCTTGCCTTGGCCTTGTGAGTAGCTTGGGACCACAGCTGCACACCACCATGGCCAGCTAAAGGGATCTTTTAAAGACGCTGACTGGAGTATGCCATTTCCCTGCTCTTATCTGCAATAGCTCCCCATTGCCCAAAGCCCACACTCCTTAGCATGGCTTAAGGGGCCATTTAGGACCTGTTCCTGGACACTTGGTCAATGGCCCCTTCCCTGCCTGTGTCCCCCACCCCCTGAGACACCCTCCAGCCATACTGAAGTATTTCCAGTTCCTAGAACACTCATGAACTCTTGGAGGTGACTCCAGGCCCTTGCACAGGCTGCCTCCTCTGCCAGGAACACTTGCCTTCCACTCCTTCTCCACTCATCCAGCTATCTCCTGTGCATCCTTTCTGTCTCCAGAGCAGTGTCACTTCCTCCACGAGGTTTTCCCTGACCTGTCCTCTATACTCCTGGATTTACCCCATCAAAATACAGGGTGTTCATCAAAGAATCGTCAGAGGAAAGAAAAATTGGGAATCTACTATGGGCCAATAGGGAAAACAGTTAAATAAATAATGATACATCTATTTGATGTATTACCATGCAAAACATTCTTAAAAATTAAAAGAAGATGTAGAAGAATATTAAATGACATAGTTATATAATTACTAACAGTGTGTACAATATCTTCCCATTCTATAAATTATATACACAAATGTATACGTAATATCTGTACACATTTTATACACAGGCTTATGGAGATTCGAAGAATTACAGATGGTTTTAATTTTTTCCTTTTCCCCTTTATGCTTGATTATATTTTAAAAATTTACATAACAATCAGGTATTGTTATTATTATTTTGTAATAAGAAAAGAAGCTGTGAAAGCTATTTTAAATGAGACAGCAATTATCATGGAAGAAATTGAAAAATAGAAATAAAGAGAATGGGAGTATTTGGGTAAATTGTTAAGGTTAGCCTGATGCTACTTTAACATGCTTCATCTTAGTAAAACACTCTAAGGCAGCAGGAGGATCGCTTGAGGCTAGGAGTGTGAGACCAGCCTGGGCAACATAGCAAGACCCTGTCTCTACAAAAATTTAAAACTTCTCAGGGCATGACGCCACATGCCTGTAGTCCCAGCTACTTGGAAGGCTGAAGTTGGAGGATTACTTGAGCCCAGGAGGTTTAGACTGCAGCAAGCTATGATCGTGCCTCTGCACTTCAGCCTGGGTGACAGAGTGAGACCCTGTCTCAAAACAAAATGAAGCAAAAAAACTCTAAAACAAGTGGCTGCTTTGACGTGTATTTTGGTGCTAAGGGATAATAAGGAAGGCTAATATTTGGCTGTTGTAGATCCTCTGCCGAGCAGCATGCTGGACTCTGGCGATACATAAGAGGGTACCTGTTCTTGTCCCCGTTGAGCTTAAGATCTAGCAGAGGACACAGATGCACACACAGGCCACTGCATGGGACCATGGGACAGGTGCTGCCATTGAGCACAGAGGAAAGGAACCCAAGAAGGGCCAGGAACTCTGTCTGGAGGGAGTGACATCTCACTTGAGTGGGACCTGCAAGAGAGACATTGCTTCTTTGGAGGAGGAAAGGAAAGAGCCTGGAGAAGAAATGGAGGTAAAAAGAGGGCATGGACAAGGTAAGATGGTGGAGGAGAGGATAAGGCTCCTCCCTGCTGTCTGTTGCCTAGCCGACTTTGATAACATGAGGCTAGTGGCTCAGGGGAGCTACCTGCCCAGCCTCCATCAAGACACCAGGACACCTTCAGGTTAACAAGACCAGAAGGTCACGATGAAAAGACATCCAAGCTACATAGCCTAGGCAAAAAGACAAGCGCATCTTTCTTTTTCACATGTGCACATCCAGTGAAATGCAGGGTCGTTCCTATGCCTTCCAGTTTCCCACAGCCGAATACAGGAGGGACCCACTCCAGGGAGAATCAGATGCTCAAAGCTGCATACATATTTGATCATTTTAAAAAGTCATTTGTGGTCTGGGTTTTGGCAGAAAAAAAGAGAGATTTAAGTCTCCTTTTTCTGCTAATAATGAAGGTCCCTTACAATCAGGGATCTTTTATCTCTTATGTTTATTTAGGGAGGAAGTCAGTAGGAGAGGGGTCTTTTGTGTTTGATACTAAGTCTGTTTTGTTTTGCTCTTGCTTTTCTTAATTTTCATTAAAAAATAACATCCAGTGTTTTGATTTCCTCCAGATCTCAGTTTAAATGGCACCCTGTCAGAGAAGCTGTTCCAGACCACCTTCAAATAAAGAGGATTCTCATTCTTCCCTCCTGTTATTCTCTGTCAAGATATCCTGTTCATTTCTTTAACAGAAATAAAATCTGGTATATCTCAGTCTATAATTATTAATACATGTTCATTCTCTGTTGATTGTCTATGTTCTCATCTAGACTGTAAGCCACATGAGAGCAAAATCACATCTGTTTTATTCACCACTGCGTTTCTAGAACCCAGGGATGAAAAAAAATCAAATGGACAAATAATAGTGTATGTTAAGCACTAACTATGAGCCAGATACTGTGTTAAGTGTTTTGCAAGCTTTACCTCCTTTAATCCCCCCAAAAGCTCTATGAAGTCCTTGCTGTGCAATGAGAAAATGGGTTTAGTTTAAGTATCTGACCACGATTTGATCCTAGATTTGACAAGAGATCCAGACTCTTCTATCAGTCTCCTACATTTATCGCAGAAACAAACAAGCTATTAAAAAGCACCAAGATGCCAGGCATGGTGGTGCCATGCCTATAATACCAGCACTTTGGGAGGCCCAGGTGGAAGGATCACTTGAGATCAGGAGTTTGAGACCAGCCTGGGCAACATAGAGAGAACCTGTCTCTACAAAGAATTTTTTAAAAATTGGCCAGGCATGGTGGTGCATGCCTGTGGTCCCAGCTGTTCAAGAGGCTGAGGCACGGGGAATCCCTTGAGCCCAGGAACTGGAGGCTGCAGTGAGCTATGACTGTTCCACTTCACTTCAGCCTGGGTAACAGAGTAAGACCCTGTCTCTAAAAAAAAAAAAAAAAAAAAAAGGAATTATAATAATAATTTTTTTTTTGAGATGAAGTCTCACTTTGTCGCCCAGGCTGGTGTGCAGTGGCACGATCTCGGCTCACTGCAACCTCCACCTCCCGGGTTCAAGCGATTCTCCTGCCTCAGCCTCCCAAGTAGCTGGGACTACAGGCACCCATCACCATGCCCAGCTAATTTTTGTATTTTTAGTAGAGACGGGGTTTCACTATGTTGGCTAGGCTGGTCTCGAACTCCTGACCTCGTGATCTGCACGCCTTGGCCTCCCAAAGTGCTAGGATTACAGGCATGAGCCTCTGTGCCTGGCCATAAAAAATTTTAAAACACACAAAAGAATCCTTCTTAATCCCGCCACCCCAAATCTCTGTATTATGTTAACATCTTGGTTTGTATCCTAGATGGCTGGATGAATAGATGAATGGATGTTTTTTAGTTTTTAGACAAAGGTGGAATCATGACTCTGTTCTTTTGCTTGCTTTTTAAAAGAAACTAGATGAAATACACTCTAAACATCTTCCCATGTCAACAGAATATCATTTTTTTTCTTATCTATTCTTCACCATTCATCCTAAACCCACATTGTTGGCTTCAAGTAAACTCACCCTCAAATAGTAATTATCCCTTCTATTTGCCTATCTTTTTATAGCTTTGATTCCCACAAGGCTGTGAGATAGGCAGGAAAAGGATTATCTCTACTTAACAGATAATTTTAAGAGTTAACAGTTTGTTCAGGGTCATATAGGGTCAAGTAGGAGAGCCAAGATCCAGAGCCCATCTGTTCAATTCCAAAGCCCATGGGCTTTCCATTACATCCCATTGCCTCATACTATGTATCTGATTGTGTGGCACGGACTTAAAAGTTAAGCTAACCTGGGTACCAATCCTGGCTCCAACAATTCCCAGCTATACAACCTTCAAGCAAGTTAGCTAAGTCCCCTAAGCTCAAGTTTCTTGTAGGGTGTGGCGAGAATGACTTGATAAAATTCACATCAAATACTTAACATGGTAGCTGGTGGTTACTGCTGAGGGCTGACTGACCCATTCATGTCCAGTGAGTAAGTCTGACAGGGCTGTGCTCTGGCTTGAAAGAGGTCCTGTACGCTCTGCCAAACCCTAAATTCCTACCCATATTCCCATCCCAATTACAAGCAGAATGAGGACCTGCCAGTGCTACTTTAGACATAGAACAGAAACCTTCCCACTTAGCCTGGTGCATCACGGCAGGAAGCTACAAGACAAAGCCAGGCCCTGGGGCTCCCAGTTAGAGGAAGTGAGAAAAAGACGTGTACCCTGGGAAGAAAAAGGGATGCATTTCCGTTCCCATCCAAGCCTCACTTCCTTAGAAAGACATTTCAGGTAGATTAACACACCATCTCTGTGCTGTTTTCCATATGCCATTTGGGGGGGCATTTTGTGGTTATTTTTAAGAGACTGCACTTGTAACAAAACAAAAAGTAAGCTTTCTGTTTTCCTTTCTGGGTCATGAGCTGGTCTCAACCCTCCAAATTCAACTGTCACTGGAAGTCTTTGTGGAGTTGGAATTTCTATTGGGAGTGGCTGTGAAGGTAGGAAGAACATCAGCAAATGTGGTGATATGGTTTGAATGTGTTCTCCCAAAGTTCTTGTGCTGGACACTTAATCCCCAATGCAACAGTGTTGAGAGGTGGGAACTTTTGGAGGTGACTGGATTGATGTTATTATTGTGGGAGTGAATTTATTTAAAAAGTAAGTTACCCTCCCTCATGTGTTCTCTTGCCATGTGATGCCTTCTATCAGGTTACTATGCAGCAAGAAGGTCCTCCCCAGATACAGCCCCTGATCTTGTACTTCCCACCCTCCAGAACCATGAGCCAAATAAATTTCTTTTCATTGTAAGTTATCCACTTTTTTTTTTTTGAGACAGGGTCTCACTCTGTCACTCGAGCAGGAGGATTGCTTAAGCCTGGGAGGTCGAGTCTGCAGCAAGCTGTGACCACGACACTGCAGCCTTGACCTCCCAGGCTCAAGCAATCCTGCCTTAGTCACCCAAGTAGCTGGGACTACAGGCATGTGCCACCCCACCTGGTTGATTTTTGTAATTTTTGTGTGTGTAAAGACAGATTTTGCCATGTTCCCCAAGCTGGTCTCAAACTCCTGGGCTCAAGCTCAAGTGATCTGCCCATGTTAACCTCCCAAAGTGCTGGAATTACAGGCATGAGCCACTGCACCAGGCCCCAGTTTCAGGTATTCTTATAGCAGCACAAAACAGACTAAGACAGACACACAATGTCATAAAAATGAAGGAGAAGAGGGGCTTAAAAAGAAAGAAGGCACTCTGAACTTTTCCTACAGATAAACTCACTTATATAGGAAACTAGGAAGTTATTCAAAGGGTGATGTAGAGTTAGATAAGCAGATAAGAAACAATCTCCAAGACAGAGGGGAATAATGCAAGATACAGAAATTGTACACAGCATGCTAACATCCTTGTGTGTGATGTAGACTATTTCTGGGCCTGAACACATCTTCTCTAGAAGGTCACACAAGAACCTGGTTGCAATGGGTGTCTCTGGGAAGGAGAACCAGGAAGCCTAGCTAGGAGCCATGGGTGAGGGGAATCTTAATTTCACTTTGTAGCTTCTGATGCTGCTTGAATATTTTATTTTTTCACATTTTTTTAAAGGAGAAAGGATTAGAGCACCTAATAATATGGTGAGGTCAAGAAAGATGAGACAAGCTTATGAGAAGAGGCAGTTTTCAGGTCATTGATGACTCAATGAGAAAAATATCAATAGGATGGCGGGAGCAGAAGCCAGATTGCACCAAACTGAGGAAACAATAAATTGTCATCAAGTGGAAATAGCAGGAACTGGCAACTCTTTCAAAAGTGTGTTTGTATGCAAAGTAAGGTAGGGTAGTAATCATAGCAGTAGTAAGAGTAGTAGTAAGGAGGATTCCCAGGTTTGAGGTAGGGGATTTTTAACATGAAAAAGACATAGCAGGTTTATGCACAAAGGAGAAGGCCAGGATAGAGTCAGAAAGGACAGCTGCTGTTTTTGCCCAGCCAGCAGGCATTGTCTTTTCTTCTAGTGACAGTGGCTTTATTTTTCTTTTTTTCTTTTTTTTTTTTTTTGAGACGGAGTCTCGCTCTTTTGCCCAGGCTGGACTGCAGTGGCGCTATCTCAGCTCACTGCAAGCTCCGCCTCCTGGGTTCACGCCATTCTCCTGCCTCAGCCTCCCGAGTAGCTGGGACTACAGGTGCCCGCCACCGCGCCCAGCTAATTTTTTGTATTTTTTAGTGGAGATGGGGTTTCACCGTGTTAGCCAAGATGGTCTCGATCTCCTGACCTCATGATCCACCCGCCTCAGCCTCCCAAAGTGCTGGGATTATAGGCGTGAGCCACCACACCCGGCCATGACAGTGGCTTTTTTTTCTTAAAGGAGATATTCCTTCTCTTCTTTCAAAATGTCTGATTTAGATAGGACATTCCTTCTCTTTTTTCAAAATGTCTGGATTAGATCCAGCTCTCTGGCTAAGAGGGGCTGGTGACCCAGGCCCGGTCAATCAGCACATTCCATCCCCCTGGTGCAGTGAGCAATTCCCTTAGAGATGGGCATATGACCCAATAATCTTCCAAAAAGATTGAGTCCTAGGCTGCTGGGATTTTATAAAAAGGAAGCCCTTTTCTTTGGTAGAAGTTGCAGAGATAATGGGACATAAATTGGGAGTTGCTATGTGCCCAAGAAAGCCTTCTGAGAATGAAGAATGAAGTCAACACAGTGGGGAAAGTAATCCTAAGGGATATAGATAAATGTTTCCCTGCTGGCATTGTTTGGGACCAGATGTAGATGATCCATCTACATCTGAATACTAACTATCATTATTTTTTGCTTAAAAGTCAGTTTAAATCAGATTCCTATTTGAAACCATAGGAGTTTTGTTGATACAGAGAGAAGCTGTAGACAGACTAAACAGGGGAGATAAGCATGAAGGATCAAGAGGCTGGAGTCCAGAGCAGGAGTGAGGGTAAGTCTCACATGAGTTGGGGGAGGGAAAACATATTTGCTAAGACAGAGATGGAAGCTGGGCAAGGAGGTCAAGATGACTATGGAGGTGCCGGTAGGTGGTAAGAAGCTGACGGCTACCAACCAGTGGCACCCATGGGCCTCAATCTTCCTCACGATTTAGGGCAGGGATCCCCAATCCCTGGGCCATGGACCAGTATCAAAATAACAATAATAATAATAAATAATAATATAATAGTACATGACTCAAAGTCATGTATCTGGTAGGTTCTATGGTTGACTTGCCCCGCCAAAGTTCATGTGTTAGAAACTGAATCTCCAATGCAACAGTGTTGAGAGGTGGCACCTCATGAGAACTTAACAACATTATCTTGGTAGTGGGATCCTAATAAAAGGGATGAGTTTGGCTCCGTATCTTTCCCCTGCATGTGCACACACATGTATGCATATGCATATATATGCACACACATGCACGCATACTCTCTCTTGCCCTTCACCTTCTGCCATGGGATGACACAGCAAGAAGTCTCTCACCAGATGCAAGCCCCTCACCCTTGGACTTCCCAGCCTCCAGAACTGTAAGAAATAAATTTCTTTTCTTTATAAATTATCTAGTCTGTGGTATTCAGTCATAGCAACACAACATGGACTAAGACAGAAACTGATTTAGGAACTTCACCTGGCTCAGGAACCTGACAATTCCAACCATCTAAAGGGAGCCTGGTTTGATCTGAAGTTTAAATGGGTTCTCCATGGGTGTGTAGATAGGTGGAGAGAGATAAACAGACTCCAAGCTGTGTGTCCTAAATGGCTCTTGGCTATTTGTTTGTCAGTATATAAATGTAGGTTGATATTTTTATTAAGATCTCTGCAAACTCCACACAGTGGATACCCCAAAAGAACAACCAGAAATGAGCAGGGAAACCTCTACTCCTTAATGAGCCTGTCTCGGCTGCCTCATTTCAATGCTGCCATGCCCTTCTTTCAGAGGTTAGTCAATGCATGCCGTCTTTGTCAGCCTCAAAATCAAAGCCCTAAGGAACAAATAAGATTTGCATCTTTTAAAATCCTGACAACGAATTATAAAAGCTGTGAAGATGCTACTTATTTGTTGCAATATTTTAAAATAAATTTAAATCATTTGAATTGTAAGAATACTCAGTCTTTTTCTATTATGTAACAGACACCATTCGATGGTGTTATCATGACTCTCCTGGTAGCACAATCACAAACCTTACCAGGGGCTCCAAGTGCTTCTAATAATCTTTACAAGGGTCTTGTGCAGTGTACAGTCCAGGGATCAAGTCCTGGCTCCTCTGCTTTCTAGTTGCTGGACCTTGGGCAAATGCCTTAACTTTTCCAAGCTCTAGTTCCTCATCTATACTGTGGTGATAACCCTACCTTACAGGGTTGAGAGAATTAAATGAGGCAATTCATGGAAGGCAGTTAAAACAGTGCCTGATGCAGACAAAAATGCAATATATTTTCTAATATATTTGAACAGTAAAGGTTTTATGAGAATTATTTTAAATCACAATTTTCAAAAATGAATT
Source organism: Homo sapiens (assembly GCF_000001405.40). Taxonomy (NCBI): domain Eukaryota; kingdom Metazoa; phylum Chordata; class Mammalia; order Primates; family Hominidae; genus Homo; species Homo sapiens. The sequence goes on along the minus strand of NC_000016.10, from coordinate 24,199,589 downwards.
GTTCTCTTGAGTATTTGATACTTTGGGGGAGTTAGGTTCTGTGCTTAAATAAATCACATTGAGTAAGTGTTAGATCCTTTTCTTAAGGCTTGAATTTGGAGTTTTAACAGCAAACATACAAAGGTTACACTTTCTGGATTCAATTCAGAAATGTCAGCACATCAAACACACACATTCAGACACACACACACAGAGGCACTTACTCATACAGTGTAAAGGGCAATTGGGTTTGGAAGAGAATGTCACATGAACAGATTCGCAGCTCATTAAAGCAGTACTTGAAGCTTTTGACCTCAGCTACATAAACAATGTTTTCAGATGATAAAATTGCTGAGAAACCAAGTCCTGTGAGTATGATTTAGTTTCTGAAGCAGTTCAGCATTTAGACTCTCAGAGGATACGGGCAATGGGATGTGATCAGATAGCCCAAGTAGTATTTTGGAAATGATACTAACAGAGCATAGGACAAGGACCTTTGCAAGCTATAAAAGCTTGCCAGGTTTTCAGCCTTTCCTACTGTCCAGATGCCTCAAAATTATGGGGCTTTAAGTAAAGTGCAGATAAGAATCGGTAACAAGAGCAGAAATGATTGGAATCAGTCTGTCATACAAGTGGGTTTGGAGTTAGTGAGGCCTGACACAGGCTAGAATGGAAGGAAGGAGGGAATGAGCATTGTAGTGATGTCTAGACAGGACTGGATGGTTGCTCCAATGTCAGGAGTGGAGGAAAGGGGATCTTAACGTCTGCTTCTCATCAGGTTGTACTCCTCAAGCCCTGCCCAGAGAGCATTGACGATCAGATGCATCATATTTTAGAACACTTGACAATCTGGTTGACCATATTTTAGAACAATTGATGATCTGATTGATAATATTTTAAAAGAATACTAGAGCCATGTTTACTACTGGGCAGATCATTGTACACACACTTTAGCGCTTAAGACTCCACAGGTGCCAGGCACAGTGGCTCACGCCTGTAACCCCCAGCACTTTCAGAGGCAGAGGTGGGAGGATCACTTGAGGCCAGGATTTTGACACCAGCCTGGGCAATTAATTAAAAACAATGAAAAAACAAATAAATAAAAAGCAGAAAAGACTCCAAGGACTCTAATGAAGCCTACTTAGCTTTCTCTTCCTCTTCACCTCACTGCTTCTATGCTGCTACCTGGGTTGTCTTCTGAGGCGGCTGAATCCTTGTACCCTGGGCTCATCCCCCTACCCAGTTTTCACAGTAAGCCCTTCATTAGGTGTTATGGACACTATGGGAGCCTTTCAGAGGAAGAGTGACAGGACTTCATTAAGCCAATTCGTGACAATACATGAATGCCACCAAACTCTCCATTAGGCATTTCAATGTGAACATATTACCTAGCATATCTTGTCCTGTGACATTATAGCTCCATGTACTACCACTTCTGCAATAAAATATGCTCATCCATGCCAAAGGCTCAATGCACCTTTTGCTACAAGTCAGCAAAATTCTGAGCTGGATCACCCAGACACAAAGCAACTCCCTGGGTACAGCCCTCAGCCACTGCACCCTCCGATATCACTACATTCTTTGCAACAGGATGGACAGGAGGAAGTCCAACCAAGAGCACAACCATGTCCTCCTGCTCTATGCCCTGCAAGCCAGCGCTCTGTATCACAGAAGCTTTCCTGACCATCTATTTCATTCATTCATCCTATTGCTACTGGGACCAAACTCTTGGCTACCATGTTTTATACTTGAGGAGCAATCATGTGGGCAGTCTGCAGGGACTCATGTTCATCAGCGCCTTCATGTCTCCATGAGACAATGACTGAGTGCCTACAAGATGCCAGGAACTGGGGAGGACCTGAGGATGCCAACTTGGGGGTTCTCAAACAGCCCCAACCTGCCCAAGCTCCTATCACCTTTTGCCTGGATTATGGCAAGAGTCTCAACCAGTCTCCCTGATTTCACCCTTGTCCCTGCAGCACTCAGAGGGATCCTTTAAAAACCCAAAGTCAGAACATGTTATTTCTTGGCTCATGAGTTGGTGTAAAAGCCAAAGATCCTTCAGTGGCCTGTGCTTTCCTTTGGCCTCTCTGATCTCACACCCCCTTTTCCTTTCTCCCTCAACCCCTTGGCTCAGGCACCTGCACTCCTTGCTCTCCCTTGACCATGCCAGGCAAGCTCCTGCCTCAGGGCCTTTGCATCTGCTACTACCAACCAAATCACTCTCCCCCCTCACCCAGATATATACATGGCTCCCACCTCCCTCATCTTCTTCCTGTATTTGCTGAAACGTCATTTTCTCCACCTACTCTATCATAAGGACATCTCCCTGACCTGGCTCTTCCAATCTCCATCCCTACTTCAGCTTCCTGCATAATGTTTATCAACTTCTGACACATCGTATATTTTACTTGTTTCTATGTTTATTATTTTGCCCACTCTCCCTAGAATATAAGCTCCATGAAGGCAGGGATGTTAATTATTTTTAGTGCTATGTTTCCATCACCTAGAACATTACCTAACCTCATCACCCACTGAATGGATAACTCAATATCTGACAACATCCCCACCAGAGGACAGAACCAGCACACGCTTCTTCCCAAGCCACTGCTCCATCATGCACTCAGCGACAGAGTCTGCCCTTTAGTACCCAAACCACCACCTTCCTCCTACCACATGCTGGCCAGCAACAGCCTGCTGTGTGCCCTGAACAATAACTTCACCAGAACATTCTATACTTAACTGTATATACCCCTTCACTACAGTCCTTACTACACAGGGTCTACCTACTGCACTGCTACAACAGGTTCTGCCAATCAACTCACAGGCCTGCTGCACCCTGCAGCACTGAGTTCTAGCCCCTGCTACATAAAGGTGGAGTCCCTGGCCCCACAGTGTCCTATCCCCTGGGAGCTTGTGAGAAATGCAGAATCTGAAACCCCACCGCAGACTGGCTGAGTAAGAATTTTAGCCAGATACCCAGGTGACTCGTGCATGCACATTAAAATTTAAGACACTCTGCAGGGCTACATCATGGCATCTGTAACACTGGATTGGACTGTGCAAGGTTAGGCTGCAGGAAGCTGCAGATCTCTCTACCCAAAGTCCTGTGATTCAATGCATTGCCTCTTCAGATCCTTCACCAGCACCCTCTCCCAGCACACACTGCAAAACCACACGATGCCATGACAGTTTGCAAAATCAGCAGCCAAATTATAGTCCTTTATAAATAGGGTAGTAACTTACACAACAACCAATTTATTTGCGATACCCTGCTGTACATAAGAAAAACACCATGCACTCTAATATATATCCCAAAAGACTCCTTTATGTTCCACAGCACACTGTGTTACAGCATCTTGTTCTATGGCCATTCACTCATTCAGTAAGAATTCCTGAGCACCTATAATGTGCTAAACCCTATGCTAGGCACTGGGATTTGACACAGAGAAAGTCACAATCTTAAAGTAGTCAAAAAGACAGGCATGAGATTGAACATGTTATTACAGCCTGTGATGAATTTCTTGATGGGACAGTAGCAGATATCTACTCAGGAATCAACAAGAGCCTCCCTGAGCGGTTGATGTTCTACTGATTTGATGAGGGGGAAAAGGCAAGGCACGGTGGGGATCAGGGGGCTGGTGAGAGCATAGGAAAGGGCTTCGGGCATCCCAGGTGCATGGCTCTGCACAGATGAAGCAGGCAAGGGAAAACAAGGCACTGCATGTTTGAGGGACTGAAAGAAGCCCAGGAATGCTGTTCTTGGAGTCAGGAGCTAAAGCTAGGAAGAGGACAGAGATCTAGCACTGGAAGACCTCAAAAGCCATATATGCCAAGGAGCAATAGATACGAGACTGGGGCAACAGAGAGCCATTTGGGTGTTTTAAAGCAAAAGCAACACACAACCAGGCGAACATTAAAAAAGAAATGACTCTTGTTCCCTGCAACAATACACCAAATCTAGTGTATTTCAATACAGTTTCAAACAATGCTCTGTGAACAGCTCCTTGCCACAATAAAAGATGGCATTGAGAACAACTTAGAAAAACCCATTTAAAGTTATTTTAATGAACCTCCAATAATAGCACCCTTCACTGATGTTTGAACATAATCCTCTGTTATTGTTCCTTGTTTTTTCTCTCACCACACTCTATTTAATAGCATGCATGAATCAGAAACGCTGACAGATACATGCATGCCTTTTCACATCCCACAAGGCACATGGAACTCTGCACACGCTCACCATGGGCCTTTTGGAAGTGGCAGACAGTTAAGAAGGGGTGAGGAAGGAGAAATATAAAATCCTGGGATTGGGGGGAGGAGGGCTCTCATGCAATGCATTTGCAATGTAAAAGGCATACAGGCAGGCTGGATCAAATGGGTAGGTGATGTATCTTTTTTTTTTTTTCTGAGACAGGGTCTTGCTCTGTTGCCCAGGCTAGAGTGCAGTGGCATGATCATGGCTCACTGCAGCCTCAACCTCCCAGGATCAAGATCCTCCCACCTCAGCCTCCTGAGTAGCTGGGACTACAGGTGGATGCTATCACGCCCACCAACGTTTGTATTTTTTGTAGAGACGGGGTTTTGCCATGTTGCCCAGACTGGTCTCAAATTCCTGGGCTCAAGCAATTTGCCTGCCTCAGCCTTCCAAAGTGTGGGGATTACAGGCATGAGCCACTGTACCTGGATAATGTATCATTTATTATTATTTCTAATTCAGTCTAAGGAGACTGAAGGTAGCACCTGCTCCTTTAGAGCTGGTACCAGAACACTTTGAAGTATGTAGCACAGCCTGATCACTGTACTTTGAAAGTCATTGTTAAACCCACATGGAGGAATTCAAGACACAGGTCAGTGGGAAATCATATCAAATGCAGAACAGTTGAGGGATCTCGTTGATAATGACTAAGTATTGTAATCTTTTTATATTATCAATGATAATAACAGCTACCTTTTCCTGAGTGCTTTCTATGAGCCAGGCACGAGGCTAGACCTCTTATATTCATTACTGCTTAGCAGGGCTATTCAAAATATTTAACCGGTCAAAATGGACTCTGGTTGTAAATAACCATTGCTAACAGATGCTGGCTAAATAGCAACCTGACTTTGAACCATCACTACCCCTGAGGCTATAAACCAACAATGCATGGGATACATATGGGTGTGGGTGTGTTTTATTTGCCCCAAACTGTGTTTAATTTTCAAAAATTTGTTCTGATATATAAAAGAAATTGTGAGGTTTTTTTTTTGTTGTTTTTTGTTTTTTTGTTTGTTTGTTTGTTTTTGAGACGGAGTCTTGCTCTGTCACCCAGGCTAGAGTGCAATGGCACAATCTCAGCTCACTGCAACCTCTGCCTCCAGGTTCAAGCGATTCTCTATCCTCAGCCTCCCAAGTAGTTGGGACTACAGGTGCATGCCATCGCATCTAGCTAATTTTTGTATTTTTAGTACAGATGGGGTTTCACTATGTTGGCCAGGCTGGTCTCGAACTCCTGACCTCAGGTGATCTGCCCGGCTCAGCCTCCCAAAGTGCTGGGATTACGGGTGTGAGCCACTATACCCAGCCAAAATTGTGAGATTTTATATAAACATCTTAACTTTATACACCCTTTCACTAAGCCCTTACTACACAGGGCCTACATACTACACTGACTGTAACAGGATCTGTCAATCAACTCACAGGTCTGCTGCATCCCACAGCACCGAGTTCTAGCCCCAAATACCATGAAGATGGAGCAGCCCTGAGGAGGCTGCATCCTGCGGGGCAGGCCATCGGGAGGTGAACATCAGCTGAGCCTGTTAGGTAGATCACCTGCTCTCTGGCTTGCATCGATCTCCAACACTTTCTCTTCTATCTCACCAGCCCTCTTCCCTCATTCATATTATCTGCTTGGCCTCTGTAGGCATCTGAGTCTGTGACCTCTTCTGGAAGCCATCACCCCATGCCCTGACTAGAAGGAGGACCAGTGTCTTCCACTTAAAGAGATGATTCTCTTGGCTGGGTGCAGTGGCTCACACCTGTAATCCTAGTACTTTGGGAGGCTGAGGTTTTTGGAGGATCACTTGAGCCCAGGAATTTGAGACTAGCCTGGGCAACATGGCAAGACCACATTTATTTATTTATTTATTTATTTATTTATTTATTTATTTATTTATTTATTTATTTGAGATGGAGTCTCACTCTGTCGCCCAGGCTGGAGTGCAGTGGCGCAATCTCAGCTCACTGCAACCTCCACCTCCTCGGTTCAAGTGATTCTCCTGCCTCAGCCTCACAAATAGCTGGGATTATAGGCACCCACCATCACACCTAGCTATTTTTTGTACTTTTTTAGTAGAGATGGGGTTTTACCACGTTGGCCAGGCTGATCTCGAACTCCTGAGCTCAGGTGATCCACCCACCTCGGCTTCCCAAAGTGCTGAGATTATAGGCGTGAGGCACCGCACCCGGCCAAGACCCCATTTATTTAAAAATAAAAATAAAAAATTAGGCAGACATGGTGGTACACTCCTGTAGTCCCAGCTACTCAGGAGGCTGAGGTGAGAGCATCGCATGAGCCCTGGAGGTCGAGGTTGCAGTAAGCTATGATCGCGCTACTGCACTCCAACCTGGGTAACAGAAGAAGACCCTGTCTTTAAAAAAAGAAAAAAAAGGAGATGATTCTCCATGCTACCTCCCTCTGGTCTCTGCCTAGCTTCCCTGGCTGAGCTCCTAATGCCAAACTCCACAGCAGTGATTCTCAACCTTGAGAGCTCATCAAGTCACCTGGAGAGCCTATTAAACACAGAACACTGGGCCCCACACCTAGAGTGTCTGATTCAGGAGGTCTGGGGTGGAGACCAAGAACTTCATTCCTAAAGTGCTCAGGAGATGTCAATACCGCTGGCTCTGACACTGCATACTGATACTGCATACTGATAGACAGCACACTTTGCAAACCACTGCACTACAGCTATAACATGACCCCCAGATGTCCGCTGGGTTCTATGCTGGTGGGGATGGGAGCGTGTGCATCTGGCCAAGAGAGGAAAGGGAGGTCCACATTTCAAGATCTCATAAATAACCCCACAAAAACCATATGAGTTATGCATCTCACCTCTGAGTTCCCTGTTTCCTGAACAAAGAGCTCACTCTTCCTTTCCAGGTTACCTTTTCATCTTTTTCCAAATGGTCCCATAAAAGCTGTGATGCTGCTCATGACATGTGGGGCCCTCTTCGACCCCAATGTACACACAGATGTTATCTTAAGGAATAGCAGCAGCAGGATTCTGCCCCTCAAAGACTCTACACCGGGACATTAATTAATGTATGACACAGCTAACGAAAACCATGATCAGCTCTCTGTGAGTGCCTCCTCTGTACCAGGCTTGTACAAAGTGCTTTATGCATCATAACAACCCTCTGATGTCAAAACTATTATCATTACGTGCCTAGCACGTAAGTGCTCAAGAAATGAATAACAATACTAGTATCAAAATAACTACCATTATTATCTTCTTCATCTTAACACTCAAACCCTTACAACGTTAGGTTTCAATGATGGTGTTTATGTTCACTCTTCAGCCTCAGTCAGTAGTTTTACAACCCATCATTGAGTCACCAAGTCTGCCCTCTATTTAATTTCACAAGGAAATATCCTCCCAGCAGAATAACAGTTTGATTAATTCAGGTGTAAACTCTTCTTTCCTGATGCCGACAAGTACTTCCTGCTGAGTCTTTGGGGATAGAAAACCTTCCTGTTGGTACATGGACTGTGGGAAATGTGAGAGTTTTATTCTTGCATTATAAAACTTATGTCAAAGCCATCTCCACACCCAAACCCTCCCGGAGGGGGTCTTCAGTTCAAGAGGACTTCAGTCTCTGCTTCACTCTGTTTTGCCTTGGGTGGGAGCTGGCTGCTGAACTGCCATCTTATTTACTGACTCAGACATAGTGTATGTTTCAGAATTAAATTTAAATACTGTTGAGATAAACAACATGACCTTTTCAATGTCAGTATGAAGAAAAAATGACACAGTTGAACCAAGAGAAAGAATGAGGGCAAAATTAGATCCTTTATCACAGTCCAAAAATGGATCTGAACTCTGCTCACCCAAGAACCATTCTCAGAAAGTTGTCAGCTAAGACAGTTACAATAATTGAATCGAAGAAACAAAAATTCAATAGGCATCGTCGTTTCCATCTTTATAGAGACTAAGCTGGGCCAATGGAAAATGTCCATCTTAGTAACCAGTGATTTTGTGCATATGTGTGAATACATACACCCATGTTCCAGTAGACACATTGACGTCTACCCCTCAGGGAGCATTTGGAAAACATGAGGCACAGGCAAGAATACCTTGTGTGTGAATACCCGGCAGTCAGAGAGAATGGGCTACTTACAGCTTTTGGCTTATAAGGGGGCTGGATCTCTTTGCGTTCAAGTTTCTCCCAATCAATATACCGGAAAAATGCATGCTCTTTGATATCACGTTCGCCTTCAGGTCCACAACCCAGACGTTTGCCTGGGTGTTTGGTCATCAGCTTCGAGAGAAAGAAAAACATTGAATTTGCTGAGTTTCAGAAGAGGAAATGTAAGACACTCAGAAATTATTACTCCAATGCATTAGGAAAGAAAGCGCAAATGAAGAATCTCAACTCATTTTTGTTTTTTGCTTTTTATCCCAGCAAAAAATCCCAGCCAGGAATTTGCAGGAGAGGACCTGATAATAGGACCCACTGCCAATCATCTGTTATGGTTAATCAAAACGAAGCCTGAATGTGGCCGTGAACTTCAAGTTAGAAATGCCACATGAGGGCCAGGCACAGTGGCTCACACCTGTAATCCCAGCACTTTGGGAGGCCTAGGCGGGCGAATCACAAGGTCAAGAGATTGAGACCATCCTGGCCAACATGGTGAAACCCTGTCTCTACTAAAAATACAAAAATTAGCTGGGTATGGTGGCACACACCTGTAGTCCCAGCTACTTGGGAGGCTGAGGCAGGAGAATTGTTGAACCCGGGAAGCGGAGGTTGCAGTGAGCTGAGATCGCGCCACTGCACTCTACAGTCTGGCGACAGAGAGAGACTCCATCTCAAAAAAAAAAAACAAAACCAAAAAAACAACCAAAAAAAAAAAAACAGAAAGAAAAAAATAAATGCCACATGATCCATTTATCCATTTTGGTTTAAGAATAAGTTTTGTGCAATTACCAGTGCATTTAATTAGGACAGTTTCAATATCTTCAAACTTCCCTCCTCCCACAACAAGAAAACTGGAGTTTGACAAAAGCAAAGGCTACATTCATTCAGATACCATTTGCATTTCTCAGTAAAGCACTTGCAAAAATGACAAAACAGAAGAAAAAGTATTAGTCAAAGGGGCCCAAGTTTCAAGTAATTACTTTCTGAAAGCCCATTAAATAGTCAAAACCTAGCCCAGCTCATTTCCCTTGTATCATACATTACACACAAAGCCGCTGAGGTTTCTTTGGTGTTCCGTTTAAATTACTTAATTATCAAAACCCTCCATCTTTGGGTCTCTGAGTGCTAAATAACAAGATGAATAGATGCGCCAAGATGAAACCAGACAGGCTTCCTCTTGTAAATGAGTCCAAAGCAGCATGAAAATATCTCTGATCTCAAGACTTGAGCAAATGCACAGGGAGTAAAGACAGAAGAGTTGGTGATTAATTAAAAAAAAAGAAAGAAGCATACAAGTCCAAAAGCTTTCCAGAGTTGACATCACATTGAGAAGCCCATGATGGCAGAATCTTCTGCCCAGGACTTGCTGATGATGGGGAAGGAATGAACCCAGAAATTCATTCCTACACTGTTGGACAGTCACTCAGCCTGTTGCCCCCTCGCAAGATAATTTGTGGTCTCACACACAAGCATGTACTTGTCATATAAAGTGTATCCTCCAGGGTGGGGAAATTAACTGAGCACTTACATTCTAAGCTAGCTACTTCTTTTTTTTTTTTTTTTTTTTTGAGACGGAGTCTCACTCTGTCACCCAGGCTGGAGTGCAGAGGCGCGATCTCGGGTCACTGCAAGCTCCACCTCCCGGGTTCACGCCATTCTCCTGCCTCAGCCTCCCGAGTAGCTGGGATTACAGGCGCCCACCACCATGCCCAGCTAATAATTTTCTTGTATTTTTAGTAGAGACGGGGTTTCACCATGTTAGCCAGGATGGTCTCGATCTCCTGACCTCATGATCTGCCTGCCTCAGCCTCCCAAAGTGCTGGGATTACAGGCAAGAGCCACCGCGCCGAGCTGCTACTTCTTTATTTACATGCATGAGCTTCCCTGATCATCATAATAACCCAATGAGGTGAGTATACTATTTTTCCCATTTGAATAAAAAGGCAATGAACACTCAGAGAAGTTGAGGAACAGTAAGGACTCCAGAGAGGAAGTGGTAGAGTCAGTAAGAGCTGGGTGCAGACTCCACCTCTGCCTAGCTCTAAAACTTGGGCTTTTAAGAAAAATGGGAGTGCATTTCACACGTGGTTTTCTCAGGAATTTTTGTGGCCTGGCTTTGTCAGGAGAGGTTTATGGAGGGTGAGGAAATTGAGCCAAGGCTTGACATTTGTGTAAGATTAGGATGGGAGGAAAGAAAGGGCAGTGAGGTTTTGGTTCACACTGATAATAACATCAATAACGGCTTCCGTGTACTGAGTATGACAACATCATATGCGTTCAGGCTCCGTGCTAAAGGCTTCCCGGCCATTACCCATTACTCTTTAAACTTTGCAACAATACTCTAAGGCCTCAGCAACTATTATCCCCCATTTTCCAGGTAAAGGATGTGGGTGCAGAGAAGTAAAGTCATCTGCCTAAGGTCAAACAGCTAAGGAGCAGGGCAAGGCTTTGAACAGCTCTGCCTGGCTCAGGACTCTTATAGCTTTATGTTCAGTCTCAGCTGTTCAGTGTCTGCTGGTTTTCACCCTAAGGTCCTGTCTATTTGGGCTTCTGTTTGCTTCAAGTTTGTTCAAAGTGGGAATAGCCATCTGAGTAAGGTTTTACTAATTTTTTTTTTTTAGTAGAAAATCGGGCCTTTAAGGGAATGGACATATAAAGGACACTGCTTCAATTAAACAGGTGACTGTTTTCAAAAGCTCAACTGAATTTCTGTCTAAGCAGGAGGATGCCAAGCAAAGAAAAGGTACTGCAAAAACATCCAGCATTAATTCGGAGTCTCTGCCCAGTTCCCGCACTCTGCTCTAATGTGCCCGAAGCCATGTAGACAGCTGGATTTAATCACTGTTCCAATCTCTGATCACCTCCCAGACGTATCCCCTGGGGCTCGCTGTTCCAGAGGAAGCATTTGGCTGTTTGCTTGAGCATCACTCGTTTTTGGAGTACCCTCCTTGAAGGAAGAGCCCCATTGGACTCAGCCCACTCAATTAATAATGGTCCCCAAACTCAATAGTAAGAGAGTCACCCCAGTTAATCATGAAGGTTATGGGTCCTGAATTAATAGAAAACGGCTCTACCAGGGAAACTGCTAATTGGAGCAGGAGCTGAAGGCAGCTGACCTGGAAAATGCTCTTTCCTCCATGACCCATTTAGAACCCCCAGCTGTCCAGGCAGGGCGGGCGTGTGAAGGGGAGGACCCTGTGGATGTATTAAACACCTACTATGTGCCCACATCATGCAAGGAGCTTTCTCTTATGTTATCTCATTTAATGCTCTCAAAAACTCTTTTCAATGAGTACTACTATTCCATTTTTTAAAATAAACAGAAGCCCAGAGATGCAAAGGAAGTGGCTTAAGATCTTGCACCTAGGCTGGGTGCAGTGGCCCATGCCTGTAATCCCAGCACTTTGGGAGGCAGAGGCAGGAGGATCCCTTGAGCCTGGGAGATCAAGGCTGCAGTGAGCCATGATCACTCCACGGCACTCTAGCCTGGGCGACAGAGCGAGACATTGATAAAACAAAACAAAACAAAACAAAACAAAACAAAACAAAACAAAAACACCTTGTGCCTAGAAAGTAGAAGGGTCAAGATTTGCAAAGGGTCCCTTGATCTCCAAAATCCCCTACTTTAAAAGTTGCAATTCCAGGGGATGCAAACTCAAATGCCAAGAGGAACCTGGCAGATAACACAATAGCGTCAGCACTAGTAATAGTAATAATAACTTCCAAGGGGCTTGGAGCAGAGTGCCAGCCTCTATTCTAAGTGATTTACAGTATTCAGCTGTTTAGTCATCAAAGAACCCAATGTGGAGTGCTATTATTATCCCCAATCTGCAGATGCCGTCAAACAACTTCCCCAAGGTCCTGCGGCAATTAATGCCTGAACCAGGATTTGAACTTGGAGAGAATTGGCCAAATGAGAACGTCTGAGAATTACAGAGGGCAAGCTCCAACTACAGAGGGCCATGGTTTCCAATCCAGCTGACTGGTGCTTTGTAAGAATGACAGGCCAATGTGGCAAGATCTGATTTTTCAAGAGAAACCTGAAAGCTGAATGTTTTTGAGAAATCTCTGGATCCTTATATGCTGGTAATTATTAAACAAACTAAAAGCTCCAGGTACCACCTTCTCTCTACCCGCCCCCACCCTTCAATAACTTGTCTACGGGGGCCTGTGGAGGCCTTCGTGTGTGCCTTTTTTTTCTTTATGGGCTTTGCTTGGGTTCCTAATGCACCTCTGGGACTCCCCTCTCTATTCTTCACTTTCTTTCTCCCTGCCTCACACCCTCAAAGAAAATATTTTCAAGCAATTCACTTTAGATGTTCGGGATTGAGACTAATTCACAGGTGGTTTCCCCAGGGATACATGCATCTTAGCCTATGCAGCTGAGGTGCAAACCTTAGGTGATTCATTGAGAGTGGGAATTTAGGCAGTGTGACAAGGCGCTTTTAGGCTGAGAGGCTGGCCCAGCTATTCCAAACTGGGCCAAGCCTCAGATTGGCCTGCCTGAGTTTCCCAGCTTTCCTTCACCCAAGACAGTGCATCCAGCATCTGGCTGGGGTCAGGAAGAACAAAGTAGGGCATGAAAAGTCTGCAAGCATCCCACAGATCTAGGACTGGCAGCCCTGGTTTATTCAGACACACAGGTGGGAACCCACTGATTAAGGCACGGCCATGTTCTAACCTGTACCACTGGGTGGAGGGAGAGCAAATCCTTTATTAGTATATTATGTGTAGAACATATTTTCTGGGCGTCTAATTCTATTGCTTTCAGGCTTCCATCAGAGTTGAAAAATCACTTCATTTGGACAGTATTTTTAAAGGCAGTGGTCTGCAAGCCAAATGGAGACTTTTCCAAAATACTCATACCCAGACTTAATCTCTGGGGTAAGGCAGAAGCATGTGCATTCTGGTAAGGCACTTCGGGTTATTCTGATGGCTCCAAAGGTGAGGGTCGCTGATCTTTAGGATCTCACAGAAGTCACTGTGAGTATGCCCTGGTCCAACACAAGATGCAAAACAAACAATCCTTCCCCATAAACACACATCCTGCTTTCTTCACAGGTGCCCTGTGCATAAACCGTAGATGTCCAAGCGTGCATGCCCTTTTAGCCATTTGTGTGTGTGTCTGGGGAGAGGAGACAGTGGGATTTTGAGTACATTGAATTTCAGTCTGCTTATCTAGAGAATTCCTTAACCTCAACACGGCGTGGTATTTTTTAGAACAAAAGTTGCACGCTCTTAGTATTAACTAAACACATACAGCAGAGCAGGGCAAGATAGCCTGAGTTGTGCAAAAGACCTCTTGTGCCCTTTCCCATGACTTCCAGCTCTTTGACAAAATCTCTGTGCTTTCTACCTCATTCATTCAATAAGCATTCCCCTGTGCTGGTTCAGAGACTGCAGCCCAGCCAGCAGCAAGACGCAGCTGCAGGCAGCTCTCTACAGCACTTCTGTGCAAATCAGAAAAAAAGCTCTCTCTCCTCCGGGAGGTAGCAGCTCCACATCAGGGTTCTCATATTGGCAAATGGAGTGAAGGGTGGAGTTCAGGCTGTGTTCCCCCCTGGTGGGGTGTTCTTGGGCAAGGTACAGCCCACATGCCTTTATGTGGTGGTCCTGGTCACAGCTTTAAGAGATGCACTTACCCCTTTGCAGATGGCCACAGCTTCCTTGGACATAGACTTGGGATAGGCTACGTTGTGTTCCATGATGGATTGGAAGAGTTCATCTTCATCCTCCCCTTCAAAGGGTGCCTGTATGACAGGGGAGGGTGGGAGGAGAAGAATCCCTGCTTGAACCCTCCCCCTAGCTCCCCTCAACTGGCAGACCCTCCTCCCTGGGGCCCACAGTGAAGCCACACACCCAGGCTTTCAAATGACCACAGACTTGTATGACCCCAAGGCCGGGAAAGTCATAGAGGTTCCAATTTATGAGCTGTTACCAAACATGCATTCTCCTAAAGAAACCATGTGGATGGGGGTAGGGAGGACTTCTCTTATCGATCACTTAAAATTCAATTACCTGCCCAGCCAACATTTCATACAGCAGGACTCCAAATGCCCACCAATCCACGGACTTCCCATAGGGCTGATAAGCAATTATCTAGAAAAGAGAAGGCACCCTATCAGGGAGGTTTGCAGTTCATGTTTCTTCTGGAGACAGATTTCACTCTTCTTTTACAAGAAGGCCAGTGCCCACCTGAACTGTTTCTTTATATTAGCTATTCAGGGAATGACAGACATGCTTTGCAGAGGCACCTGCAGCTGGGCAAACACCTGTGGCTGTCACATTGCCTTTTCGAAGCACTAAGTAAGGTGTATTGTTATTATTATTTTCAAAACAGTGAGCATGGAATTTTTAAAAGGAAAAACTGTCTTTACTCCTCTGTAAAAGTTACAACATTTACACAATAATGTAAATATACTTAACACTACTAAATTGTATACTTAGAACTGGTTAAAATAGTAAATTTTACGTTACATGTTTTTAAAACATAATTAAACATAAAAACGTTTAAGAGATAACAACATTTGTCACTATTTTAATATTTCTTTATAAAAGATAGCTCAGCTGAGATAATAACATGAAAATCACCCATAATCCTTTATTAAGAGAAAAATTATGACTAATATTTGGTCTACTTCATTCCATACTCTTTTCTCTGAATACATATTAAACTCTGTGTGTATGTGTGTGCTTTACATAAACACTTTAGTATTTGGACGATTTTTTTTCTTTTTTTCTTTTCTTTTTTTTTTGAGATAGTGTCTCTTTTTGTCACCCAGGCTGGAGTGCAGTGGTGAGATCATAGCTCACAGCTCACAGCCTTGGCCTCCTGGGCTCAAGCAATCCTCGCACCTCAGCCTCCTGTGTAGTTGGGACTACAGGTGCTCACCACCATGCTAATTATTTAATTTTTTGTAGGGATGGGGTCTCTCTATATTGCCCAGACTGATCTCAAACTCAAGCAAAGCTCCCATCTTGGCCTCCCAAAGCACTGGGATTATGGGCAATAGATCTTTAATAAAGCCAGTTATTCACTTAAGTTTTCCTTGCTAATTTAATATTTGTATATGAACATAATCAATTTTTATCTGTGCATAGCATTCCGTTGAATGGATATACCAAAATCTATCTTATAAATTTCCAGTTGATTAGGTTTCTTCCAATGCTGTAACATATATTCTTGTAATTAGACATTTGGACATCTGTCCAAGTATTTCCTTAAGATAAACTCCTAGATGTAGAATTGGTGTATCATATGGTATATATGGTTGTGAAGTTTTTAATTCATATTCCCAAACTGCAAGAACATGGAAAAGTCTAGAAGAGCTATGTGATTGTCCATCTTTCAGTATGCAGGGATGTAAAACTAACCATGTCAGAGGTTAAGAGGTAATACAGCAAAGGCTAAAGGCTGAGGTCTGAGGGTTAGGCAGTCTGACTTTGAATCCTGACTGCTGTCTACCGGTTGGCTGTCTGACCACAGGAGAAGTTACTTAACTTCTATAATCTCTATATCATGAAGTTATGTGAGGATGAATGAGATACTCGGTGGCTTTCACATATTATGCCCTCAAAATGTTAACTAATCCTAGAATGTTTTATAATTCAGTTATTGCTTGTTTAACTCAAAAAGGGTATTTGAGCAAACTTGGCTATAAAGTGAATGTTTGTTTCTTGATCTCTATCTCCCACTTTGATTTCTATTCCAAAATCAGAAATGCAGAGATGTTGATTACAGGATACAAAATTTCAGTTAAGTAGCAGGAATAAATTCAAGAGACTTATCGTGTAACACAGTAACCATAGTTAATAACAATCTATTGTATTCTTGAAAATTGCTAAGAGGGATTTTTAAGTGTTTTTACCATAAAAAAATAAGTATGTGAGACAATAAATATGTTAATTAACTCAACTTAGCCATTCCACAATGTATGCATATTTCAGAACAACATGTTGCACATGATAAATGTATACAATTTTACTGGTCAATTATGAATGAATGAAATGCATTCTGAGAAGTAACCCTCAAGACAAGGAAGGGAAAGCATTCCAGGAGAACACTTCTCATTGAACGTGTTTTCCACTTTGGGAGGCCGAGGCGGGCGGATCACGAGGTCAGGAGATCGCGACCATCCTGGCTAACACGGTGAAACCCCGTCTCTACTAAAAAAATACAAAAAAAATTAGCTGGGCGTGGTGATGGGCACCTGTAGTCCCAGCTACTCGGGAGGCTGAGGCAGGAGAATGGCATGAATCCAGGAGGCAGAGCTTGCAGTGAGTAGACAGAGTGAGACCCTGTCTCAAACACACACACACACACACACACACACACAAGAAACAATGTGGGATGCCCAAGCATCATCCCATTAGAATCTCTGCAGGTGGAGGCCCAGGATCTGTGGTTCTCAGAAGTTCCTCGCTGGTCGTGATTCAGGCAAGCACAAGAAACCCTCAACTGTGTGGCTGGTGAAGTTGCCTCCCCTCCAGCCCACAGATGGGAGGGATAAGCAGCAGGTCAGGCTTTGTCATGAGCTAACCACATCACCTTCGGCAACTGCTGTCACATCCCAGGCTCTAGTTTCCTTTGTAAAAGGATTAACTTGTTGGCTTGTCATGAGGATCAAATAAGACTTGAAGTACTTTAAAAGTGTGGAAACACTTTCTTTCTTTCTTTCTTTCTTTTTTTGAGACAGAGTCTCGCTCAGTCGCCCAGGGTGGGGTGCAGTGGCATGATCACTGCTTACTGCAGCCTCTACCTGCTGGGCTCAAGTGATCCTCCCACCTTAGCCTCCTGAGTAGTCAGGACAGCAGGGGTGACCTAGTGCACCTGGCGAATTTTTAATTTTTTTTGTAGAGATTAGGGTCTCACTATGTTGTCCAGTCTGGTCTCAAACTTCTACCCTCAAGCGATCTTCTTGCCTCAGGCTCCCAAAGTGCTGAGATTACAGGAGTGAGCCACCATGCCCCAGCTGCATCCTACATTGTAAAAGCTCCCTCACGACTCTAAACTGCAGTTAGAGTTGAGAACCAGAGATTATGGAACCCCTGGCCTATCAGGAAGTTGTGTTATGGATTGTGTCCTATCTAATTAATTAACAAAATGATAATAGACCAAAGCATATCACATAGGGAAAACTTCACTGGGTCCGAGTAAAGCCTTATTATTTTTAAAGAATTACTTTATTACTCAAGTAATACCCAAATACATTTACCTTGTAAAAAATGTCAGCAGTATACAGAAATAGCTAAATTTCTCTTTACAATTCCCTTATCCTCAGAGGTAACCAGTGTTATAAAATCAGTTTGAAATCTTCCAGATTTTTGTATGCTTTTACTCATTGAAAACAGAACAGTGTTCTGTGTATTTCTGTTTCATCCATAAATAGTATCATAGTGTTATTTGTCATTCTTCTTCTTTTTTTTTTTTTTTTTTTTGAGACAGGGTCTTACTGTGTCACCCAGGCAGGCTGGAGTGCAGTGGCATAATCACGGCTCACTGCAGCCTGGACCTCCTGGGGCTCAGGTGATTCTCTTACCTCAGCCTCCCAAGTAGCTGGGACTACAGGCATGTGCCACCACACCCGGCTAATTTTTGTATTTTTTGTAGAGACGAGGTCTCGCCATGTTGGCCAGGCTGGTCTGGAACTCCTGGGCTCAAGTGATCCACCTGCCTCTGCCTCCCAAAGTGCTGGGATTACAGGCGCGAGCTGCCACACCTGGCCTTGTATTTGTCATTCTGTACCTTGATTTTTTTCTCTAACAATGTGTCTTGAAGATCTTTTCACATCTACATATATATCTAACTCACTCTTCTGAATTGGTGCCTGGTAGTATTTCATGCTATAAATAAATCACGGGCTATTGTCCATTTTCCTGCTGAGGGACATATACAGGACACAGATCCCATGTCATATGCCAGCCCAGGGGATATGCTCTTTTTCTCTCAACAAACATTTCAATGTCATAATTAGGCGGTATCACATGGCCGTGAGCCACAACAGTTTGACGAAGAATTTTACTGATGTGTGTTGGATGGTTCTTTTGGGTTTTATTTAAATTTTCTCCCAAACCTTGATGTATTTTGGGCTTGGGCTTCTGGATGTGTGCTAAATTAATTTGCATGTGTGATCTCAAAGGGAGGATTTAGAGTATAGAATAAGAATCTGTCCGAGGTTCCCTTGCAAGGTACCACCCTCAACCCTTCCCAGCTCTCACACAGCCATCTGGGGAGCAGAGGGTACATCACCGCAATGTGAACGTGTGCCCAGCAGCTCTCACCTCGGGGGCGATGTAGTCTGGAGTGCCACAGAATGTCTTGGTTGTCACCCCATCCCAGATGTTTTCCTTACACATGCCAAAATCGGCAATCTTGATGTGTCCCTCAGAATCGAGCATCACGTTGTCAAGTTTTAGGTCACTATGGCAGACACAAGAATTTAGAGATTTAATTAAACGCTATGCATTTCAAGCCAACCAACAGCCACTCATTATGCATAAAACACTGTGTTAGGTGTTGTGTGGGCACAAAGGTCAGTAGAAACCAGCCTTTGACCTCCAACAGCTTACAGTCTGGCAGGGAGATAAAAAGAGGTCCGCAAGCCTCCGTGCTTTTCTTTTTCTACACAGCCAACTGTGCCAAGTGTCTCACAAGGACACAAAGAGACAGCACTTCTGAAAAGACGGAGATCCACAGAAAGTTAAGCAAAGGGCAGAGCATCCATGACGCTTCTTGGATCCAGGAAAATTCCAAGAATTTTCCTTTGCCACTTAAAGACTCCTTATATTTTGTAAGAAGATACATTTTTCAGAAAATTATTATTTTTTAAAATATCTCTAAAAATTACAAAGAAAAAAAGAAGCTGATTGAAAGAAATATTTAATGCTAAGTGTTCCCTGATCTCTTGGGCCACCTTCTAGGACATGACCCAGGAGTTTCCATCAATTCTTTGAATCAAAATACATTTGGCAGGGCACATTGGCTCACGCCTGCGATTCCAGCACTTCGGGAGGCCAAGGCAGGTGGATCACAAGGTCAGGAGCTCAAGACCAGCCTGGCCAATATGGTGAAACCCCGTCTCTAGTAAAAATACAAAAATTAGCTGGGCGTGGTCGTGGGCGCCTGTAGTCCCAGCTACTCGGGAAGCTGAGGCAGGAGAATAGCTTGAACCTGGGAGGCAGAGGTTGCAGTGAGCCGAGATCACGCCACTGCACTCCAGCCTGGGTGACAGAGCGAGACTCCGTCTTGAAAAAAAAAAAATGTTGCACAATTACTATGTGACAGGCACTATGCCTGGAGCCAGGTATAGTATGTAGCAGTAAACAAGATAAGCAAGCCTCCTGTTCTTCAGATTAAATTTCAGTGCTGGGAAAAAGATAACAATTACTCTGTAAGCATGATTATTACAGATTCTGATAAGTGGTATGATGAAAATAAAGAGGACATAAGATAGTGATTGGAGGAAGTCACTTTAAGCAGGGTGTCAGTCAGAAAAGACCTGTCTAAGGCGGTGACATCTGAGCTCTAACCTAAAGGATATGTGCTGTATTCTCTTTTATTTTCATCTGTGTTGATGAGAAGAGCTTGATATTTTGGGGAACAGTTGTAGGTCTTTAGCACACAAGATTGCTCCAATATCAACACACTTTCCTCCTCCCTAAACACCTACTCCAATGTCAATGCTTTATATTTCTGCACCAGTGAGCAAGGCTGAGAGATGGATCGGTCCTAATAGAAGATGGGGAAATCCGATTTCCTGAGAGGTAGGGGGATCTATTCCTTAATTCAGATCTTTCCCTTCGGTCATCTTGATTGGGTAGTGGGCATCTGTGGTTCTGTCTATTCTAGTGTTTTGTGATGACAGCATTCTAATATTTCTTAGAAGAACCACCCTCCTTCAATTCTTCCATGTAACATGGGTGTAACATGGCTTCCATGTAACATGGCTCCAGCAGTGGTCAAGTGGGCCTGTCCCAGCCAATGGAAATATTCCATCCTGCTGGTCACAGTGATTGATTCAGGAATGGGCATGTGATCCAATCTGGGCCAATCAAAGCTGTTAAGTATTAGTGCTGGCACTTTGGCTGGCATAATCAGGAAAGGGATAAGTGCATTTTACATTGGGGTTGTTCAGGTGGTATTATGGAAGTCTAGAAACTCCAGGGGTCACCAGATGAAAAGAAGCAATCTAATATAGAGAAAGCAGAGCCTAGAGGGAGGGTGATAAAATGTGCCCTCATAACGTCACTTGAGCCTCTGCATTTATCCAGGCCTAAAGTCAGATCTGCACCTGGATTTTTCAGTTATGTCACCAATAAATGCCTCTTTTAACCTAAGTTACTTTGAATTGAGTTGCTGTCATCATTTCCAACTAAAAGAATACAATCTGAAAACTATATCCTGGCATCTCCTATCTGTGTCTGTGGGGTCTCCTTATTCAAAGGGATGGGGAGGTCCACTTGCACTTGCCCACTGATGTTTGCCAATCCCAACACGCCATGCCTTTGGCGCTGTCCGTGGTGCTGCTCATATCCAGCCTTCATGCTCATCTACAAGCCACCATGATTTGTGTGAAAGTTTGGAACTCAGAAAACCCAGGCTTTGCAGCAATTTGCTTTTCATAAACTTACTAGGTAGGTCTATATGTGATATATGTGATTTCTCTAATAGTGACAAATGACAACCCTTCAGCTCGACCACATGCTCAGAAGCAGGCAGCTGGGTAGACTAGGGAAGTGATAAAATCTTCATCTATTATAGAAAAGAAGTTTCAGGTGCCAAGAGCCAGGCAGTCCTGAGGCTGGAGGGCACCTCTGTCATCTTCACTGTCACATACAGTGTTTTGATATCACACCCTAATCTTTTGTTCTGTGTAATAAATCCGCATTTCTGCTTCAAAAGGTGGATGGAGAAATTATTTTCATTTTTCAGAAAACCATCAAGGGCAAAACCAACACACATTCCAGAGACAGTGGTCAGTAAATCAGACACTAAGTTTGATAGGAAGAATCTTTTTCCCTTCCCACCCCACAACCCAACATCTCCAGTTCCTTAAAGATGGTAAGTCTAACATAATCCTTCATCCTCTTTACTTAAGAACTGTTCAATTAAGTAGAGATTTAGATGAAGGAGGTAGTGATTTGTAACATCTTAAAAGATCTTACCACTATGAAATCAATCTCTGTGAAATGATAAAACCATACATCTTTTGTCAAGTAATTTATTTTTTACCATTTCCATTTGACTATCAATTTCAAGAACTCTATTTCCATCAGCGTTCTCGATGGTGAGCAACAAAAACCAACTATGATGATTTTTACCTGAAAAGGAATTCATCAAAGGATATTGGGGAGCTCATAGAATCTTTGAGGAGACTGAAGAACCAGATTAAGAGTCTATACAGCCTGAAACAATGCCTAACTGCAACTCAGGGCTTGTCCAGTGACACCACCACCCAAGCTGCCATGGGACACACACATCACCCCTTGTTCCACGAAGCCCTAATGCTGGACTCTGCCTATTGCTATTAAGACCCTCTTCTCTTGCCTCTGGAAAGTAGTTGCTGATAATTACTATGGTCACTCTTGATTCTATGCTTTCTGCTTCCTTGGCCGCTAGTTTCTGATTCAAGGTCTTGAGTAAGTATGACCAACTGTCAGAGCTTGGGTTGTGTGCCTGCCCTGGCTACAGGTGGGCTGTGAAATGAGTATCTGTCATTTTCATTATTTATAGTAGAAGATTGACTCTGTTCTTCCACATACACAAAAGAAGGGTTCAGATGCAGACTGGCTTAAAAGATTGATAAATACCCCTTTAAAGACCATATTAATAGTGGAAGATGAAAGGGAGAGTGTGTAGTTAGTTTAGGAAAAGGGGCTTTGGAATAGGTATCATCTTAGCACCTGAAATGCTAATCTTTTAATTTTACCACCTGCCTGGCCAGTGAGCCGGATCCATGGATCCCAGATCCCAGTGCGGCTTCCTGATTGATTAGAAACTAGCCCTGAATCACAACTCAATTGACCGGAACACTAATTATTTCCTCTCCTGTTTCCTACAATGGGAGTGGATTTTCTTCCAATAAACTTGTAGTTCCATATTTAATCTTCTCAAGAACCCAGTTGGTTCTATTTTAGTAGAGGCACATCCCACATAGGAGTTAGGTCCTAATGTCAGCACCCAAGTTGAAAATCATGTAGAGTGAAAAATCACCCATGATGCCTGTCTCTTTGGTTAAGCACCAGCTGAAGTCATCGGCTTGAATTTAGGGATCATGTCATATGGCGGATCATGTGTACTTTTTTTTTTTTTTTTTGAAATGGAGTTTCATTCTTGTTGCCCAGGTTGGAGTGCAACGGGGTGATCTCAGCTCACTGCAACCTCTGCCTCCCGGGTTCAAGCAATTCTCCTGCCTCAGCCTCCCGAGTGGCTGGGATTACAGACATGTGCAACCACACCCAGCTAATATTCGTATTTTTTAGTAGAGATGAGGTTTCACCATGTTAGCCAGGCTGGTCACCAACTCCTGACCTCAGGCAATCCGCCTGCCTCGGCCTCCCTATGTGTTGGGTTTACAGGCATGAGCCACTGCGCCCAGCCTCATGTGCACCTTTCAAAACCAGAATAATATTCAGCACAAAAAGATGTTGTCACTATGAGAGTCAAAAGAGAAACTAAGGGAATTAGAGGATTTCCATGTGCCATTTCATGCACACATAGTGAACGTGTTCATTGAGGGCAAACATGGGCATGGGCAGAATGATCATACTATTTAAAATTTAAATTCTTCTTTTTTTAGAGACATGGTCTTGCTCTGTTGCCCAGGCTGGAGTGCAGTGGCACAATCATAGCTCACTGCAGTTTCGAACTCCTGGGCTCAAGTGATCCTCTTGCCTCAGCTTCTAAATTCTTCTTCTTCTCTCTATTTTTACATTTTCACTAGGATCACCCACATGCCAAGTAAAACCACTCCTCTTCTTGACCTTCTTCCCTCCATCATTAGGAGAAAGTAGGAATGGCGGGGACTTTGTGCCCTCAGAATAAGATCATCCTTCCCCCTATAGATTCCATATCACCACTTCAGGTGTGACTAAAAGCCCCAGGACTCTGAAAGCCTCTGACAAGGTCCCCACTTCCCATTTCTCCATCCTACCAGCATCCCATAGCCTGGCCTCCGCTATCTGCCTTGTACTTACCAGGGCTAATCTTAACATGCCTTTTTTTTTTTTTTTTTTTTTTGAGACAGGGTCTTGCTGTGTCACGCAGGCTGGAATGCAGTAGTATGATCACAGCTCATTGCATCCTTGAATTCCTGGGCTCAATTGATCCTCCCACCTCAGCCTCCTGAGTAGCTAGGTCTATAGGTATGCACCATCACACCTGGCTAATTTTATTTTATTTTTAGAGATGTGGGCCTCACTATGTTGCTTAGGCTGGTCTGGAGCTCCTAGCTTGAAGCACCCCTCCTGCCTCAGCCTCCCAAAGCGTTGGGATTACAGGTGCTAGCTACTGTGCCCAGCCCCCTCATGCCTTTTAATCCCATATCCCGCAGTTAAGGCAAAAGGCCCAGGACTCTCAAGTCACCCCTAACTCTCCAGGCCCTCATCATCATGCTCTCTACAGAATGAGAGAGAACCCTCCAACACCCAGTGTACACCAGCACCCTCCCCTGCTTGATTTATCTCCATAGTACTTATCACTACTTGGCAGACTATGTTTTTATGATTCACTTATCTAACTCCCACCATGAGAAAGATAAACTCCACGGGGGCAAGGGGTTTCATCTGTTTTATTCACTTCTGTATGCCCACCACCCAGAAGAGTGCCTAGAATATAGTAGGATTTGATAAATGTGTGTCAAACACATGAATGGAAGAGACTCTTGTGGTTCTTCATAATCTTTGAAATAGACCCCCACCCATGCCAAATGCTATTTGGAGGCCTCATACCTTGCAGCCTCTCTTGCATAACAAACCAGCCCAAGCCTGCCCTGGCTATGCCATTTGCATCAATGTAGTACAAGGAGAATTGTACGCCCTGGACTTGCTGACAAATAGCAGCCTCGGGTGCAATCGTCTGCCTTGCATGAAATATAAAATGGTATGACTCATGCAGCTATGATCATCCATTTGCTCCTCCAAAAACCAGCAAATGCCAAGTCCTGAACTTAATCCTGTCTTTCAGGGCAGCCACTCAGAGATCCATTTCCAAGTTGTACTTACATAGCAGAAAAAAATAAATAAATAAAAAATGTTTCATAATAATGTGATCCATCACATTCTGCCAGCCAAAATTCTTTGCCTGCTCCTCAAATGTAGGGTCCACAAGCAAGAGAAAGAAGTACTGAGGTCCTCTCTGTGAGTCTCCTCTTAGAGCAAACAGTCTCCTGTTTGAGGCTCTGAACCATCATTGGTGACACAGTCCACCGAGATTTTCTACCACCATATAGAGCTGCCCAAACTTTGCCAGGGCAGTGGGCGATGCTGCCTGGCAGAACACATGCCCAAGTTAGTTCTGGAGGATTCCTCCCCCACCGCGGATTCTAATTTTAAAAGCAGCTGAAGAAAGAGGCAGGGCAGGGAGGAGCTGAGGGAGATGAAGAGATGGAAAGTACAGCAGTGTTCACTTACCGGTAAATGATGCCCTTACTCTGTAAGAAGAACAGACCGATGGCAATTTCTGCAGCGTAAAATCTGAAATTAAAAAAAAAAAAAAAGCGATGGAGAAACTCAAGGACACCATATGCTTGGCAATGCTCAGAATTCAATACAATATTGAACTAGGTGTAGGACATTAAAGAACCCATGGATGGTCAGCTATATAGCTCATAAAGTGCTGAAAGTACAGATGGATTCAAAGGGTGGTTTAGAGGGTGATGGGGTTGCCTTAAGGACAAACTGGGGGTAGGCAGAAGTTCAGCAATTGTATAGTGGAGAAGGGGACATGGGATATGATGAACTGGATGAAGGATTATAGTTTCACTAGCTGGGCAACATAGTGAGACCTTGTCTCTACTAAAAATAAAAGAAAAAAAATAACTGGGTGTGGTGGCACATGCCTGTGATCCCAGCTACTCGGAAGGCTGAGGCAAGAGGATCGCTTGATCCCAGGTGATCAAGGCTGCAGTGAGCTATGGTCAGGACCAATGCATTCCAGTCTGAGCAACAGAGTGAGACCCTGTCCCCCACCCCCCCAAAAAAGAGAGAATTATACTTTCAGACTATATAGCAAGTTAAATTATCTTAACAATAGCAGCTAACATCTGTTGAAGGTTTACCATCTCCCCAGCACCATTTTAGGCATTACCTGACTTAATCCTAATAACAATCCTGTAAGGTAGGTCCTACTAGTATCTCCCCATTCCTCAAATGAGGAAACTGAGGGTTAGAGAGATTAACTTGGGCAAGTTATATAGTGAATGAATGGCGCAGCTGGAATAAGAAACAACATCTGTCTAAAGTGTAACCTCTTATTGAAGGTCAGCACAGAAAGAAAGAGGTTTCAAGAGAACTGGGAAGCCCAGTTATGCCACAAAGGTTGGGCAGGGCTTTGGGGAACTATGTAAAGTGTCTTGACATGTCTTGTGTGACAATGGAATTAAAGCCTGTGGTCAATTAGATGTTAGAAGTAAAAGCAAAGCTAGTCCTATTAGAGTCATGCCAGGAGATACAAATGGCTAGATTTGGAAGCACAAGAATAATGCAAATCCTATCAGAACATAGTGCTCACAACCTGTCCAGGTGGGAGGAGAGGGGGCAAGCTGAACTGGGTAGGAGCCACCAAGCCTCTAGTATGACAAGGTGGGGTTCTAGATGAGCTCTGGGGGCTCTCTGGAGAGGCAATAAGATCTTAGAAAACTCCCCAGGAGAGGTTATCATTGCTAATTCCTATAACTTGCCATGTTCCTAAGCAGGGGAATGACATGATGAAATCTGTGTTCTAAAAAGAAGAGACTGTAGCTGCCTTTTGAACCGAAGGGGATGGAATTGACTCAGCAGAGGAAACACATTTCCAACAACCCAGAATCAGTCTCCCCATCACAGGAACCACAGACCATTGCCACCGAGCACCTTGATCCTTCACCCCCATGGAGTGAAGGCATCTAAGACGGAGAGTGGTGTAAGATAAAGAACATGGGCAAAGAAAAACCGGGGTCAGAATTTGGGAACTGCTTCTTACTAGCTCCATGATTTTGGGCAAGCTTTCAAAACCTTGCATCTCCATTTCCTTGTTTGTAAAGCAGGGATGGTAGCATCTCCCTCCCAGAGTTATTCTCAAGGTTAAGTGAGACGATGTTTGTTAAGCACTTAGGGCCTGGCTTATAGTAAGTTCTCAATAAATATTAGCAAATGGACACATAAAATCTACAATGATAATCCCCAAGGAAGATATAGGGCCTTTCTAAGCAGTCAGGGACATGAATTAGAAATAAATAAATAGCTGTGGTTTTAGAGCTTTGAGTTTTGTTTTATTTTTAGGAGAGACTACAGCTGTGCGCCACCATGCCCAGCTAAGTTTTTTATTTTTTATAGAGACGAGATCTCGTCATGGTGCCCAGGCTGGCCTCTAACTCCTGAGCTCAAGTGATCCTCCAACCTCAGCCTCCCAAAACACTGAGATTACAGGTATGAGCCATGGTGTCTGTCTGAGCTTCAGGTTCTTAGCTGGTGTCAGAAAAAAAAGAAGTATCTCATATTAAGCAGAACACCTTTCTTCCCTGGCTAAATATTTTTTCAAAAAGATGCCCGAGGTGTTTAAAGATCCCTCTTTGGCAAAAAAACACCCTCAAAGGAACCACTAACCTACCCATTTATCCCAAGGAGAAAGCACAGCACTAGTTCTCACTTACACAGCATGGGGCTCCTTGAACCGGCCGACTTGCTGGATGTGATACATGAGGTCGCCCCCATTCACGTACTCCATCACAAAGTACAGGCGGTCCTGGAAGAGGACAGCAAACAGCAACATTAGCATCCCGTAGCTTCTGGGGCTCCAAATGGACAGTGGGGGAAGAGCTGGAATTTATGATGAAAACTACCAGGGCTCTCTGACAGATCCCTGTTTGCTGGGCTTCCTGTTTCCCCAAGGGTAAGGTTTGTGTCACTGGAACTACGCAAGTGAGCATAGGTGATACACAGATAATTTTTTTCATTAATAATTACAACTTTGGCCAGGCATGGTGGCTCACAGCTGTAATCCCAGCACTTTGGGAGGCTGAGGTGGGCAGATCACCTGAGGTCAGGAGTTCAAGGCCAGCCTGGCCAACAGGGCAAAACTCCATCTCTACTGAAAAAAAACAAAATACAAAAATTAGCGAATCGTGGTGGCAGGCACCTGTAATCCCAGCTACTCGGGAGGCTGAGGCAGGAGACTCACTTGAACCCGGGAGGGGGATGTTGCAGTGAGCCATGATCATGCCACTGCACTCCAGCTTGGGTGACAGAGTGAGACTCCATTTCAAAAATAATAATAATAATAATAATTACAAGTTTATATTTGTTTTTGCTGGAAAATACAATTAGCATATTAATCTTGTGACTTAACTGATATTATTGTTTAGGATAAGGCTGATTTTAACAAAAAGTGGAAAATATTAAGTAAATAATGTTACAGGTGATAGATAGCTGTAGTAGCCAGCCTTTATGATGCTCCCCCCACCCACAGTGATTTTTCAGTCTCTTGGTATTTATGTTCTTGTGTAGTACCTTCCCCTAATGAATAGGACTGACCTGTGTAACCCATTGGATACTGCAAAAATGACAATGAATGACTTCCAGGAGTAGCGCGTAAAAGACCTACAACTTCCACCCTGCTCTCTCTCAGATCACTTGCTTTTTGGGAAGCCTGCCGCCATGCCATGAGGATGCTCAAGCAGTACTATGGGAAGGTACATTTGGCAAAGAACTGAGGCCTCCTGCCAGCAGCCAGCACCAACTCCAGTCCTGTGAGAGAATCACCTTGGAAACAGATCCTTCACTCGAGACAAGGCTTCAGATGACTAAAATTCCAGCTGGCAATCTGAGTGCAGCTTCCTTTGAGACCCAGAGCCAGATCAACTAGGTAAAGCATTCCCAAATTCCTGCCCCACAGAAACTGAGATAATAAATGCTTATTGTTTTAAGCCACTGAATTTTGAGGTACTCACCAATAGATAACATAGTGGCTATCAAAAACAAAAAGATGAATTATCAAGGTTTGAAAAACAGTAATCTAGGAAGGCATGTCCAGAAGTAAAAGAACTGGGGACAAAAAAAAATCTGTGTCCTAATCAGGGAAGTTTTTCAGCATGTCTTTCAAGGGATATTGTGAACTTCTTCAAGTCAGGGGCTATGCCCTTGTTGGCTGTGTAAGCCCTGTTTCTGATAGCACAACTAGCACATAGCAGGTGCCCAGAGAGGGAAAGGGCACAAGCTTTGGTGCCAAAGATACTTCATTTGGAAATCCAGCTCTGTCTCTTAATAGCTGGATGTATTTGGAGAAGTTATTCAACACCTGGGTTTCCTTGTGTGTCAAGAGGAGATAATAGTAGAACCTCAGTGATGTTGCTGGAATTAAATAAGTCAGATGTGTGTTTTGGCCCTTGGGCAACACCAATATGTGACTCGTTTCTCTCCTTCCATCAGAGGGTGTTTGCTAAATGAATGAATGAATCACTTTATCTCTTCTTAGAGACTTCTGCTTGGGTGAAATCTCTCCTTTACGCTACGTTCCTTTGGCTTGCAATGGCAGAGTCTGCGCTAACGAATTTGGGAACTGAAGTCCCTCTTATGTTCTCAGCCTAAAAAAGTCACTTCCTCTAACCCACCCAATCTAAATTAGGTCTGCCGTTATACTCTTTCATGAAAGCCTGTGGGCTTTTTTCTTTTCTTTTCTTTTTTTAATCTCTGACCACATCATAATTTGTTAATTATATTTTGAACTTGATGGTTATTTATTTCATCTATCTATTCAAGTAAAAACAAATTTACAGAGTCCTACTAGGTACCAGGTTATAGATGGGTGCTGAGGATAGAGCAGTGAACAAAACCAACAAAAATTCCTGGCCTTTGTCTTTCATTCTAGCAAGTAGACACAGAAAAGGCAATAAATGCTAAACATAATAAACAAATTATATAGAATATTAAAAGATAGCCGGGCACAGCGGCTCGTGCCTGTAATCCCAGCACTTTGGGAGACTGAGGCGGGCAGATCTCCTGAGGTCAGGAGCTCGAGACCAGCCTGGCTAACATAGTGAAACCCTGTCTCTACTAAAATATAAATACAAAAATTAGCTGGGCATGATGGTGTGCGCCTGTAGTCCCAGCTACTCGAGAGGCTGGTGCAGCAGAGTTGCTTGAACCTGGGAGGTGGAGGTTGCAGTGAGCCAAGATCACACCACTGCACTCCAGCCTGGGCAACAGAGTGAGACTCTGTCTCAAAAAATAAATAAATAAATAAAAATAAAAATAGAAGGCTAAAAGATTAAAAAGTGCCACGGGGGAAAAACAGAGCAAAGTATGGAGGATTGGGAGTACCAGCTGGATGAGATGGGAGAAAGGAGTTCCAGTTTCAATAAAGTATTCAGGATAATCTTATTTAGAAGGCGATCCTTCAGCAAAGACTTGAAGGAGATGACGAAAGCAGCTATGCAGGTATTGAGAGTGAGAGCTTACCAGGCGGAGAAACAGGCTGTGCGAAGGCCCTGAGGCTAGAGCACACCTCATGTGCTTGGAGAAGAAAGAAGAAGGGGGACAGGGTAGGAGATGAGCCCAGGGTGGTGCTGAGGGACGCATCATGTAAGGTCACGTAGGCTAACACAAAGGTTCGGGGTCTCACTCTGAAAGAAATGGACTAATGCGAAATGTGACTGAACGTTCCACAAATCCAGGAGCCATGTAAAATTTGTTTACCGCTGTGTACCAACAGCCCAGCACCATGCCTGACCAAAGCGAGCCATCAATATACATTAATTAAGTGAATAAATGGGTGATCCTCGAGGCAGCAGGAGTTACTGGGTCTCCAAAGCAGCATTCATACAGTCAGAAGGTTGGAATCAAAGCTCTGACTCCACGTTTTCTGACTACTGGGGAGGCTTGGCAAGACCATTTTACATCCCTGAGCCTTGATATCTTCATTTATAAAATGAGGATAACATATGCGATAATCTCTAACAGACTGACTGAGGGGCTGGAATGAAACATACACAGGGCTGCAAACTGTAAATGTGATGAAAATGAGATGTCCTGGCAATACTGCCTGAGTATTGAAGCCAGACAAGTGTTTTCCAAACTCAAGTTGTATCTCACTTTAATTGATGATTGAATCAATTTGGTGGGTCATGATCAACTTAAAAAAAAATAATAGAAAAAAGAGGTCAGGCATGGTGGCTGGCTCCTGTAATCCCAGAACTTTGGCAGGGCCGAGACAGGAAAATCACTTGAGGCTAGGAGTTTGAGAACAGCCTGGGGAACATAGCAAGACTCTGCCTCTACCAAAAAAAAAAAAAAAAAAAAAATAGCCAGGCATGGTGGTGAGCACCTGTAGTCCCAGCTACTCGGGAGGCTGAGGCAAGAGGATCGCTTGAGCCCAGGAGTTCAAGGCTATAGTGAGCCATGGTGGTGCCACTGCACTCCAGCCCAGGCAACAGAGTGAAACTGTCTCAAAAAAAAAAAAAAAAAAAAAAAAAAAAAGTAGAAGAAGAAAGAAAAATAATGAAATGATGAAATGGAAATTATCAGTGCATGCTGCACAGAACACCACTAAGTACTTTTTGTGGAATATATGTTTTGGTTATATTTATATGTTGCTATGGCTGAGTCACAACGTAAAAGGTGACTTGCTGTCAAAAGTTGCAAAGCTATTGTGAGGGGCTATAAAACCGGGAGAAGAGGTGGTGGGAAAGTGAAGCAAAGATTTCACCTTTTAAGTCAATACAGTATTTGAAGTCTTGTTGCACTACTTACTAACTGCAACACTGAGCAGTTATTTAATCTAATTTTGGGCTTTCTCTTCACCTGTAGATGGGACATTTTTCACTTGCCCACAGAATATTAAACAAGGACACATGTGTAGAGTGTCTAACATGATGCTGGCCATATAACAAGCATTTAATTCACCATTTAAAAAAATCTTCCATACAGCACATAGAACTTTATCTTATATGTAACAGTCATATGTGCATTTATCAAATGTGGGAGTGCCTAATAATTATAACAACAACAATAATGAAATTAAGCTTTCTTGGGTACTTACCACGTGATGAGCTGAATGCTTTACATATTTTGTCTCACTTGTCCCTCTACAAAACTCAATGTGACAAGTATAATCATTCTCTCCCTTCTAAAGAGGAGAAAGTTGAAGCTCAGAAAGGGTAAGTAACTTGCCAGTGGTCTCTCAGCTGATAAGCTGCTGCAAAGCCAGGGTCTGAACCTTAGGCATTGGGTTCCAGACTCTACACTCTCAACCCCTCATGATGCTGCCTCCAGTGGGTACATCTTGTGTGAAAGGTTCTGAGCTAGACATTGTATGGATGTGTGGATGTGTCCTCCCCTCAAAGAGCTTCCAGTCCAGGATGGGAGAGAAGGAACATGGAGATTTAGTGGTACATCAAGACAGAAGCTGGCAGGTTACAGGAGAGCACAAGTTAACCAATTTTTTTGTTTTTTTTTTTCTGTGGCAGGGTCTCACTCTGTCGCCCAGTCTGGAGTACAATGGCGTGATCTCTGCTCACTGCAGCCTCAACCTCCCAGGCTCAAGTAATCCTCCTGTCTCAGCCTCTCCAGTAGCTGGGACTACAGGTTCACACAACCACACTTGGCTAATTTTTGTATTTTTTGTAGAGACAGGGTTTTGCCATGTTGCCCACACTGACTAATTTTTAGAAAATGGTTTTTATTTCTCAGACCAATACTGCTTCACCCTCTCAACATGTCTAATGAGAAAAGGAGGTGAAATGATCACTTATATTCTCAGGGTCCAAGGCATAGGAGATTTGCCAAAAGGTCACATACAAGTTGGTGGCAAAATGCAGACAGTAAGCCAGAACTGCCGACACCCAGCCCCTGGTTCTTTGGCTTTTTTTTTTTTTTTAATAGAAAACAAGCCTAAAAATAGCATCTGTCTTTGCTGCACGTTGAAGAGAACCAAAACACTTGTTTTAAAAATTATTTTTAAAGCTAGCAGATGGCATTGGCCACAGAGAGAGAAGTAAGTGAGAGAGAGATTTCACTTGCTTGCTTTCTGCTTGGAAGAACTCGGCTTGCCCCCCAGACTCATTAGTCGGAATCCCCACATCAGGGGATCGCTCCACTGTAGGTAAGGTCGTGTTTTGTGGTATGTTTCTACCGCTAACCATATGCAGGGAAACCCTAAGATCTATCATCTTTGAACTGTACTGAGCATGTGGCTTCAACACACCAGTGCCTAAGCTATTAAATGTTACGGTTGGCATCTCACTGTCCTTTTATTTCTGAACAAACACTTAATGATGCCCACTCTATGCCAGGAGCAACTCTATTGCCAGAGATGTTTCTGTGGATAATCCACAGTGCCAGATGTTAAGGATTCCCAGGCGAGGGACAGGGGCCAGATAAATTTCCAAACGGCCGTGTTTCCCAAAATGGGTAGGAGATCATTTTAGGTAGTCCATGGATGTATGATGGTTTCACCTTTATGGCTTTGTATTTGTTTTAACGTATATTGTGGAAAATACAACTAAGCACTTACGTTCCTGATTTGATGGCTATTATTGCTGGAGAGGGGGAGTAAAATTCATGGAGTCATATAAAAGAAAAAAGGGGAAAGGTAGGGTAAGACCAGATTATGATGCACTGCCTAAGACCATCCACCCAAACGTGACTTGTCTCCCAACCAGCTTTAAGATCTTTACCAAGTTTCTCTGCCTCCTCTACTAAAATTGACTTATTTTTTAAAAATATTTTTATTAACTCCGTTAAAAAAACTTACACACAATTATTTTAAAATATTTTAACTTCATACCAAAGTCATAAATGGAAATTCATCCCCTCTATAGAAAACAAGTACATATCTGGACCGGGTGCAGTGGCTCCCACCTGTAAGCCCTTTGGGAGGTTAAGGTGGACAGATCACTTAAGGCCAAGAGCTTGAGACCAGCCTGGCCAACATGGAGAAACCCTATCTCTACTAAAAATACAAAAATTAGCCAGGTATGGTGACACACACCTCTAATGTCAGCTATTCGGAAGGCTGAGGCACAAGAATGGCTTGATCCCAGGATGTGGAGGTTGCAGTGAACCCAGATCATGCCACTGCACTCCAGCCTGGGGAAGAGTGAGACCCTGTGTCAAAAAAAAAAAAAAAAAAAAAAAGAAAGAAAGAAAAGAAAAAAATCTTTACTAAGTTTGTCTGCCTTTTCTACTAAAATTGACTTATTTTAAAAGTATTTTTATTAACTCACTTAAAAAAAACTTAAACACAATTATTTTAAAAATTTTAAATTTCATACTAAAGTCATAAATGGAAATTCATCCTCTCTGTAGAAAAGAAGTGCATATCTGGAGTCCATCATCTTTATGCA
Source organism: Homo sapiens (assembly GCF_000001405.40). NCBI lineage: Eukaryota > Metazoa > Chordata > Mammalia > Primates > Hominidae > Homo > Homo sapiens. The sequence goes on along the minus strand of NC_000016.10, from coordinate 24,165,674 downwards.
ATATCCAGTCTGGCTCTGGTACATCAATCCTTTAAATGACTTATTTTAAAAATAAATGCAATGTGTTCATGTACCACCAGGTTCATCTCCCACTCCACAGTAAGCAACATCAAAATCTGGAAAATATTGTCAGAGGCAATCCAGAGCCAATCTGGAGCAGAGAAGTGAGTTTTAGAACTTTCATCGAGCGCTTATTTTTGCAAGTCATGGCATTAGGCAGGCATTAAAAGGATGAAAACGATGAATAAGGTTCAGGCTTGCCCTCAGGGAATTCAGAATCTTGGTTAAAACAAGTATACAACTAATTCAAACCCTAATCTAAAATAGAATGTGGCTGGGCACAGGGGCTCATGCCTGCAATCCCAGCACTTTGAGAGGCTGAGGTGGAAGGATTGCTTTTGAGCCCAGAAGTTCCAGGTCAGCCTGGGCAACATGGCAAGACCCTGGCTCTACAAAAAATAAAAAAATTAGCCAGGCATGGTGGCGCACACCTGTAGTCTCAGCTACTCAGGAGGCTCAGGTGAGAGGACGGCTTGTGCCCAGGAGGTCAAGGCTGCAATGAGCAGTGATTGCACCATTGCACTCCAGCCTGGGTGACAGAGTGAGACCCTGTTTCAAATAAAAGTAAATAAATAAATAAAATAGAATGCGATAAAAGAAAGTGCATGAGAGGCATAAAGAGTGAACTATGGGGGCTTCGGCTAACTAAATGGACCTCACGTACTGCCTCTAATTCTTACATATTATTCCCCTCCATAGCACCCTTAAATTTGCCTTTGTTCCCCATTCCTCCTACGAAATTATTGCAAAATCTTCCTTATCACCACACTCAGTGTTTTTTGATTAGGGCTTATTTGTTGGACTCTAATATATGAAAATCAAAAAAAGTATTTCTTGCGTATCGACTTGAAGTCCAGATTGGCTCTCTCCTACTTACTCAATTTTCCAAGAAGAACTTGTCACAGCTCAGAATTTCAACTCTCATCTCGCTGGGCTGATGAGTCTTGACTTATATTTCTATCCTCTCCCTCTCTCCTGAGCTCCAGTCAGCTCCAGCTGGCTACAGGACGTTTCTACGTGGGTGTTCCACCGTCAACTCCAATTAAAAGCTCGGAAAGGCAAACTCACCATCTTTCTCTTCAAACTGGCTAGTCTGCTTGACTTTAAAGGGCTTCTTCAAAATTGTCATTGTTATTGTGATTCTTCATTACACTATTACCGCTGCCCTCTAAGCTTCAAGTGCCTTCAGGTAATTTAAAATTCCCTTTCTCCTTAATCTCTCATAATCAGTAAATAAATAAAACTAAATGTCTGTCTGTCACTACATTATGCAAAATGGTTGGCTAGAATTTCCCAAATTTGGAACATGAGTATGAGGATAGTCTGATTTAAAATGATGACTAGGTGGGAGGTGCAGAATTCACCTGGAGGTCTCCAGAGGAAGCAAGGGAATTCAAAGAGACAATCTTCCCCTAAGACAGCTGAAAGTGGAGTGTAACATGATGCCTGTGTGACTGCCAGGGGGACACTTGCCACTTTTAATCAGATACCATGAACAGAGAAAACCGACCACGTGGGCAGCTCTATGTACCATGCTCCAAGGGAAGTTGCTGCAAGAATTTGTCTATTTAATGATCTTTAATGATTTTCCAAGCTGGTCTGTGGATTCATCCCGTCTGGAAGCTGATCCCTTTATTGCTCAGAACCATCTGTTTCTCTCCAGAGAGGCTGTGTAGTGCTGTGGTTAAGAGCCCTGGTTCTGGTATCAGCTAGTCCTGGGTTCTAGTCACAGTTATACTGGATACTTGCTCTGAGACTTTGGGTCAGTTACTTAGAGTCTCTACCTTCCCAAAAGGGGGTAATGACAGCTTGTTCTTCATAGGGGTGTTGCCAAGATACATCAGATGACGCATGTCAAGTCCATGCAAACTCAAAAAGCCTTACCCAAGTAAGTGTGCACTCAATGACATGTGTTCACACACAACTTTCCCTTCCTCTGTATTTTATAGCCTTGCAATCACTGTTAGAATCAAGCAATTGATGCTCCTCTAGCTTTTTTGTTTGTTTGTTTTCAGCTTTCTAAGCCTTGTCCCTCCACATAGAGGCCAAAGTTTTCAAAGGCTAGAACTACCTCTATTCTTCCTCGGAATTCCACAGATCTTTGATTATTGAATGAATATGCAAAGGCCACCATCAAGAAAACAGAGAGCATAAGGCTGTGTCTATTCCCACCTGCCCCAGCTCTATTTGCCTGGGTTGCATTTCTGATTCATTTCCTGTACTCAAGATCCTTGGATGGCTTTAGTTGGCTAAAGCACTAACACCTGCCAAGCTCTCACCAGTTTCCTCCCCTGGGAGGCAATGATGCCATGTTTGTACCACTAGCCTATAACTATGTCCTGCTTGAATCCAGTTAGTCTCCTTGGACTCAAGATGGTGCCTCTCACCTGGCATGAGCACCAATTATTCCCTCCCTGTAGATACAACCCCTTTTAAAAGGTTCCTAGTGAGTTAGTAGCAACCAATTGCCAGCTGATTGGGCCAGGAATAAACACCTGACCCAAGCTGAACCAACCAGATTCTCTTTCCCAGGACTATGATCTGAAATGCAGGGAATTTGCCAGATAGGCAAACTGCAAGGAGCTAACGAAGTCATGTTTACCAGGAGCAGTGAGAAACAAAGAAAGCAAGGACAAAGAAACCTAGAAATCTATTCTAGACTGCTTTAGGATTACAGATTCTAGCTCCTCATGAGGCCCAGGTACACCTTTGTCTTTGGGTGGTTTCTTTCCAATAAAATCCTCTTTTTTTGGTTACCTGCATAGATTGCATAGTGGTCAAGTCAGGGCTTTTAGGGCACCCATCACCTGAATAAGGTACATTGCACGCATTAACTAATTTCTCATCAACAATCCTCTCCAGGCTGGGCGCGGTGGCTCATGCCTGTAATTCCAACACTTTGGGAGGCTGAGGTATGGGGACTACTTGAGCCTAGGAGTTTGAGAGCAGCCTGAGCAACATAGGTCTCAACCCCATCTCTACAAAAAAATTTTAAAAAATTAGTCAGGCTTGGTGGTGCATGCCTGTGGTCCCAGCTACTCCGGAAGTCGAGGCAGGGGGATCGCTTGAGCCCAGGAGGTCCAGGCTGCAGTAAGCCATGATTATACCACTGCACTCCAGCCTGGGTGACAAAGGGAGATCCTGTCTCAAAAAAAAAAAAAAAAAAAAAAAAGTCTTCTCTGTTTTTTTGGAGCTATTGGAGCCAGTTTGGTGGGGGGCAGGGGAAGGGGTGTTCTGTTTCTTACAACTTGATCACTGCTGACTGAGACAACAGCCAGAGCCACCTGCAGCAATGCCCTTAAGTCCAACCATATCCTTGGGTACTGCTGCCAGCCCAGAGCTGAGCCCGAGTTACCAGGACCCCTGGGACATTCTCGGGGCTCATTCTTGGGCCATCAGGGGTCCACTCTACATGTGGGAATCATCCTCACCCCATCCCTGTCCTCTCTTGCATTCTGAATTGACGTTCCTCCCAGCATGCCTTGCAACTGAGTTATTGCTGGGCCATGGCAGCAAATTTGGGGAGGAAGTAACTTCTGTCCTTCAATGACTCATAAAATCTAATTCTATTTAAAAAAAAAAAGAGGTGCATATGTTCAATTGAAAAGAAAACAGTTAAAATAGATGTTTTGCTAAAGAAACTTAACTGCCTGTGCCCACTGGCAGTTGGGAAATTGCATGAATGTGCCGGGCTGACAATTGTCCCTGAGAAAAACTGCAAAAGGAATGGAAGAAACATAATTCTTTCGTACCTATGCAGCAAGGTGCACCTCCAGTCCAGCTCTAATAATGCCGGCAACCTCCATTTCATGTTTATTATATTTTATTCACCATCTCTTTCAATCCTCCCTGATTATGCCCACTTTAAAGATGATGAAATCCATATTCAGAGCTGTTAAGTGACTTCCTAGAGGTCATCTAGCAAGCAATCACAGATCCAGATTCACCTGACTGTGGAGTACAGGCTTATTATCCCTTTGTGCTTCTAGGACAATTTGCCTAAACCATCTAATGAGCAAATCTCTGAAAACTCAACCCCCTTCTGGGAGCTTTTGCATCTATTTGGATATTAACTTTGCCATCTTGTGGTACATTAAAAAAAACTTAAACAACTATATTATAACTACTTCTGCAATGATGTAAGTTCAAAAAGAAGGCACTTATCCACAGACCCCTCCCTAAATCAAATCAATATTTTGATTTGTTTATGCCCCCTTCTGATTCTTTTCCATGTGAATATTCAATTTTAACACACTTAAAATAATATCTTAAATAGGATTTAATATCCTACATTTTCTGTTAACACCGTGCTGTGCATATGTTTGAAAGATATTTTTATTCCAATATAAGATTATTTCTGATGTAACTTTGCTTTTTTAAATAAGTTTTTAAAAATCGAATTTACATCATTTAAAAATTGATTTTTAAAAAATGGTTTTGTACATTGCTGGTTGTCTCTTTCACTTTTATCCAGTATTTTGGCCACTTTTGAGATTTTTTAAGAGCCTATTAAGAATCTTTTATCTTTAAAATTCTGAGTCTCTAGAAAGAAAAACATCAAATTTACAGCATGTTATATTGGATTTGTCTCTTTTTTTTTTAAAGGTAGCTGATTCAAAAAGAATTCTGGGTCACAAAATACAAAATGACAATCCACCGGGGCGACACCGGCCTCCTCGCTGTTCCTCAAACACGCGGAGCATGCTCATGCCGCGGGCATTCACACTCACTCTTCCTGCTGCCTGGAACACTCTGCCCCCAGATAGCCACATGCCCCGCTCCCTTGCTTGCCCTGGTCTCTGCTCAGATGTCATCCTTATCAGAGAGACCTTCCTTGATGATCCTATCAAAAATAGCATCTCTCTGCCCCAATCCATCCATCTCCATCCTCTTTACTTTGTGTCATTATTATAGTTTATTATCAGTCTCCCCCAAGAGAATGTAAATTCCAAAGAAACAGGGACTTTATCTGTTTTGTACCTCATCATGGTGATGCAATGGGGCCTGATACAATTATTTCAATGAATAAGTCTTTGTTGAAATAATCAATAAGCATTAGTACCCTCTGTATACAGGCAGCATACAGGCAGTAATACCCTCTGTATACAGGCAGTAATGCCCTTTTAGGGATATGGCCTATTCCAGCTCCACTGCCTCCTCTGAAGCCCTGCTCTGCAGATCCAGGCCATGCAATGCTAGAAAATGAGCAGGAGCCAGATGACCATTTTCAAGGACATCCCCAGAAAGAGGTGTCACCTTCCTGCTCATTTTAGTCATGATAACAATGGCTTGCCTCATGTATATGCAGTGCTCCCTAAATTTTAATAATCATTCCCATGGATAAAATCTTATCTAATCCTTGCAATATCCCTGTAGGATAAGCGGAGTAACTTCCATAGTATTAAAAAAAAAAAAAAAAAAAAACACCCAAAGGGCTATTAGAAAACCTGAGCTCAAGCCCTGGAACTGCCACTTACTGATTGTGGAACTTGAGCCATTTCATCTTTCTGGGGGTCAGTTTCCATTGAATAGAAATGTGGACCATAATACTTATAGTGCTTTTGTGAAGATTAGATGTGATCGTAAGAGTGAAAATATTTTATATTTTATTTTATTTTATTTTATTTTTTGAGACAAAGTATCAGTCTGTAGCTCAGGCTGGAGTGCAGTGATGCAATCATGGCTCACTGCAGCCTTGACCTCCCAGGCTCAGTTGACCCTCCCACCACAGCCTCCTGGGTAGGTGGGACTACGGGTGCGTGCATCACTCCTAGCTAATTTTTTGTAGAGATGGGATCTTGCCATGTTGCCCAGGATGGTCTTGACCTCCTGGATTCAAGCAATCCACTTGCCTACACCTCCCAAAGTGCTGGTGTTACAGGTGTGAGCCACTGTGCCTGGCTGTAAAGTGAAAATATTCTATAAGCCAAAACCAGGAATGTGAAGTTAAGGCACAGGTAGGTTAGCAAAGGCTTCCGGGTTTGGGGTTCTAGAGTCTTGCAGAGCAAATCTTAGCTCCACTACTTAGCAGCTGTGTGACAGTGCACCAGTTACTTAACTTCTCTGAATGTCAGCATTCTTGTCTGTAAATTAAAGTTAGTAATAGTACCTTTCCAATAGAGGTATCAGGAGGATAAAATGAGATAATACAGCTAGAGTGCTGAGTAGAGTGCCCAACCTATTACTGTTAGCTGCTGCTTTTTGTTCTTGTTTGTATCATCATTGTCAAGGCCATTTTGGTGGCAACTCAACATGATGTACTAACAAAAGCTTGGGCTCTGAGCTCAATGAGCCAATGACCCAGTGCTGTGTCGAGGAAGAACTACCATGCAGCCCTGATTCTCAATCCTTTCACCTGCAAAATGGGAGAGTAGATAATCCCTTTCACTGCAAGATTTTTGTGAGGCTGGAATGAAGCAACGTTGTTGAAGACCCATGCATGGTAGAGGCTCAGATGGAACATCAAGTTTTATGCAGAGATAGGGAAGCTAAGAGGTGGAGGTAGTGTGGCTTCACTGAACAGGTGAGAGGTGACCATGGCTAGATTAGAGCACAGGCTCCTGGTGGAGCCTGGAGACAGGCCTGCAGGAGGGATTCTAACCCAGGGGTGTCAGGTGGAGTGGTCTTTGGGTGATCCACACTCAAAAGACTTCAGGCTGGGTGTGGTGGCTCATACTTGTAATCCCAGCACTTTGGGAGGCCGAGGTAAGAGGATTGCTTGAGCCTAGAAGATTGAGACCAGCCTAGGTAACATAGCAAGACCCTGTTTCTACAAAATATTTTTAAATATTAACTGGGCGTGGTGATGCATGCTTGTAGTCCTAGCTACTAGGGAGGCCGAGGCAGGAGGATCTATTGAGCCCAGGAGCCCAAGGCTGCAGTGAGCTATGATTGTTTCACTGCACTCAAGCCTGGGCCACAGAGCAAGACCCTGTCTCTAAAAATACATATACTTATACATATACACACACATACACATACACACACATACACATACACACACACACACATACACACACATATACATATACATATACATATACATATACATATACATATACATATACATATACTTATACATATACATGTTTTTTTAAAAAGATCTCAGAGCATAGCAATTAAATGCAAAACTCCTTAAAGCCAGACTGCCTGGGTTCAAATCCTGGCCCTGAAATGTACTAGCTGTGTGGCCTCAGTCCCCTGGTCTACACAATGGGAATGATGACAGAACCTATCTAAGTTGTCAAGAGACTTAAAATTGTTTGCCTTGTGCCTCACATATAGTAGGCATTATTATAAGTCTTTGAAAATAAATTTAATTTATGCAACATTAAAATATATGTGCTTAGCCCACAAAGAAGTGAGAAAAAATAATTTAAATTGGAGCATTTCACTCAATGAGCATATGCGCAGAGTGCAGGTGAGATGGAAGGGGATCTGCTCTTCCTTCAGCCAACTGCACTTGGCATCTCAGGGTCTCTTGCTTGCAGTGAGTGCGTCTCTCCAAGCACTTTTTTCTTTCAATCGATACAATCCCTAGAGATAGGTTAAAGACTTCATCAGACCCTCAACAACTGAGAAAGCAATCTGTTCCATCCTTGGACTTGTCGGTTGGGGAGATTCTGCATTGGTCTCCACATGGGAAGGCCTTCATTCCCATGTGTATTAGTCCATTCTCATTAGTCCATTAGACATACCTGAGACTCGGTAATTTATAAAGGAAAGGGGTTTAATTGACTTGGAGTTCAGCACGGCTAGAGAGGCCTCAGGAAACTTAGAATCACGGCAGAAGGGGAAGCAAACGTGTCCTTCACATGGCACCAGCAAGGAGAAGTGCAGAGCGAAATGGGGTAAAAGTCCCTCATAAAACCATCAGATCTCGTGAGAATTCACTCACTCTCATGACTAGCATGGAGGTGACTGCCCCCACGATTCAATTACTTGCATTGGTCTCCAACATGGGAGGCCTTCATTCCCATGTGTATTAGTCCATTCTCATTAGTCCATTAGACATACCTGAGATGGGATAATTTATAAAGGAAAGGGGTTTAATTGACTCGGAGTTCAGCATGGCTAGAGAGGCCTCAGGAAACTTACAATCATGGCAGAAAGGGAAGCACACGTGTCTTTCTTCACGTGGCAGCAGCAAGGAGAAGTGCAGAGCGAAGTGGGGTAAAAGTCCCTCTTAAACCATCAGATCTTGTGAGAATTCACTCACTATCATAACTAGCATGGAGGTAACCGCCCCCATGATTCAATTACCTCCCACTTGGTCCCTCCCACGACATATGGGGATTATGGGAACTACAATTCAAGATGAGATTTGGGTGGGGACACAGCCAAATCATGTCACCATGCAAGACCCAAACCCACTGGGCTCTTGTGTTCTAGGCTCTCCTGGTTCTCAGTCTCTCTTCCCTGGCACATGACAATCCCTGGAGGGGACCCAGACTTCTGCAAAATTTCCATGTACACCCAGCCCCTACTCTCTAATTCCAGAAAGCATATTGAAATATAGGTGAGTAGGTTGGTTCAATATTAAAAGAATAATCTCAAATCTACTCTATTTAATCATTTTTAAAATAATAAACCACAAAGACACTACAATGAACATTAGTCACCCATGATTCATTTCTCCCACTCTCAACATATCCAACTAAAATGGAAAACTGCTGCTGCTCAGCCTCTATGCTGGGCACAAGGTCCCTTTCTTACTTAGTTGATTTACTGGACGGAGACTGTCCTTTGCCTGATGATGTCAATGAATCCATCTGGGGATAACCAATGGAAAAGGGAGAAGGTAAGGGAGTAGGGGAGCCTAGAGGTTTAAATCCCAGCCTTGTCTCTATCACCACTTGAACACCTTTAGGCCTTAAATCCCCATGGTAAGACTAGAGATTTGGACTAGTAAGGTTAGGTGTACCCCTTTCCTGGTCTTTGCCAAGTCTCCATTGCATGATGTAAATTATCATTCACTTAATATTTTTCTTTCTATTGTCTCTTCTTCCACTCAAAACAGTTTATTTTAAAAGCCAACTTTGGCCGGGCATGGTGACTCATGCCTGTAATCCCAGCACCTTGGGAGGCCGAAGCAGGTGAATCACTTGAGTCCAGGAGTTCAAGACCAGCCTGGACAACATGGTGAAACCCGGTCTCTACTAAAAGTTCAAAAATTAGCTGGGCGTGGTGGTGTGTGCCTGTAGTCCTAGCTACTAGGGAGGTTGAGGTGGGAAGATCACTTGAGCATGGGAGATCGAGGCTGCAGTCAGCCATGATCATGCCACTGCACTCTAGCTGGGGAGACAGAGCCAGACCCATTTAGAAAAAAAAAAGCCAACTTTAGCCACCCTTGGAGCACAACAGTGAACCAATTTATTATCTTGAGAACTATTAAATAAAGAGAAAGAATCAAGCATTTATCCTGCCTTTCTCACAGGAACTATACCACTAGGGAACTAAGTAATAGGTGAAGGGAGGCCCTTCTTTATAAAGGCATTCTCACTAGTAAATGAAAAATAAATGATAGAATTAGGATATCACCATTTTACAATCCCTAATGAGTTAACAGATCTAGGCACCAACCATCAGTCGCTGCCAACTTCACTATGAGAGACAACAAGCCATTATACGACTTCAGATGAAAGAACAGGTCACCATCTATGGTCTTGCCAAAGAGATCCTAGCTGAGTCTGACCAAGCCTCCAGAACCAGCTGCCAATTGCACGAAATACAGAAGACAGAGGAAACATGTTGAGGTGCCCCAAGACCGTACAGTCAGTGAAATCCAGACTGTGAAAATGCTACAGGTCACACAGCCCAGGATATCTTCAGCAGATAATAGAACAGATAAAAGAAAAGAATTAAAGTGAGAGGGAAATCACTAAAGACATCAAATTAGATGCAAAGTACTGTAGTGTCCCATCTCATATATGGGTTGGGCTCTAAAATCAGTCACTCTACTCAGTAAGTTGAGAACTGGATAGAGTCAAAATTAATCTTGAAAAGTCCCCAAAACATCTTAAGTCACCAGGTCATTGGCCCTGAGAATCCTAAAAGGCATCAATTAACTTTGTACCCCTTTGCATTTGGGCTCTGGCCTCTCCATCCCTGGGTATGGAAACCAAGGTCTAATTTGAACAGGGAAAGGTAAGAGGTTACTTAAAGCAGGGACTCTTGCTCTTGCAGATAGGGTTGAAATCACAGTCAAGAGCAGAAAATGGACAAATGGACAAGTGCTCCCTTCTCACCTTGGCAGCCATGGCTCTGAACTCACTAGCTCCTTCCCAGGACACTGTGTACCTTCCCTGAGAGTCCTCGAGGGCTGTGTTCTCAGGCAACATCCTCCCTCCAATGAGGCCCATGCAAAGGCCTCAGGCAACCTGCAGAGATGTACTTGTGCATTTATCCAAAGGTCTAGAGGGCTGAATGGAACCATCTAGATCCACAAGCTGTGAACCTTTTCACCCAGCTCCTGTCCCCAAGTCACTCCTTGCTGTCAGAGAAAGGCCCTGCTCTGTTAATTATAAAACCAGTTGCCTGAATTCCTTTATCTAAGTTGAGACAGCATCTGTCTCAGGGGAGAGCGTTTCTCAGTAGCAACCTCAGAACTCTCAGCTGACTTCCCTGGGCCTTACATCTTTCTGTGTCTAGAAAGGGAAGGGTGCAGGTATCTCTGTGCTGGGTGCTGCTAAGATAGCTTTGGCCAAAGCCTGGTGAAGCCCTGGAGGTGGAATACCCAGGGCCATGGGACAAGTTACCATGGTCTGGAAGCAGGAGTGGAGCTGGGTCAGGAAGGGCGGCTTCCCAGGCAGGGCCAACACCCGCTTCTCCACCATAGTGCACTCCACGTCATCATCTTGGATCACAACGTCCTTCTTCAGGATCTTCACAGCATAGAGCTCATCTGTGCCTTTTCGTTCTGAAAGCATGACCTGGGAAAGAGAGCAAGCATGTCAGGGCAGTTGGAAGGAGTCTGGGGGCCAGTTATGAGCAGCTGGTGTTCATTTGTAGCCACACTTAGCTTTGTATAGGTGCCTTCTGTTGACTCTGAAACAACAGGTAATGTTTTCTATTGACTTCACACTTTTATATTTTCAGACACAGGGTCTTGCTCTGCCACCCAGCCTAGATTGCAATAGCATGATCATGACTCACTGCAGCCTAGAGGGTAGTAACATGATCATAGCTCACTGCGGACTCGAAATCCTGGGCTCAGTGATCCTCCTGCCTCAGCCTCCCAAGTAGCTAGGGCTACAGGTAAGTGCCACCATGTCCGGCTAATTTTTTTATTTTTTATTTTTTGTAGAGACAAGGTCTCACTATGTTGCCCAGGCTGGTATCCTGGCCTCAAGCAATCCACCTGCCCTGGCTTCCCAAAGTGCTAAGATTACAGGGGTGATTCTGCATCCAGCCCTGACCTCGCACTTTGAATAGCTGAACTCAATCAAGAGAGGATGGTTCCAGGGGAGATGATTGTATATTGATCCCTCTGAGGTAACAGGCAATGTGTCAATGCCCAGCTAGAAGGTAAGCCCCATGAGGGCAAGTATCTTTGCTGTTTTGGTTTACTGGTGTAACCCAAGAGCCTGCAATAGCTCCTGGCTCATAGTACATGTTCAATAAATGTTTGTTGAATGACAGAATGAGTGAATGACTGACAAAACTAAAATTAGGGCACTTGTTCCTTTATTAATTCAAGTATTTAATGTTCACTAAGAACCTGCTAAGCACTGGGGATACAGCAATAAAGAAACAAGCACGTTCTCTGACCCTTAACTCCAGAGAGGAAGAAATATTTTGCAAATTAATTACAGAGATGATTAATTTAATATTTTAACAGCCTCTCCTGTTGTCTTGGGGCTTCCTTCTATGAGCTGTGCTGTGGTCATATTCAGGGCCAGTTAACCAGTGTGGCTCACAGACACATCGGTATTTTCTGCGTGTCACCCCCTCTCCCACTCTCCCAACCGGGGGAATATTCTTTGAACATTCTTTGGTTGTGATTATGCCAGACAGAACAATGACCAGCAGATTGTCTCAAGAAGCCCTGTAGGAAGCACAAGGCAGAACCCCATTACGAAGAGTCCTAACCTGGTTTGGGGACTTCTAGGAAGGCTTCCTGGAGGAAGAAAGAATCAGATTGAAGTATTCACTGCATGCACTGTGTCAGATATTTTGCAGGCAACAATACTAACCACCATTACATTTTTGAGCACTTTTCTACTGACCAAACAATTCCAGGTTTTCACTTATTGTTACTCATTTGTATTGCATAACATCATAGGAAGTAGGTGCCATTGTGAATCCCATATTGCAGGAAATTAAGGCTCAGGAGGGTAAGGGAACCAATCAGGGCCAGAGTTCAGGTGATTGAGGAAATTAGATGCTACACTCAACTCAGCTGGAGGACCAGAGGATGCAACAGAGGACTCAGGCTAGAAGGGGTGACATATAGAATAAGCTTAGCAGCAGGAAGGCAGCTCTGCACACCCCACTCAGCTCTTATCCCAGCAGCAAAAGGTCTGGCTAAACTCATGCACAGAAGCTTCCAGATCATGCACCCATGCACTGAAGCTTCCGAGCTGAGCTTGCCAGCTCACAGCATTCCTATCTCCTGTCCTCACCATCTTCTCTCTCATCACAGCCACAGTGACAAAGGCCAGGCAGATGCAGGGATTTGGGACACCTTAGGAAGAGGGTCCCTGTCACACACTTCCACAGCAAGAGAACTCTTTTTAACCTCTTTCTTCCCCAGCACAATAAAAAAGAAAAGCTGCCAGTCTGAGTGGCTCCTGCAGACCCTCTGCTTACGTGCATGGCAAGACAGGGCTCCAAGTGCTAGGATGGGCACCTTCAGTTTATTTCTTGCCTCCCTCTGTTCTCTCCCTGGTACCCAAGGGATGTATTTTCCTTCCTCAATGCTTACTAACACAGAAACAATGACTCAAGGGAGTCACTTTCCTAAGATGTAGAGTCAGGTGGAGACAGGGACTTCCTGCTCCTGGATTCCAGAGAGAGCTGGGGCCGGGACATGTGCAGGGAGGGGGCAGGGAGGTGACTTAGCTGGAAGACAAGTGAGCAGAGGAATTGGAGATGGAAAGAAGAAGAGTTCTCAGCTGAGAAACTCCAGAGCCCAGTAAGAAGGGCTTGGTGCTGAGCTGTCCTTGACAGTGGACACCCTCTGATATGGTTTGGCTGTGTCCCCACCCAAATCTCGTCTTGAATTGTAGCTCCCGTAATTTCCACGTGTTGTGGGAGGGACCTGGTGGGAGATAATTGAATCATGGGAGCGGTTTCCTGCCTACTGTTCTAGTGGTAGTGAATAAGTCTCACAAGATCGGATGATTTTATAAGGGGTTTCCCCTTTCGCTTAGCTCTCATTCTCTCTTGACTGCTACCATGTAAGACGTGACTTTAGCCTTCCACCATGATTGAGGCCTCCCCAGGTCCATTAAACCTCTTTTTCATAAATTACACAGTCTCGGGTATGTCTTTATCAGCAGCATGAAAACGGACTAATACACTCTCCCTGACCCATCACCACCGGTCAAGGCACCATCCAACAATCCTGAATATCTGCAACTATCTCCCATTCCCCCAACCAAAACGAGAGAAGGAGGGGCCCTAGACACCTTCAGTGCAGATGCAGTCATGATAGGACATCTTAGCCTTCCACATGGAAGAGAGACAGGGCAGAATGGCTGGGAATTTCCCCCTTCACCAGGGACAGGGGTGGACATCCTACATCTGTGTCAATTACCCCCATTTCGTAGATAAACACACTGAGGCTCAGGGAGATTAACTTGCTTCAGCTAATGACTGTTCTGAAAATGCAGCTCTGACTGTGCCACTTGAATGCTGAAAGCCCTTCAGTGGCTCTTGAAAGCCAAACAATTCCATGACCACATCCTGTTCTTTCTTTTCCTTTGAACATTCGACTCCCACTGTCTATGACGTCCTTCCATGCTCTTGCACTGCTTTGAAAATCTGAGATTCCACTGGGCTGTTATCTCCTCCTCTAATCTGGAGGTTCCATTCAGACCAAATCGGCCACTACCTCCTCTGGGCACCAGGGCTGCTTTGTAACTATGTCAGTTACTGTAGCTCAGGCATTTCCGCACTTCAATCATTCATATCCGTTTTTTCACATTTCTTCCTGCCACCTAAACTGTTATTTGCTTAGCATTTTAAAAATCTAGTCACATTTCAACTTAACTAAATTTGAAAAGGAAACTTTATATCACCACTATTAATGGCAAGCCAGTATCACAAGTCATAAATGGAAGATAAGCATAAAAATAAATAAAAGCAAAGCGGTGCCAGTAAATTCTAGCTATATACTGCTGGCTGCTGAAGGTTCTGAGTCAGGCTCTGCATCTTCTCCTTGTTAAAGGAAAAAATTGTATTAGAAAGTTGTTAGAGAGCATATTGTCATCAAATGAGATTTGCTTGTTCAAGTAATTAGAAAGAGTAAAAGGAGACACAGAAATAACCTTATCATAACGTGATTTAATTTTATTTCATAGTGCAACTACACGGCACCTAAAACAATCTCAAGTAGCAGTTGAAATCTTCTTGCAAATCAGCAATGCTATGTGCTCCGCATCGTAGGAGATACTATTGCATTTGTACAGATAGTTTTAAAAATCAATAAACAGGGGTGTGTGAAGATTCCCAGTGTCTTGCCCTGCCCTCAACAACATGCCCTATACTGATTAACGGAAAACAGAACGGGCATGCATAAGGCATAGCAAAAATTTAGACATAGAAGCGAACTGAATTCTAGAGCAGGAGTCAGGACACTTTCTCTATAAAGGGCCAAACAGGAAATATTATAGGCTTTGCGGGACGGTCTGGATCAAGAGAATGAGTGTGGCCGTAGTCTAATAAAACTTTATTTACAACAATAAGCAATAGCCTGGGCTCCAATAGTTTGCTGACCCTTGTTTTGCAACAAGTGTTTCAAGAAGATCAGGGAAAATAAGAGTAACCACATGATAAAAAATGACTGCAGTTTAATTTGGAAATGAAAACCCTAGCATGCCTTTCACTTCTTCCAACTCTGTGTTATTAGAAGAACCTTCTGATTGGGCAGTGGATACAGCTGGTCACAGCTGATTGGATCAGAGGTAAGTTCCTCAACCTGAGCCAAGCCAATCGGATTCCCCCTCCCAAGAATTTGAATTAGGGTACTCTGAGGAGTCAGTCCTGGGTCCCTCAACAGAGAATACACAGATCTTCCTAGAGTGGTCCTTTTTTGTTTTGTTTTGTTTTGTTTTCTGTTTTTCGTTTTTGAGACAGATTCTCACCCTGTTGCCCAGGCTGGGGTGCAGTGGCATGATCTTCGTTCACCTCCTCCCGAGTTCAAGCAATTCTCTTGCCTCAACCTCCCAAGTAGCTGGGATTACAGGCGTCCACCACCACACCTGGTTAATTTTTGTATTTTTAGTAGAAATGGGGTTTCACCATGTTGCCCCAGCTGTTCTCAAACTCCAGACCTTCAGTGATCCGCCCATCTAGGTCTCCCAAAGTGCTGGGATTACAGGCGTAAGCCACCACACTCAGCCTAGCGTGGTCCTTTTCTACCACTGTGCAGGCAAAGAGGAATAAAATAGATGTTTGAGGCAGGGGGAAAAAAACAAAGAAGGTAAGAGAACAAGCAGAGGCCTTGCTTTCAGTTTCCAATCTCTCATGAGGCTTAGCCATTTTCTGTTTGAAACCTTTATGTTCCTCCAATAAAGTTATTTTTATTTATATTACTTTGAATGGATTATGTATCTTAGAGATCCCTAAAACAAAATTATTACATAGGTAGCTCAAATTCTTACTAATAATTAAAATACATGAAGCCAAGTAGCATCATGTCAGTATGTGACCTAAAACAAGGCAAATTCCAGTCTTTATAAAGGACAGTGCCTCTTGCCTATGTCAGAATCACTTGAGGGTCTTTGCTTACCATATAGATTCCAAGCACTCCCTCTCCTTCAGGAGCTCTGGGCTGTGACCTGGGAGTCTGCATTTTAATAAACATATTCTTCCTATGTTGATTATAATCACCAGATATTATCAAAATTGATTCATTTAATAAGGTGGCTAGGAGATGTCAGTAGGTAAAGCTGACAGAATCCTTCCATCCTGATTTTCCTAACACTTTCTCAGCAGTCATTAATAGGATGAGAGAAAACTTTCCTTTTCTTCTTAATATTCTAATCAAGCTTTCATTTTCGATATAAATCTCTCTGTCCTCTCTTGGAGTTACATTTTGAGAGCTGTCCCCATAGCACGAAGGAAGTGATACTTTATAGAGGTTTTAAAACATGTCTACAAATATTTGATACTCCTCCAATCAGAGCCAGAGTCTCTGAACCTGGGCAGGCACTGCGGCTGCCTTAATGAACAGAATGTGGTGAAGAGACCCTGCAAGACTTCTGAGGCTGTAGCTTCTGTCAGTTTCTTTCCTTTCTACCCCAAGACACAATGCTAGACCAGGGAACAAGACCCCATGAAGAAACCCTGGTACTACCTGATAAGCTTGATGACCAGGCAGCCCCAGGTGCTCCAGCCAGTGCAGGAAAAACCTCAAGCCACAACCAACCAGTGATCATTCCCAATCTCCTGACCCACAGAAACCATGACAGATAATATAGGATGGCTGTTGTTTTAAGCTTCTATGTTTTGGAATGACTTGCTACATAGCAATAGATAACTAGAACAGATTTATCAAGTCCCTCTTTCTCTATAAAGGGCCAAGCAGGAAATATTATAGGCTTTGCAGGGCGGTCTGGATCAAGTGAATGAGTGTGGCTATGGTCTAATAAAACTTTATTTACAAAAATAAGCAGTAGCCTGGGTTCCAATAGTCTGCTGACCCTCGTTTTAGAATAAGTGTTTCAAGAAGGATCAGGGAAAAGAAGAGTAACCACATGATCAAAAATGGCTGCAGTTTAATTTGCAACCCAGCTTGGTCAGCAGTGGTCCCTGCCACCTTGGGTTTGGTTATGCATGCTCTTTTCAATCAATAATAACAATATTGTTTAAAGCTTCAACTGAGAGAGGCAACAGAGATGGAATTCATTGGGCCTTCCAAATGCATCAACTTTCCTAGTTTTATCCAGCACCTAGAAGACTAGACAATTCTTTCAGTTAACATTAATTTAGGGTCTAGGATGTGTCAGACACTGAGATAGGCACCAGGAATGCAGAACGACAAGGTTCCTGCCCTCATGAAGCTTACACTCCTGTACAAATAACTACCTAACATCAATCATAATGAGACCCCTGAAACAGAAGTACACATTGCTCTTGGAGTGTTTAAATGGAAGACTTAACATCGCTGAGTGGGTCAGCAAAAGATGCTCTTCGGGAAGTGATGGTTAAGCTGACACCTGAAGTATCAATAGGACTAGCAAGGCGGGGACACAGGAGGCATATTTCAGCCAAAGGGAAAAGAACAGTGCTTCCTTAGGATTAAACGATCTGGATCTACAAACCTTGGCCTATGATTCCTATAAGGATATGAGCACTTAAGCTTCAGAAATCAAATTGCAGATGCTGACTCCCATCTCTCTGAGATGTAGCAGACAATTGTCTCTAATAGAATCACAGAGATCCAGCCACCAAGTAGGGTGGCTGGACAAAGAATTTGTGATACTCAAAGGCCTAGTGTTTGTGCCAAGGAAAAAAAGGGCAACGTTGGGACAGTTTGGACTTTATAACAATAACCATGTACATGCCCACTGATTACTTCCAATATGCATTATCTTATTTAATTCCCACAGTAAATACGTAAGGTGGAAACTGCTGCTATCCCTATTTTACAGATGAAGAAGGGAGGGCTTAACAAAGCTAGGTGACTCGTCCGTATTCCACTAGGAAGTGACACCTAGTCACCTGTCCCTTAAATCCATGCCCTTAAACACACCCATCATCAAGCCCTAAGTGCCAAGTGTTCAGTGGTGAGCAAATCAGTGCTGGAATATTTTAAATTCAGTTTTAGATCCTGGTCCTATTCCTCTTTTCCTATCCACCTTGCACATAGCCACAGAGAGAACAGTCATTTCCTTTTTCTATTTCTTATACAACCACTAACATTTGCTTGGCGAGATGAGCTTGGTGTGCATTCATGCTGCAGTCACGATTCCAGTTCTTCCATCAGGTCTACAAGCTCTATTGGGAATTTTGTTCTAGGCATGATGCTAGGCACTGGTGATGTGCCCAATAAGCAGGACAAACACGGCCCTGCTTCCATCAAGTGGCTTGGGCAGACCTTTCTGCCTCCACATATGCTGTGAAGTTTTTTTTTTTTTTTTGAGACAGAGTCTCCTCTGTTGCCCAGGCTGGAGTGCAGTGGTGCGATCTCGGCTCACTGCAAGCTCCGCCTCCCGAGTTCACTCCATTCTCCTGCCTCAGCCTCCCGAGTAGCTGGGACTACAGGCGCCCGCCACGATGCCCGGCTAATTTTTTGTATTTTTAGTAGAGACGGGGTTTCATCGTGTTAGCCAGGATGGTCTCAATCTCCTGACCTCGTGATCCGCCCGCCTCAGCCTCCCAAAGTGCTGGGATTACAGGCATGAGCCACCGCGCCCGGCCATATGCTGTGAAGTTTTGCCATGGGAGAGGAAAAGAGCAGAAAAGTAGCCATTGCCCTGGCTGGTGATGCCCACGTTCAAAAATGTTCCTTTAAATGGAAATGATCTCTTATTAATTGTCTCAAGCAGTTTCTGGAGCTTCCAGAAACTTTAATACCAACATAGAGGGCGTGGGCTGTTTGTTCAGCTGTCCCTCTCTCTCCAGGGTGAGGATTCCAAACAGACTGAAAGGATGTGTTGAAGTGACGTTCTTATCAAATTCCAAGCCACATCTGTTCCCCCAAGAATCTTCTGGGAGAGATGTGATAAATAGCAGAACTCTGATGACAGCAAATAAAACAGAGGAAAGTAGCCCAGGGATTCCTGGCTGGAAAGTTTGTGGTGATGAACTTTACTGGCGAATCCCAATGGCAAAGCGTGCCTGGAATCTCGGCCCCTGACTGTGGCCCAGCGTTGCATAATGGTTAGGGCATGGACTTTTAGAGTTAGAAAACCTGGTACGTGTCCAAGTTTTGCCACATACAAGCTGTACGACCTTGAGAAATTCACTGTTTTCTGAACCTCAATCTTCTCCTCATCTTATAAAATGGAGATGCCAACAATACTTTGCTTTTGGTGCTGCTGAGAGAGTTTTATGGGATAAAGTATCTTAGTGCACACCTTAACTTAGCACTGTGCATGGCAAATTATAAATATTTAATACCTGGTGGTTCTACTAGTTTCCTAGCATGACCAAAAGGAAGAGCCAAAACCTGAGTGACTTCACACAAAAGGAATTTATTATTTCAGAGTTCTGGAGGCTGGAAGTCCCAAATCAAGGTGCTGGCAGGGTTGGTTCCTTCTGAAGATTCTGAGGGAGGATCTGTTCCATCCACACCTCCCTCCTAGGTCCTGCTGGCTGCCAGCTACCGTTGGCACTCCCTGGCTTTTAAGCGCATCACTCCAATCTCTGCCTCTGTCTTCCCCTGGTATTCTTCCCTGTGTGTTCTGTCGGTATCCAAATATCCCTCTTCTTATGAGGACACCAGCCATTGGATTCAGGCCCACCCTAATCCAGAGTGACCACATCTTAACTTGCTTATAACTGCAAAGACCCTATGTCCAAGTGAGGCAACCTTCATTAGAAATTGAACATACATTGTTTACGAGGACACAATTCTACCCATTACAGTGGTGATCGTCAACATCATCTTTTCACCAAACAACAAAGGGGGCTGATGGTGAGCTTTGTACAAAGCACCAACCTCCGGTTTTCAACTGGCCCGGGAGCTTTGTCCTGAGGGAGCAGTGCAAATGGCCACACTAGTGTGCAAGGGCAGAGACAGCCAGGGACCCAAGATCTTGCTTCCCAACTGCTCAACTTCAACATACACTTGCCACAAGTCCAAAGCCAAATCCAGTCACCCTCAGTTCCTCTCTCCTGTATCTCTCATCCAGTACAATCACAAGATTTGTCAGCTCTACATTCAAAATATATACTAAGTTCAACCTCTTTGCTGATCTGAGCCACCTTGATCCTTAGCCTGGTTTCCTGCAGTTGTCTCCTACCCTGTTTTCTGCTTCCCCTCTTCTCGCTCTCATAAACATTCTATTCTCTTTTTCTCTCTTTTTTGGTAGACATTAGGTCTCACTCTGTTGCCCCAGCTTGTCTGGAACTCCTGGCCTCAGGAGATCCTCCTACCTTGGCCTCCCAAAGTGCTGGATTACAGGCATGAACCACTGCACCTGGTCCATTCTATTCTCTATACACCTGAACGATGCTTTAGAAACTTAAGTTTGTTCATGTCACTCCACCTTCCTAAGGCTTTCCTCTGTCCTCCTACTGTACTTGGGACTCAATCTCACCTCTCAGAATCACTGCCTTTTGCTCTTCCTGCCTGCATGACTCTTCCCCTAGGGACACTCAACAGTTTGCTCCCTCATCTTGTTCAGGTCACTCCAATGTGACCCTGTCACCAACACCCTCCCTACCACCTTCTCTAAACTCATAGGCCCCATTGTCACTTTCCATCCCCTTCCCCTCCTTTGTTTTTCTTGACAGCACTTACCACACGGGCATTATATTAATATCTATCTGTTTATTTTTATCCCTCACAAGAGTGGAAGCTCCATGAGGGCAGGCATTTTCTTTGAGCTGCCCACTGTCATGTCCCCAACATCTAGCACACAGTTGACACTCAATACATATCCGTTGAATCAATGAATGAAAGGATTTCATGAGTAGGAGAAGTTGCTTTAAAAATCTCCCAGATCAAGGTCACTAAAGATCTTCAGTTCCTTGGGTGTCAGCATTGTTTAATTTACATAAGGCTCCATCCAACTCATATTTCACAAAGAATTTGAGGGATCATTCAAGATTACATGAAACAAACAAGTGAATCTTCTGTAAATTATACCTCAACACAGGTGGTTAAAAATGAATGTAGTGGCCGGGCTTGGTGGCTCATGCCTGTAATCCCGGCACTTTGGGAGGCCAAGGAGGGTGGATCACTTGAGGTCAGGATTTCGAGACCAGCCTGGCCAACATGGTGAAACCCTGTCTCAACTAAAAATACAAAAGAATTAGCTGGGCATGATAGCACACGCCTGTAATCCCAGTTACTTGGGAGGCTGAGGCAGGAGTATCACTTGAACCCGAGAGGTGGAGGTTGCAGTGAGCCGAGAGATCATCATGCCACTGCACTCCAGCCTGGGTGACAGAGTGAGACTCGGTCTCAAAAAGAAAAAAAGAATATAGTAAATACACGTGTATGTGTACATGTATGCATATATACTTTATAGATATATACTCTCTCTTTCCCTCCTTTGCCATCTCCCTCTCTCCTTCGTTCTCTTTTCTTTTTTTTCTCTCCCTCTTTTCTTCTCAGTCTCTCTCTTTCTCTCTCTCTCTTTCTCTCTCTCCTACTTTCTCTTTCTGCTTCCTGGAAACCAAAGCAATCAGAAATATATGCAACATAACAAAATTCATATTTTCTATAATGAAAATCGTTTTTTGAGGAGAAAAATAAGCTTTCTCTAGAACTTAGGTCTAAGAGAAATGTTTTGCATGGATGTTTGAACACACTGTGCTGTGGATGGTGTTCTTAATAACATCCCTGCAACAGAATCAGAAAAGGAGGAGGAGGAGGCAAGGAAGAAGAGACCAAAACATCTAGCACTGTCACAGTCTGCAAGCTTGACTAACAAACAGTGATTGGGAAAAGATTCTAACTTGAATTCAGATGGTGCATCTAAAATAGACAAAGAGACCTTTAGGGCTCTTAGGTCCCCACACACTAAATTGGGAGAAGAGCATCATTCAAGATTACATGAAACAAACAAGTGAGTCTTCTGTAAATTATACCTCAACACAGTAAGGTGTGGTGAGCTGAGGTCAACTTGGGGAGGGACAGACAAGCAAGTTACAGCTCATGTGTATATACTGTAGGCCTCCAGGGGATCACACGATCCCTAGTTCCCTCTCCCATGCCCCTCCCTCCCTAGCTCCCTCTCCCATCCCTGCTAGGGAGCAGGCTTGTGGATGACACTGGGTATAGGATCAGGGTACTCATCTGTTGCAAGGACTATACCCTCCCTCTGTCTTAAGATCCTATCTCGGCCGGGCACGGTGACTCATGCCTGTAGTCCCAGCACCTTGGAGGCCACGGCAGGTGGATCATCTGAGGTTAGGAGTTCAAGAACAGCCTGGCCAACATGGTGAAACCCCGTCTCTACTAAAAGTACAAAAATTAGCCAGGTGTGGTGGTGCACATCTGTAATCCCAGCTACTTGGGAGGCTGAGGCAGGAGACTCGCTTGAACCAAGGAGGTGGAGGTTGCAGTGAGCCGAGATCATGCCACTGCACACCAGACTGGATGACAGAGTGAGACTCCATCTCAAAATAAATAAATGAAATAATAAAATAAAATAATAAAATAAGAGAAAGAGACCTTTAGGGCTCACAGGGTCCTCAAACACTAAATTGGCAGAAGAGCATCAGTAAGGTGTGATAAACTGAGGTCAACTTGGGGAGGGACAGACAAGCAAGTTACAGCTCATGTGTATATACTGTAGGCCTCCGGGGGACCACACGACCCCTAGCTCTGTATCCCATGCCCAGCACTAGGGAGCAGGTTTGTGGACGAGGCTGGGTACAGGGTCAGGGTGCTGATCTGTTGCAAGGAGTGTACCCTCCCTCTATCTTAAGATCCCATCTCTTTGAGGATCCCCTTGATCTCTGGGGCTATCTCCTGCATGGATTCTTCCCAGTCCCCCTGAAGACCTGCAGAGGGTAGGTCAGATGAGCTCAACTCCAAGTTTTAAGGCAAATATGATCTCCTTCCTTCCCCCAGCCCTTCCGTGGACGAGCCTTGCCTGCTGCACTGAGCTGCTGCTTCTCCCTGCTGCATATTAGAACTCCCTGTGGAGGTTTTAGAAGCCGATGCTTGGGCCACACTCTAGACCAATTAAATCGGAACCTTCTAAACATTGGGAGGCTGCCTGTGCCAGGCCTGGCCCTCACTGGAGGAGGACAGAGAGAAAAGCTGGCTAGAGGCCATCAGGGTGATCAGGGGCTGGAAAACTGAGCAAACGCCAACCACCTGCTCTTCCCGGGGCACTCACCCACTCAGGAGCAGGATTTCGAGAGAAACCTGGGTGCAGCTTGGTGCACCGAAGCTAATCAAATGGAGGTTAACTTCTGCATCCACGTCTTTACCACGTGGCAGGTATCCTGACCATCTCTGCCATGTAAGAAAGAGATTATGGCATCGACAGAGTCTGATGATCTGGAAGCTTATATCTAATTAGAATTATAGTCATAGAAGGTTCAAGTTCAGACTTTGGAATCATGAGCTCAAATCCTGACTCTATCATATGGTTTGCTGTGTGTTCTTGGCTGAGTTACTCAACCTCTCTGAGTCTCAGTTCCCCAATCCATAAAAGGGGAATAATGACAGTTTCTCCCTCAGAAGGTTGTTGTGAGATCAAGTGACATAATGCAGGTTAAGCTCAGGGCCCAACACACAGCAAGCCATAATTATTAATTTGAAGGCACGATTATGGAGGATAAGAAGGATGTTCTAACTCCTGTGGGTGTGTATAGGGGATTCTTTCCCACATTCTCCATATGCAAGAAAGAGAAAGGCAGAAAGTGAATCAGAGCAATCGACCAATGTCGCTATGAAATCTATGTCCTGGGAGATCCTTACACAAAGCCCAGAGTGAAAGGCAAGGTCATACTGTCTGTGCTTAGAGGTGGTACTGGGCACGTGACCTCCAGGATCCTCCCTGGGTAATCCACATGCTCTGTGGCAGATAGGATTTCCCTACAAAACCAGCAAACCGTCTGTCAACTTCTAAAATCTCAAGGGAAAAGGAACTATGTACCCTGGTTTCCAGGCCCTTCCAAACTCATCTTTTCTAGCATGCGGATTTGCCAAAGCCCTCCTTCTGCCTGGGCCAGGGATTAAGCACTGAAGGGCTTAAGCTACCTCATCTCTGATAACCAGAGGCCTGGAATGGAGGGGAAAGCCATTCCAAACAGGAGGTCTTGGCCGGGCACAGTGGCTCACGCCTGTAATCCCAGCACTTTGGGAGGCTGAGGCAGGTGGATCACTTGAGACCAGGAGTTCGAGACCAGCCTTGTCAACATGGTGAAACCCCGTCTCTACTAAAAAATACAAAAATTAGCCAGGCATGGTGGTGCATGCTTGCAATCCCAGCTACTTGGGAGGCTGAGGCAGGAGAATCACTTGAACCTGGGAGGTGGACGTTGCAGTGACCCGAGATCTCACCTCTGCACTCCAGCCTGGGCAACAGAGGGAGACTCTGTCTCAAAAAACAAAAAATAAAAACAAACAAACAAAAGCAAGAGGTCTCACAGCAGGTTGGATATCAGGGTAAAATATAGACAAGAGTCCATTAACAAGAGTTAGTAGGGCCATGATGATGATTTCATGACATAAGGCATGTTAACAGCTTAACATATAGCAAAGAATGAAATCGCCTTTGCAAAAATTATAACTAAATGATGACAGTGGAAGAGATCTGATCTAACCAATCCTCATCTTGCTTTTGACTTCCAAACTGCCCTTAGTCATTTCTGGACTTGGGCCAAGCTAAATTTGGGAAACATTTAGTGTATAGTTTACATGGTAACAGCCCTTCCCCCAAACTAAACTGCCTTTGTAAAACTAATGAAAGACTGCCAAGTTAGGAGGATGAAAGGAGCCTGAATTCGGCTAAGGTGTAGACATAAAGGATTACTAGCCATTATTCCAGAAGTCACAAGACTTGCAACTTTCCCAATTACTCCCACAGATAACATCACTGTTGTAGAACTGCAGATTGGCCTTTTGAGATGTCTTTCAGTCTTTTCCCTTTCTGACTACTGGACAGCCCCGACGTGAACCCATAAGCCAGTCCTGCGACCCCACCCAGAAGTGGATACAGAGCATAAGGACCATTTTCCACACCCCTATGACTGCATCTCCAACCAATCAGCAGCACCCATTCCCTAGCCACCTCCTCTCCCTGCCAAACTATCTTGGAAAAATTCTAGCCTCCAAATATTCATGGAGGCTGATTTGAGTCTTTGTGTGTAAAGCTCTTTCCCTATTATAATTCCCCTCTTGAGAAATCGGCTCTATCTGGGGAGCAGGCAAGAAGATCCCACCGGGTGGTTACAAGAACTCAGTACACTGCATTCACCATGGTTGTTGGCGAATTCTTCACTTTTGAGGCTCTCCTAAACTTCCAACTTTGACCAGAAATGAAGATGTCCTATCACATTCTAGTTTATCTTGAAGGCCCTAATTCTGATTTTCCAAAGTGTATTCTTAAGCGTCAGACTTCGGATGAAATGTTCCAAACACATATGTCCACACAAACATATGTTTAAATGTTACATTTGACAGTGGCCACATCAGTCTGATGCGAAGTCATGTGGTTTGAAGGAATCAAATGCACTTGCCTCTAGCAGTAAAGAGGAAGCCAGCAGTCTAAAAATGATTTCAGACTTCTAACAGTCTGTTTAGGAGAAGGCAACTGGGTAGACTCTGCCAAGTGAAGACGTACCTCAGGAAAAACTGGAAAGTGATATAATGGGGAGAAGATGCTTGGGAATTAATAGTGTGGATGTAGGTAGGACTGCAGCACTTTTCGAATACAGTCTTCACGTTGGCCAGATGAAAAGAAGAGCAGTGATATCCGGCGTATAGATCAACTCGGATGATACAACTTGGCTATTTCTTGATTTATTACGTAAGGTTTTCTGTATTTAAAAATCTCTTTATAGATGATAAAAGCATGGATCTGTGTGATAGATAAGCTAATTTTTCATTTCAGAGGTCAGATTGACAGGTTGCATTAAGATTTCAACCTTTTAAAATGAGGCCATGCCACACCTGTAATTTAATCAAGTAGCATTTTTGCCCACTAGCTGAGAAAGCCATGAAAGTGTGAAACGAAGTTTAGAATGAAGGTGCATTTAGCCCAGTCATCTCTGGTTTCTGTGGACTTGCTATTGTTAAGCAAATGTCACTACACCCCTAGAAGGGATGACTCACAGTGACTGCTAGAAAGGGGAGGAGTGGAACAAGGAGATTGAAACCTGAAATACCTGGCCCTGGTATTTAAATGAGGATGTGTGGTTGGGTCTAATAAGAAATGTCTAATTGGGTTGTAACAAGAAATGCGAGAGAACTACTATTTTCACACTCTGGGCTGTGTCGTCTAATTGTTGATACCAGTAGAATTGATTTTTACCAATAGAATTGATATTGATCAATTCCAGTAACTGAACGGTTCTTTTGAGCTGAAATAAATGTTCATGAACTTGGAGCACCTTATCCTTATCCTAAGCAAAATAAGCCAGACACCAAAAGACAAATACTGGGGCCAGGCACGGTGGCTCACGCCTGTAATCCCAGCACTTGGGGAGGCTGAGACAGGTGGATCACCTCAGGTCAGGGGTTTGAGACCAGCCTGGTCAACATGGTGAAACCCTGTCTCTACTAAAAATATAAAATTTAGCCGGGCATAGTGGTGCATGCCTGTAATCTCAGCTACTCAGGAGGCTGAGGCAGAAGAATCGCTTGAGCCTGGGAGGTGAGGTTGCAGTGAGCCGAGATTGTGCCATTGCACTCTAGCCTGGGAGACAGAGCAAGACTGTGTCTCAAAAAAAAAAAAAAAAAAAAAAAAAGACAAATACTGTATGATCTCACATATGTGGAATCTAAAATAGTCAAACTTAAAGAAACAGAGAGCAGAATGGTGGTTGCTAGGGGCTGGGAGTAGAGAAAATGGGGAGATGTTGATTAAAGGGTACAAACTTTCAGTTACAAGATAAATAAGTACTAGCAATTTAAAAGGTATGGCATGGTAATTCAGTTAATAATACTGTGTTATATACTTGAAATATGCTAAGGGAGGAGATCCCAAGTGTTCTCACCACTCACACTCACAAAAGAACAGAAATGCCAAAAAAAAATACATAAATAAAATAAACATTGGTGACATATATGGCTTAGTCAAATTTCTTTGAATCCTATGTTATATTTGACAAAGCTGGATAGTTAAAATAAAAGCAGATTTAATTTGACTCTTTTTTAAATGGTTGCTGGGAAAATAAACTAATAATTGATGGCTTCTACTGAAAGAGAATGAAATGAAACCCTTAAAGTCCTGTCATTCATGGCAACAATTAGGTGGCAGGAAGAAAGCTTGTTTATAATCTGATCTGCCTTGTAAGCACTGCCCCCCTTTGTTGTTGGAGTTACAGAGCACTGCTAATAGAGAACGGGTTTCAGCACAGCAGGAGTAGGGGGCACTGGATGCAAGGGGACTATGGAGCTGAGTGGCAACACATTCTGCAGCCAGGCTCCCTGGTTTGAACCTGCCTCCACCGCTTCAGGACTGCAAGCTTCTCACCTCTCTGAGCCTCTATTCCCTCATCTGCAAAATAGAGACTCTGTCTCTTTATCTACAGATTTAAAAATGCAGATAATAACAGCACCCACTTCACAAGACCCATGGTGAAGATTAAATGAGCAATGCCTATAAAACACTCAGATGAGTTCCCAGTGCTCCAAAAATGTTATCAATCTCCGCAGTGGTGTTCAATGAGGTCAGTACATAAGGTGAAACTGTGGGGTGGGGTGGGGGTTTGAAACAACTACGGCATGAATAATCATAGGTACCATCCACATTTGTACATCCAAAATATTTATCATGGGTGTTGGATGATTACAATCCACAAATTTCTGCCATTATGTTTGTTGTATTATAGAAAAGATTATGGGTTATGCTGTTAGTAACCAGGGATTCATTTTACCAGGACTGTAAATTTCTGAAATAATACATAGAGATAAAGTTGAGATGGATATGCAGAGGATGGCAGGTACCATGATAGCACAATAATTGGACCAGTAGCCATGAATGATCACCTGAGACAGAGTTTCCATGTTAATGGGCTCTATCTGGTCCTTCTACAAGAGGACTTGATTTATCTTTGCGATATTTTTCCCAAAGAATCAGGCAACATTTTAGAGAAAACACAGGGCCCAGCGACGTGACTCACACTTGTAATCCCACTGCTTTGGGAGGCTGAGGCAGGAGGATCGCTGGTGGCCAGAAGTTTAAGACCAGCCTGGTCTACATAATGAGATCCCATCTCTAGAAAAAAAACAAAAATGAGCCAGGCACGATGGCATGCACTTGTAGTCCCAGCTAGTCGGGAGGCTGAGGCAGGAGGATCGCTTGAGCCCAGGAGTTCGGGGCTGCAGTGAGCTAAGATCATGCCACTGCACTCCAGCCTAGGCAACAAAGCCAGATGCTGTCTCTAAAAAATTAAAATAAAAGGCCAGGCACAGTGGCTCACACCTGTAATCCCAGCACTTTGGGAGGCCAAGGCAGATGGATCATTTGAGGTCAGGAGTTCAAGACTAGCCTGGCCAACATGGTGAAACCCCGTCTCTACTAAAAATACAAAAAAAAAAAAAAAATTAGCCGGGCATGGTGGCATGCGCATATAATCCCAGCTACTCGGGAAGCTGAGGAAGGAGAATCGCTTGAACCCAGGAGGTGGAGGTTGCAGTGAGCCGAGATCATGCTACTGCAATCCAGCCTGGGCGACAGAGTGAGACTCCATCTCAAAAATAAATAAATAAACAAAATAAAAAAATTAAAATAAAAAATAATACACATTTAAAGGAAACTCCCACTTTGGCCTGTGTGCCAGACAGGCCCGTCGTTTTCTTCTTTCTCATAGGAAAACTGCCCACATCCTATTTGCTTTTCTTGTCATCTTTCCTGATGGATGGTTGGAAAAGTAACCGCTTCCCCGGTCACAGTGAATTGGATCCTAGGGATCCCTGGTCCACACTGGCCCATCAGTTTTTCTTTCCCGGGATTTTAGATTCCTAGGATATTCTACATGTGAGAATTAGACATGGAGACTTGAGAAGCATCAACAAGGCTGAGAGAGGTGGTGCTGATGCGTATCTGCAGAGAGATGTCATCGAGAAGCAGGGATGACAGGCTGGGGGCCCCCCTACAACCCCCCAGATGGAGCCATGGTTATCAGACTGCTGGAAGCTCTCTCATTCAGGTGGCACTTCTTGCCTCTGGGTGTCTTGAGATACACAGAAACAAGCCATGTCTTCTCAGCAAATACCCGCTTTACTCACTCTGGCTTGACAATCTACTTGCAGCAGATGGAAGGTTGTAAAACTTAAATTCCTGACATTTCATTTTCCTTGATATAATTTATTTTCTTGAGAAAAATGAACCTTATCTTGTCTTGTAACATACTACCTTCTGAGAATTGAAGGCAGAGGCTGCGGAAGAGCAGTAAGTCACTTCATTGAGGAGAGACCTGGAAAATTCGGGAAGGTGGAAGAAGGGCCTCACGAGGATCTGGGAAGATGAGTTGGCAAAAAAAAAAAAAAAAACACGCTGCAATCAGAATTGCATATGAAAGAAGGAAAGGTTGAAGGCTTGGTGGGGGCAGGGAAGTGACATAATTGCGATAGAACCAAAGAGAAGGCAGGAATCCAAGATCAGACAGCAAATGTCAAAAAGGTTCTCTGGAAGAGGATTAAGGAAACAGGTAGCAAACACTTTGAGCTATCTGTGAACCATATGATAAAGGAACTCACCATATGGTGCAGGAAGATAGCAAAGCAGGCTGAAGTACAGGGAAGTGCTTTTGTCTGTAGGATTATATAACCACATCTAATGTATGTATGTATATGTCTGTGTGTGAATACATACCACTAATGAGATTAAAATTAGTAGAGACTCCCACAACAGAAGCTCAGACTTTAGAGAAGGCCTTTGTTCCTGGCATGAACTAAGCTGCCTTTTAATCTCCTCAGGCAATTTCTTCCTGTTAAAATCTGGTGCCGGGCTTGGCTCCAGCAGATGATGCTGTGAGGCCAGGTGTGGTGGCTCAAGCCTGTAATCCCATCACTTTGGGAGGCTGAGGCAGGCGGATCACTTGAGGCCAGGAGTTCGAGACCAGCCTGGCCAACATGGTGAAACCCTGTCTCTATTAAAAACATAAAAATTACTTGGGCGTGGTGGCAGGCGTTTGTAATCCCAGCCACTCGGGAGGCTGAGGCAGGAGAATTGCTTGAACCTGGGAGGTGCAGTGACTCAAGATCACCCCACTGCACTCCAGCCTGGGCAACAGAGCAAGACTCTGTCTCAAAAAGGAAAAAAAAAAAAAAAAAAAAGGGACACTGAGGTCTGGGGCCTGGAACTCTGGAATGCTCTCTCATGCTCACAGAGCATGGTAGTTAAGCACCCTGGCCTTTGGGAAGAAAAGTTTGGAGGCTGCAGAGGGAGGTGCTATTGAGATGCTGGAGCTGGAACATAGGGCTGACTTCTCCATCAAAACCCACCAGGCACAGTGCTCAGGGCCCATGCTGTTTTCAAGGTTCATAAGGCACTTTAATTTTTTTTTTTAAATCACAAGGAAAAAAGTGAACCTAGGTGGAAGTACATGTTTTAATATGTAATATTAATATATTTGTCTTCATACCAATGCAGTCATGAGATACCATTTTTTGCTTTTTTTTTCATGGAAGAAGGAGAAACCCACAAATGTCATTATGCAGCTTTCTAAATATATAAGAGACAGGGTGTCCCTCTGCTGTCCAGGCTGGAGTGCAATGGTGTAATCATAGCCACTTCAGCCTCGAACTCCTGGGCTCAACCTCTCTTCCTGCCCCAGCCTCCAGAGTAGCTAGGACTACAACTGTGTGCCAGTGTGTCTGGCTTTTTTTTTTTTCCTTTGAGACGGAGTCTCGCTCTGTCGCCCAGGCTGGAGTGCAGTGACATGATCTCGACTCACTGCAACCTCTGACTCCCAGGTTCAGGTGATTCTCCTGCCTCAGCCTCTTGAGTAGCTGGGATTACAGGCATGCGCCACCACGCCCGGCTAATTTTTATTTGTATTTTTAGTAGAGATGGGGTTTCACTATGTTGGCCAGGCTGGTCTCAAACTCCTGACCTCGTGATCTGCCTGCCTCAGCCTCCCAAAGTGCTGCAATTACAGGTATGACCCACTGCATCCAGCTGTGTCTGGCTAATTTTTAAACACATTTTTAGAGATCAGGTCTTGCTATGTTGCTCAGGCTGGGCTGGTCTTGAACTCCTGAGCTCAAGCAATCCTCCAGGCTTGGCCTCTAGAGGCTCTGGGATTATAGCCATGAGCCACCACACCTGGCCTCATTAGGTAGCTCTTGTAATCGTTTTGTAACTGCTGTTTCAAAAAAGTCAAAAAGAGAGAAAGGGAAGGAAGGAAGAAAGAAAGGAAAAAAGGAAGAGGAAAGAGTAGTGGTTTGGACTGGGCATGGTGGTTCACTCCTATAATCCTAGCACTTTGAGAGGTCAAGGCAGGAGGATTCCCTGAGCCCAGGAGTTCGAGACCAGCCTGGGCAACAAAGTGGGACCCTGTCTCTACAAAAACAATAAAAAAATTAGCTGGGTGTGGTGGCATGTGCCTGTAGTCCCAGCTACTTGGGAGACTGAGATGGGAGGATTGCTTGAGCCTGGGAGGTTGAAGCTGCAGCGAACCATGGTCACGTCACTGCACTCCAGCCTGGGTGACAGAGTGAGACTCTTGTCAAAAAAAAAAAAAAAATTTAAACTAGGGGTTTGGGAAGATGTGTGGACCCCAAAGTGGAGAAGAGATGGCAAGAGGCAACTGAAATCACAAAACCAGCTTTCAAGGTCCCGCCTCCTTCTTGGAGAAGTCACTTAACCTCTCTGCCTTACAATTTCTATATGATATAATAGAGTGATTATCAGTGACTACCTTGCAGGATTATGGTGTGAATTAATATGATATAATGCATGCAAATCCATGGCATGGTCCTTGTCAATGAGCATGAGCTCAGAAACGTTGGCGATAATGGGCAGGGTGTGAGTGGAATTGGAGTGGGTGCAGCTGGGCAGTAGAGTTGGTAAGGGTTAAGAAAATGGAGGTTGAAGGTTGAAAAGGAACCAGCTAAGGAGTCACTGCACTCACTAGAGATGCTTCCAAGACTTGGGGACTCCCATAAGGCTGAAGCCTGTGGAGGAGGTCAGAAGGGCAGAGGCTGGAGGAGTGAAAGCCATTCTCATGGGCCCTCTTAGGAATCCCTGCGGATGACTCACGGTTCCAATGAGCACAGGGCACATGTGTTATTTACACATGGACAGGTAGCCAATAAGCACAGAGTGATGAGGATGAACAGAAAACCCAGAGCCCTCCATCACTAGGAGTATGTGGTTTGTCTAATGGCAGCAACTTACACTGAAAATAAGGCATGCAATTTTTTTTTGTTTTTTGCTTTTATAGAGATGGGGTCTCCCTTTGTTGCTCCATCTCCTGGGTTCAAGTGATCCTCCTGCCTTGGCCTCCCAAAGCACTGAGATTAAAGGTGTGAGCCACTGCACCTGGCCATAAACTCTGCTTAGCACTTAGAGGGAAAGATGAGAAAATAAGAGGGAAAAATGACTAACCTCCTAGAATATGTTTGTGACATTCCACGGAATCGCTGTTAAAACTAGGAAATTACATGTTAAGTTTCAAGCAATCAAGATCCCAAAATCAGCTGGTCACAGTGGCTCATGCCTGTAATGCCAGCACTTTGGGAGGCTGAGGCAGGCAGATCACTTGAGCCAAGGAGTTCGTGGCTGCAGTGAGCTATGATTGCACCACTGCCCTCCAGCCTGGGTGACAGAGTGAGACCCTGTCTCTAGAAGAAAAAAAAAAAAAAAAAAAAAGCCCCAAATCATACACATCTAAATCAAAGCTGATCTGTTTAATGCCATTTACTAGCTGTGTGACTTCAGCAAGTTATTCCAACTTTCTGCATCTCACTCTCCTCATCTGTAAAATGGGGACAACAGTAGCTGCATCATAGAGTAAGTGTGAGCTAATGAATACATACTAAGCACTTATAACAGAGCCTGGCACATAGTAAGGACCCAAAAAATGTTAGGTGTTATCATCATCTTCGTCGTCACCATCACTACCACTAGAATATAAGTTTCATGAGGGCAGGCAGATATATTTGTTTGTTTTGTTCATAGACATTGCCTCTGTACCTACAAGGGTACCTGGCATATAGTAGATGCTCAATAAATACTTCTTGAATGAATGAATCCTTAGTTATGCCTTTCAGTGGGAAGTTACTGTAAAGGTGATGACTTCTGCCCAGAATAATGTATGGATTCCAATCTTATTTCCAGTTCCCTTCCCCTCATGCCTGCCCTACTCCCCTGAGCAAGCCAGGATGCCTCATGCTCAGATCTGGAGAGATATGAGTTACAAGACTGCTGATAACCTGGGAGACAGATGTTTCTGAAAGTTGCTAAGGGGAGGAGACATAATACAAAAGGATAAGGAAGGAGTGGGTGGGGAGGAAATGAAGGTAGAAAATCTCCAAAGAGTAGCTTTGCTGTCTGGATATATTTAGTGAGTAAAGGAGGGTAGAGGGAGGTCAAGATCACACGAAAGATTTTTAAGGATACAGGCAGTGTTGCGCATATTCCTTATTTGAAGGAAAGGATATGGAGGAGGGGGATGAACAGAGACTTTTTGTAACTTCCAGGTACGCACACGAATTGTAACAAAAGACTTTACATTCTTAGAAATACCATGGTAATCGAGCTGCCAAATCACCTCAATCTTACATTGTGTAAGTGTAAGATTTTATGACAGTTTTTCACCAAATGTGGTTCAGGTACTAGTACAAGAACAAAATTACTCTTCTTTTAATATATTTTCCTAAAACACATTAAAATAAATATATAACTGGTATATCAAACCAAACACATTAAAATAAATGTATAACTGGTACATCAAACTTGTGATTTCACATATATTATTGCTTAGGGCAATGTTAAGAAGAAGAAAAGGAAGTCAAGTTAAAGTCACTTTAAAGAAAAATATGATCGAATAAAGGAGGCATGTAATGGCAAGGAAAAACCCATAACAGGTGCATAAATGACTAATATTTGGAAAACTTGGCCAAGACTATAGTCAACTCTGTTGTACGGTCTGAATTTTGAGCTACAAAAGTTGATGCCAGCATCTTGGAGAGTGTCACACAAATGCCAAGTTTCTAGGGGTACCCTAGTGGAAGGGGCCACCACCAGACCCTCCACAGCCTCCTTAGTGATACACCCAGGCATTTAATGTCATTGGTTCAGTGTCCTGGGATTATTTTAGGGAAGTCAAGCACTAGATGGGGAAGCTTAATGGTTCTGTCTCTCACCTCTCTGCTTCTGATTTTAGATCATCTTAGATTCATAGACAGCAACAGAGCTGGATGGGATTTTTAAAAGAGAAAAAATGTGATACCTGGGCACCTAGTTTCTATAGTAACTTCACTTTTTCTTTTTAATTTCATAAGCTGCTGACTTCTTCCTACTTGACTTATTCCTGGCTCGTGCTAGCTTCAAGAAAGTCACCACTAACACCTGGCGTGCTCCATGATTTGAACACAAAGAAATGTCACAGAAAAGAGGCACTTGAAGTTTTTTGTGTGTGGAGTGTGATACATCAAGAGCTCTAAAGGGAAAAGTCAGAAGGTCTTTTGTGTGTCACCGTGAAAAATTGCAGCCAGGACTGAAAAGTAGGGAATGTGGCTGAGACGACGTGTCATCCACCCAAATTGTTCTCCCGGCCTCCTTTGCACTGAAGTGTGGCCACGTGGCTATATTTTCTCTAATAGAGAGTAGGCAGAAATGATTGGTGCCACTTCCCAAGCTGAGACTTTTAAGAAGCAGCTTGTGCCTCCTCCACCCTCTGACTGCAGAGAAAAACAAAGCTCTAGGGATTAATGGAGCCATACAGGACGAAAGACACCTTGTCCCCAATCACCATATGGAGAGAGTGGGTGTGGCCAGGCGCGCCTGTCTTAAACGTCTTAAACTTAGAAGTTTAATGAAAATTTTAAACTTCTATTGTGTCTGAGCCAGTATATATTTGGGGGTCTATTTGTTACAGCAGATGAATCTACCCTAATAAAAGTTTAGGTGCCCTGTCAGCCACACAGATTAACCAAGCCTATTTTGGGGGTGGGGGCCAGGAACAAAGAGACATTCTGAGATTTTCATTTACTATTTCCCCTCTTTGCATAGTTAACTTAACTCGTCCTTTAGCTATAGCTCGAGCCACTTTCTCACAGAAGACTTCTCTGGCTTCAACCAGGGCAAATCCCACTCCCGCAGGTGCCCATGGAACATACTAAACATCACAGTTGCTTTCATGCCTGTGTGATTTTTTAAATGAATGTGTATACCTCCACTGCATTTTAAAAACTATGCGTTTTTCAAAACTCATAGAATGATATACTTAAGATAGCTGCATTTCAGTGTGTGTAATTTTACCTTTAAAATAATCATTGCAAATATTGAATTCTGGTTAAATGGTATACATGCTGAATGTAAAGTGCATTTGCAGTTATCTGCAAATGTAAAGTGTATGGATGTCTGCAACTTGCTTTGAAATGCATTAAAAAAGCGTTGATGGACGGATAGACAGATGGATACATGATAAAGCAAATACAGTCAAATGTTACTTGTGGAATCCAGGTGGTGGGTGTTATAGATGTTCATTATGCAATCATTTCAACTTTTCCATTTTTTAAATTTTCATAATGAAATGTTGAAGAAAAAGTTTAATGAAAGCAGGGACCATGAGTATATTACATAAAAGGAATTGGTCTATACACATTTTATATTGCCAATCATAATGTTCCATAATTTGCTTTTATTTTTATTTGATATGTTATGAAAATCTTTCTATGACGACAGATAGATGATTGATTGATTGATGATACGTAGACAGATGATAGATAATAAGATAGACAGATAATAGGTAAATAGATGATAGATGATAAACAGATGATAGATATAGATGATAGATGATAGATAGATGATGGGTAGATAGATAACAGAAAGATGATAGGTAGATAGATGATAGATTAGATAGACAGATGGATAGATAGATAGATAGATAGATAGATGCACGTGCATGAGAGAGGGACAGAAAGAGAGAGGAGAGAGTCACTTCGTTTTTTTTTGTATTTATTATGAATATACCATTTGGGCTATTTCTGTTTTCCAGTAAATACCATTTTTACATAGATCTTCTGTGCTGAAGCTTCTTTCAGCTTCTTTATGGTTATAGATCTATGTCCACTATAGCACACCAGCTGCCTCCCCCAGCTCCTTTCTAACCCCCTGATCCCATCTCAACTCACGTACATTAGCTCAGTTCCATCCATAGGCAAGAGTCAGGGGTATAAGAGAACAAGAAAGCCTCCATTCAAACTTTCCTGCATACTATTTTTTAAAGACGTGGATCATACAAATCATTACCATGAGCACATATGAAATCTCAGAAGACACACAGTATTAGCATTCATTAAATATTTAATGCATGTTTATTATGGCAGCACATTAGGGTTAGAGGAATCACGTTTATAATATAAAGAGTTATCCTTGTGCTGTGTATATACTTGATCAAGTATTTGCTGTATTTACTTTATAAGGTAAGCTTGTATCATCAATCCGGACGGTACAAATCTGCCCAATTTATATATATGCAGCATAATTTTGACTCCAGCAATCATTCAAAGTTCAATTCTTGAAAGACGTTGGCAAAACTCAAAGTTTCAAGGCATTATAAAAACAGACAGTTAAGGATAAAATTCTAAGCACCATTAAGCACTAAATGAAAAACCACCTATTGGGTACTATGCTCACTACCTGGGTACAATATACCCATGTGACAAACCTGCGCATGTACCCTCTGTATCTAAAATAAAAGTTGAGAAATAAAATAATTTTTAAACGTGAATGACACGTTTGAATGCTCTGTATTAAAAGTCCTAGAAGGCATCTACCTCCGAGTAAGCCAGCCATGCCAACAGGCCCTGCTTTGGTAAGATAGCCCTTCCAGGTAAACACTTCTGCCTGTTTAAAAAAACAAACTCTCCACAGTTTTCTTCTTTTGAAAGATTTTGAAACGGGCTTACACATTTGAAATTCAATGTCCTTCACCATTGCTTCCTGCCTTGTTTCATTTTTACAGGGCTTACCAAAAGGCTTGTGCCATTCCCTAGTTGCCCCACAAATTATTAGTGGGGCTGTTGTTGTTGTTGTTGTTTGAGACAGTGTCTTGCTCTGTCACCCAGGCTGGAGTGCAGTGGCACGATCTCGGCTCACTGCAACCTCCGCCTCCTCGGTTCAAGCGATTCTCCTGCCTCAGCCTCCTGAGTAGCTGGGAATACAGGCGCCTGCCACCATGCCCGGCTAATTTTTGTATTTTTAGTAGAGACAGGGTTTCACCATATTGGCCAGGCTGGCCTCGAACTCCTGACTTTGTGATCTGCCCACCTTGGCCTCCCAAAGTGCTGGGATTACAGGCGCAAACCACCGCACCTGGCCATTAGGGTTTAAAAACATGTTTTGTTTTGTTTTGTTTTGTTTTCCTGGGTTAAGGGAGGTGGAAACAGATTACCCCAAAGCCCCATCACTTTCATCTTTCGAAGGGGAAGAGCAAATCACTGCAGCTGTGTTCTTCTGTTTATGGAGATTGATCTATATACCTAACCAGACTGCAAAATGTTCAAAGTTGGAATTCAAATATAAAACCTGCATTAATTTACAACCCTAGTTGGCAACACTAGAGTTGCAAAGGATTACTCTGTTTTAAAGGATCATAGAGGTGTTTGTTATTCTACTTTGCTTTCATGACTTACTGTTGTTTTCATCTATGATTTATCTGATGCTATATCTCCAGTCTGGAACAGAGTTCTCAATTATTATAACAGTTTCCATGGAGACATATGATCTATTCTCTCATTGCTCCCCAGTGATTCATTCTCCTACGACTCCACCCACTACCCCCCAACCCCAATCCTTTCCATGGGACTCTCCAGAACTTCCAATCCTCCATCAAACATCCTCTCGTCTGTTTTGTTAAGTGATCAAAAACAGGCGTAGTACATGAACTTTTGAGTTAATAAGGACAAGAATAAAAAATGTTAAATTAGCTCAGGGGGACTGGAAAGACGCAAATTAACTGAATAAAAGTGTTCACATAGGGAAAGCAGTAGCAGTAAGTGGTCAGAGAAAGACGTGAACTTGGGTAGGAGCAGGACTTCTCAGTGTTTATCCTTTTAATATAATCTTAATGATGAATCATGTGAATGCATTGCTTATTAAGAATATCATGGCCGGGCGTGGTGGCTCACACCTGTAATCCCAGCACTTTGGGAGGCTGAGGCAGGCAGATCACCTGAGGTCAGGAGTTCAAGACCAGCCTGACCAACATGGAGAAACCCCGTCTCTACTAAAAGTGGAAAATTAGCTGGGCGTGGTGGCGCGTGCCTGTAATGCCAGCCACTCGAAAAGGCTGAGGCAGGAGAATCACTTGAACCTGGGAGGCGGAGGTTGCGGTGAGCTGAGATTGTGCCATTGCACTCCAGCCTGGGCAACAAGAGAGAAACACCGTCTCAAAAAAAAAAAAAAAAAAGGAAAAAAGAAAGCATATATATATATAATTTAGGACAGGTGCGGTGGCTCACACCTGTAATCCTAGCACTTTCTGAGGCCACGGCAGGATGATTGCTTGAGCTTATAAGTACTTGAGCAGCC
Organism: Homo sapiens; assembly: GCF_000001405.40. Classification (NCBI taxonomy): domain Eukaryota; kingdom Metazoa; phylum Chordata; class Mammalia; order Primates; family Hominidae; genus Homo; species Homo sapiens. Next base: position 24,126,882 of record NC_000016.10, on the reverse strand, counting down.
TGGGAAACATAGTGAGACCATGTCTCTACAAAAAAATACAAAAATTAGGTCAGGTGCGGTGGCTCATGTCTGTAATCCCAGCACTTTAGGAGGCCGAGGCGAACGGATCACATGAGGTCAGGAGTTCAAGACCAGCCTGGTCAACATGGTGAAACCCTGTCTCTATTAAAAACTACAAAAATTAGCCGAGCGCGAGACTGAGGCAGGAGAATCACTTGAACCCTGGAGGTAGAGGTTGCAGTGAGCCGAGATGGCGCCATTGCACTCCAGCCTGGGCAACAGAGTAAGATTCTGATTCAAAAAAACAAAAACAAAAATTAGCCAGGCATGGTGGTGCATGCAGTTATTTGGGGGTCAGAGAAAGATGTGAACTTGGGTAGGAGCTGGACTGCTTGAGTCCAGCATGTCGAGGCTGCAGTGAACCGTAATGCACCACTACATTCCAGCCTGGACAAGAGAGTGAGACTCTATCTCAAAAAGAAAAAAAAAGTGCTCATTTAATTTGTAAAAACTCAGCTTATTAGAACCTCTTCTTTATTTAGGCCACTTTCTTCCTCATCATCAGAGAAACTGCTCCATGTTTGAAATCTCAATGCCTCAATTCTTCCTAACATTTTACGTATCTTGACCTCATCTATTTTTTTTTCATCCTTAGACTTCTAAACTCCCTTTTTCCCACCCAGGTGATGACCCTCTTTATGCTAGACATCTTCCCCAACCCAATCTAGATACCATTTTCATTCATGTATTCAACATGCTTTTCTTGAGCACTTGGTACAGGCTCTGTGGATCTGCAGTGGACATCTCTCTTCCCAGAATCCTTAACTCTCTTTCTTCCATAATCTTCTAGTTCACTGATTCTACTAATCCCACGCTTAGTTCAAATCCACCATCTCCTTCTCCATCTCCACCCCAGGGATACTCAGAGCTGCTGGTAAAAACCATACAACGTTGTGGACCACTGCCAACTGCCTATTCCCAACCTTAGGGACTGGATGGGCCATCTTACTGGCTGCCCTTACTCTCTATTCCCATCCCATGCTGAAGCTCTTCAGACTTTGAGCCATCATTTCAGATCCCTTAGTCCATCTCAGTGGATGCCCTTGCCACCCACAGACAGAGAGAATCCACGCATTCAATCTGGGCACTGAATGAATTCCATCCCTAGGCTCTGAAATCACAGTGGCGACCACGACGGAGAAGATCCCTACTCTTGTGGAGCTTAGACCTTAGAAAGGGAAGAGAGAAAAAATCAACAAGGACACAAGAAAAGCATTGCTCAGTGATGGGTGCCATGAGAGAGTTAAACATAATGGACAGTGAATGAGCGGCAACTTTTCAGTGGGTAGTTGGGGAAGATTTTTCAGAAGAAGTGGCGTCTAAGTTGAGATGTGAATTGCAGGAAGCAGCCGGCCTTGCAAACAGCAAAAGGAGCTGAATCACAAAGCCTCTAAGGGAGGAAGGAGCTTTGTGTGTTTCAGTGACCCAAGAGCTGATGTTGTGGCCAGAGCACAGTGGGTGATGGGGAGGAGAAAGAAGAAAGGAAGTCACACAGAGAACAAGGGCCAGATGATAAAGGGTGATACAAGCTAAGGATGTAACATAGAATTGCTTCTAATTGGATGGAAAGTCATTGGAGGGTCTTAAGCAGGGGAGCCCCTTGACCTAATGTAAGCTTTAAAAAATTATTACGGCTACGAAGTAGAAAGTAAATTAATTATAGGTAACAAGATTGGGATTGCAATTAATTATAGGTAACGATTAATTATAGGTAACAAGATTGGGATTGCAATTAATTATAGGTAACGATTAATTATAGGTAAAAAAGATTGGGATTGGGATTAATTATAGGTAACAAGATTGGGATTGAGAAACCACTGAGGAGTTTCTGCAGTTATCCAGGTGATATTAATGATTAGATTTGGGTGGTATTAGAGAGATGAAGAGAAGTTAGTGAATACATGATATACTTTGAAGGAACTGTCAGAATTCGCCAATGCATTGTACATGGCTGTGGGGGGCGGTGGCCAGGAACAGTGGGAATACAGGAAAGAGGGAAGCTCAGGGATAACTCCCAGGTTTTTGGCTTACGTTACATAGATGGAAAAGAAATTTATATTTTTTGCACACCTGAGTTCATGGTATGAGATTTATGCTAGACATCTTTGTGGCACGCAAAGAGACTAAAAACCCCAAAACAACACTAAATGAGTCAGAAATACTTATAACACAATCTCAACTTCAGTAAAACAGCATCTCGCAGTATCTATAAAAGCGTCCAGAAACACTGTATGAGTCCCAGGGTCATCCTTCCACTGTGCAACTGTTTGAAAGGAACCGTTTCCATTCTTGGCTGTCAGAGTGATCTTTTCCAAAAGGCAAATCCGATCGTGTCACTAATCTGCTTAAAAAGGTTCAATGGCTCCCCGCTGCACTGTGAGTGAAACCCAAACTCCTCATTGTAGCTTATAAGGTTTGCATCCTTGGGCCCTGCTTATCTCTGCAACATCACGTCCTATACCTCCTTCTGCTAGTGACATTTTGCCCCAACACCTTCTGATGGTTCCTAGGATGCACCCAGCCTGTCCCCACCTTGGAACTTTTGCACTTGCTCTCTTCTGAGAACATTCTTTCCTAGCTCTTTGAAAGCATAGCTAGTTCTTTCTCATCATCCAGGTCTCAGTATATGTGTCACCTCCTCAGACTGAAAGGGTCGCCTTTTTGTTTGTGACACAGCACTCCATTCATTTCCTTCATGGTATTCATTACAAAGTGTAGTGTGGCTCTATTTACTTCTTACTCTCTCTCCCACTAGGACGTCCGTCCCATAGGAACAGCAAATGTGCCTGTGTTGTTAGATGTTCCTTCCAAAGCAGGTGGAGCCACCAAATCATACCATACCTTGCCAAAGCTGCCTTTCCCCAGCACCATTAGGAAGTTAAAATCGGTCAGTTTCATCCGGTCTCTGTTGCCATTGTTGTCAAATTTGGAGACAGTGTTGGTCGTCTTTTCTTCCGGGACCTTGGTTCCCTGACTGATCTTGGCCCTCTGCAAAAAGGAAGCACACAGAAAACATGCTCAGGGTTTGAGGACGATCTTGTAGGAAGGCACAGGCACACAATGGGAAGCTGTAGTTCCTGCAGCTCCGGCACCCTGTCCCCATGAAAAGCATAGCCATGCATCACTCCACAAGCCTGAAACCTGTCGGACATCCTTTGCAACTCCATCTTTCTTTTATCCCTCATGTCTCAACCATAACCAGAACTGTCATTTCTTTCCTCCCAGCTGTCTCTAGAATTCATCTACTTCTTTCCATCTCAACCATCACTACCTGCCATCATCTCTCACCTGCACAAGGCACAGTGATTTCCCTTACACTGGGTTTCACACACAACCACAGTGAGCCTCTCATCCAACCAAGTCCCCTCCTGCTTAAAATGTCTCAGTGGCATCCCATCATTTTCAGGGTAAAGATCGAGGTGCTTTCATGGACTTGTGTGTTTAGGCCCTACCTGGCTTTCCAGCTCCATCATTGCTAGGGTGCTTCTTCTCTGCAATGTAGCTTCATTCTCCTTTCACTCCCCTGGATGTCCCAGGCCCCTCCAACCACAGGGCCTTTGCACCTGCTGCTGCTACTGTGGTACAAATGGCTATTCTCTCCCCTTCAGCAACCCAGCTTGGGGTTCACATTTTCATGGCTCAGGGAAGCCCTCATCGATTCTCTCTGTCTGCACTAGGTTCTCCTCTGATTTTCTTCCTTCATCCACTTCTCTTCCCATAAATACTGGAGGATAACTGCCTGTTCACTTGTTTCCTTCCAATAAATTGGAGACTGTTGTGGACACGGAATATTTCTCATTCTCCATGGTTTTCCTGACAACTAGTATAGTTCCCAACTAAATATTTGTTGCATAAATGGATGAGTGAGGGCCACGTGTGTCCTCAGTGCAATGGGAGAGGGACTCCTTGCCATGAGCTGTGGAATGGGGCTCAGAGTGGCAGCAGGTGCTTTGGAATGAGGCAAAAACTGGAAGCCATGAGTGGGAGACCTGCAGCTGCCAGGACTTCGTTACTGGATTCACGTTTAGCAGAGAGAAAACTGTGGAGTTAAAAGCTCATGTGTGGCTGGGCACAGTGGCTCACACCTGCAATTCCAACACTTTTTGATGCTGAGACAGGAGATTCGATTGAGGATAGAAGTTTGAGAACAGCCTGGGCAACATAACAAGACCCTGTCTCTACAAAAATAAAGAAAGTTAGCCAGGCAAGGTGGTGTGCACCTGTCATCCCAGCTACCTGGGAGGCCAAGGTGGGAGGACTGCTTTAGCCCAGGAGTTAGAGGCTGCTGTGAGCTATAATCACACCACTGCCCACCAGCCTGGGTGACAGAGTGAGATCCCATCTCTCTCTCACTAAAAAAAAAAAAAAAAAAAGCCTCGTGGTAGAATCCTCTGACATGAATCAGCTGTGTGGCCCAGAATACATCAGTTAAGTCATAACATTCCTCTGCCCAATATATATACCATCCCATTATTCTCAAAGTAAAAGCCAAAGGCCACAGATGACTGAGCCCCTCTGATTTCAGCCTCCTTTCTACTTCCGCACTGGCCTCCTTGCTGCTCTCTGAATGCACCAAACATGCTCTTACCCCAGGGCCTTTGCACCTGCTGTTCCCTCTGCTCAGAGCACTCTTTCCCCAGAACTCTCTCACCTCTGATAAGAGGGCTCTTCCCTGAACACCCTACATAAAATTGCTCTCAGCAATCTCCATCCGCCTTACTTACTTGATTTTCTCTAAAACACTTGTCACCATCTTACAAACCATATATTTACTTGTTTCCCAATTTATCATCTTTCTCCTTATACCAGAATGTAAGCTCCCCAATGGCAAGGATTTTGTCTGTTTTGCTTTCCACTGTTTCCCTGGTACCTAGAGGAGTATGGCACAGAGAAGGCACTTAATTTGCATTTGGTGATTGAAGCTTCCTAAACATTCATCACCTTTTCAAGACATGGAGATGATGACATGAAATGATGTATCACAGAGTCCTTAGTATCATTCCTGGCACACAACACATGCTCAGTGAATGGTAGCTATTATTATTGTTGCATTATTTGGTTGCTTTGAAGATAAAGAGGCAAAATAAATCTTTCCAAAGTTTTGAATATCAGGGAAGATTCATTCATTCATTCAAAAAACATTTATTGAGGCTGGATGTGGTGGCTGATGCCTGTAATCACAAAGCTTTGGAAGGCTGAGGCAGGACTGCTTGAGGCCAGGAGTTCAAGACCAGCCTGGGCAACACAGCCAGACCCTATCTCAAAAAAAAAGTTTAATTAGCTGGACATGGTGGCAGTGGGCCTGTAGTCCCAGCTACTTGGGAGGCTTAAGGCAGGAGAATCCCTTAAGCCCAGGAGTTGGAAGCTGCAGTAAGCTCTGATCACTGTATTGCACTCCAGTCTGGGCAACAGAGCAAGACTCTGTCATAAACAAACCAACAAACAAATCAAAAATTCTTGTTGAGTACCTGCTACATGCTAAGTGCTCCTCTAGGTGCTGAGGATACATCAGAGGGCAAAATGGATACAGATACTCTGAAAAAACGTGCATTCTAGCTGGGATTGGGTCCTCCATACTGTGTCCAAAAGGTATGTTGGGGTTGCTGAAGTAGATAAACTGGTATTGGCAGCAGGAACAGCATTTATGGAACAGAGGGGAAGACACATTCAAGGAATGAAACATCGTCTGGCTGGATCATGAAATGCAAGGCAGATATGGCACAGGAGGCAGACAAAGTGTTGAAAGGACCTTAAGAAATTCAGGCTGACTATGAGCATGACAGACAGCCTTTGAAAGGTTTGAAGCAGGGCTATGGTATGACCATACATATTTAACAGGTCACTCTGAGTGGAGAGGAGACCCCCCAGCACGTGGGCTGAGTGATCACTAGGAAGTCACTGCATTATCAAGGAGAGAAATGATGAGCCAGGCATGGTGGTGTGTGCCTGTAGTCCCAGCTACGCGGGAGGCTGAGGTGGGAGGATCCCCTGAGCCCAGGAGTTGGAGGTTGCAGTGAGCCATGATTGCACCACTGCACTCCAGCCTGAGTGATAAAGGGAGACCCTGTCTTAAAAGAAAAAAAAATGATGGACTCAGTTGTCTGCAGTGTAGACTGAACAAAGTGGATCTATTTGGGAGACAGACTGACCCCAGATGGGTAGCAGATTGGGCAAGGGAGAAGGGAGATTGGAGATGAAGGACAGCTCCCCAGCCTCTGTTCTGACCAACTGGCAGGATGCTGGTTGTTTCCACTGAGATGAGAAGAAGCGGAGGAGGAGCAAGTTTGGAAGTGTGGGGAAGAGGGTGGGCAGAGATGACCGGTGTGATTTCAGGCATGTTGAGATCCCCTCTTCCCCACAGCAGCTTAAAACTTCAAGGTTTATTTCTCCCTCATGGGGTGCATATTCCACTGTTACCATATAGGAACCATGGCTAACAAAGCATCCGCCATTTTCTCTTTATTCATGTTTTGAAACTTGAGGTGGGCACCGCAAAGTGCACCAATCTCACGTGCACAGTTCTGTAGATTTTGACAAATGTGCACACCCATGTAACCCAAACCCCAAACAAGACGCGGAACATTTCCATCACCCTCCAAAAGTTCCCAGTCGACGCCCCCCGCAACCCCCGCCACTAAGGCAATCTCTGTTCCAGTTTCTATCCCATAGGTCAGTTTTGTCTGTTCTTGAATTTCATCTGAACAGCATTGTAGAGTGTGTACTCTTGTGCCTGGCTTCTTTCACTCATCAAAATGTTCTTGAAATGCATCCATGTTTTTGCATAAATCGGTAATTTGTCTCTTTGTATTGCTGAATGGCACTCATTGTTGATGTTTATCCCGTCTCCTGTGTACAGGCATTTGAGTTGTTTCCCCTTTCGGCCTACTAACAACGCTGCTGTGAATATACTTGGTCAGTTTACTTTGCAGTAAGATATGTTGAGGTTTAACCCAAGTGTAAATACCCAGTAAGCAGTTGTATACATGGGTTTGGGGCTTGAGCAAAGATATCTGGACTGGAGACAGAGATTTGGGGTGTAGAGGCAACGAGGGGGTAGTTAAAACTACAAGGTCATCTTATTTGCAATGGAAACTGCAAACAAAAGAGCCAGGGTAGGACAGAAGCCGTCTCACCTTTCTCGGGCTATGTCCTCACACCCTCCTAAATCATCACCCCCAAGCTGGCCTGACCCAAACACTTTCCCTACTCCCCTCCCTGCTGCCCCATCACCTTAGCACCATGTGTCCTGCCTTCTTTGAATCCTGGCTCAGGACCCATCTGATTCACAGTCTCCATTCTCCAGACTGTGAAGATCCAAGTCCTGCCTGCCCCAGTTCCCATTTCCCATCCTGGGAACTTTCCCATCCACCTGCGGGTCCCAGCACACACTCCCCATGAAACGTGAGCACGGACCTCAAACTTCCTGATTTCTTCATTTGACTTTGCGTAGTGGACAGATAAGGACTTTTTTGGGGGGGTGGGAAGAGGGGTTGATTTTTTCCTTGTCCTTCAAGGAGCAGCTAACAGCCTCATCCCTCAGCACTAGAAACTCCCTTCTCTCCTCTGAATCTGGGGCTGGCACCCCTCTTTCCTCCCTCCCTCCCAGCTTGCTTTTATAACTTTTCTCATGGGCATGTTAATTTAACTTCTAGAATCTAGATCAGAAGTCTAATAACCCTGGAAAAAAAAAAAAAGAAGTCTGATAACCCTGTTGGTCTGGTCTGCACAGAGTTTGTTGTCATTTTAATATTTAATTAGTTGCCAACTGTTGAAAATTTGGAGATATGAAAACCCAGATCCCCAGCTTCTTTTGAAGAAGGGGATCTGCTAACACTGGGTGATGCCAAGCTCTTTCGCCTTCTTGTTGTTTGCCTGGCTCCTGAAAACACCTGGGTTTGTGGCCCCTACTCAGTGAGCCTTCAGAGGACAGGAGCCCTGTCCTTTGTCCTTTGAAATATCCCATTGTTCCAAGGGGACAATGCCTAGCACACACTGCATCAAAGAGCGAACATTTTAAAATTGAGGCACAAATTAAACTCGTCCTTTATCTTGCTGTGTGGGATGTGCTTTCAGAAACAGGAATACACTAATGGTTGCCTTTTCATGTCTGCGATTTAGAGCCCTAGAACTCAATGCTAAGAGAGAAAGCAAATAGCATTTCTGAGCAAAGAGCCAAGCCACCTTCCAGACAGCACGAGGGGACAGTGGAGAAGCCCTGGCAGCCAGACTCTGGGCTCCACTCCCGATGATGAATGCCTGTCCTGGCTAAAACTGCAGATTCCTCTGCCACTCCACCCCTACAAGGAACTACTACAGGCACTCCCAGCTACCCAGCAGTGGGGCAGGGACCTCTGTAGGCTAGGAGTCCCTGTAGATTTTCCCTAACCTCCAAGCAGCCCTTCCAAAGCCCAGAAAGAGGATGTTCTGAGCTTTATTTATCCCGAAGGGGGAGACAATAATTATAACAACCACCATGATGCTAGCATCTAACATCTGGATATGTATGACATGTGAGACACTCTGCTAAACGCATTACCTCATTCAATCCTCACATAACCTCATGAGGTAAGAAGTGCTATAATTCCCCATTTTACAGGTAGGGAATCAGAAGCTCAGAGAGACAAAGCAACTTGCTTACAGCCACTCAGCAAGGAGGTGGCAGAACTGGGATTCAAATCTAGGCAGTCTGGCTCTCAAGCAATCACACTTAACCATTAGGCTACATTGCACAGGTACAATCGCTGGTGTTCCTCCAAGACACCACCAGCATGCTGCTCTCTACACCTAGGGCTGCTAACAGCAAACACCTGTGATTCTTTGCCTGTAGCTTATTTTCTGGTTATAGGAGCGGGCACAGCGCACAGGGCACATTGAAAGTGCGGGTGAGTGGATTTCCCTGGGAGCAGCCCTTAGCCTGCAACGGAAGGGGAGCCGACGGATAACCCCTCAGCTTCCTGTCCCTTGATTGGGAAATTCTGAGGCATGCATTCCGCGCTGACTTGAGAGTTCTCCAGCAGGGTTAAACCCTAGCTGCCCACAGCAGTAGTCTGCTTGATAATACTTACTTTCCTGGTTTCCCACCTTTTCTGGCAATGCTTCCTTATTAACTTATGGTGCTTCCAGGATCACCTCTCAAATAAAGTACTTGCACTTGAATCCTTATAGTCTGTTTCTGGGAAAACCCAAACCCAGGACAATGACTGGCTCTGGGACCTTATAAAGTTACTTAAACCTCTGTGGGCTTCAGTTTCTTCATTTGTAAAAGTAAAATAGCGTGATAATAGTACCTACCATTCTAGGTTGTTGTAAGGATTAAATTACCTGAGTTAATATTTGCAAAGCACTTAGAATCATAAATGGCACACAGTAAGCACTTTGTTATACAAATAAATTTTAAGACTCTGAGAAATCCCACTGTGCGCCATCCAAAATGGAGTCTTCTTTTCCAAAGCCCACGGTCGACTGAAAGCCCCCTAAGCAAACAGCCAGCTCTGATGTTCTGAAGTATACCACGTGTGGTAACTGCGCCAAGCTCACACTACCATGAAATTCTATTACCCCAATTCTAGCAGCTCGATTTTACTGTCACTCAGAATTCCTCCAGATAAGAGGCTTGAAAGTAATTTCTGAGTCATTCCGGGTGCTAATTGGTTATCGCCCAGGGATTACATTTCTCATGTTCAAGGTCAACTGAAATTCCTCTGTGAGCCTGAGAACAATTTTCGGTCTGTTGGAAACATTTTTTTAAATCAACAAGTACAGTATGCAGCGATTATAATTCAGGCATAAACAAGCATTTGCAGGCTCTTGCTAGAAAGAAAGGGACACAATTTCTTGCATGCGGATAAAACAGTCTCCTATTCCAAGCCAATTACTGGCCCAGACAAATGCTCTGTTTGTGTAGCAAATCTTTTCCTTGGTGTTCTGAAATGTCACCCCAGCTGCCCCAGGACAGAAAAAAATCATTTTGCAAAACTGAGACTTGGTTATATACAAGAAAATACTGGCCTTGTGTTTTTCACCCGTAATAGTACATTTCTATAACAGCAGCAAATGATACCACTTCATCAGCAAGTTGGGGGAAAGAGACAGAAAGTGTTCTCTGGAAAGACTGCCTTCCTGTCTTAATTTTTATCAAACAGTATCCAGTTTTTAGTTCTACTTGGAGGGAAGGTTCTTTTTTCAGTTCACTTGGGCTTGAGTCCAAGACTTTGGGAACAAGCCTCTGTTATCAAGGTCACTGGAGAATGACTGATAAGCTCAAGGCCAATGTGTCTGTTCCACTTGTTCCCAGGAAGGGAGGACCCCACTGGGTCAGAACTATCACTATCTTCCAGCATGTCGGGTGGGCATAGGCTCAAGACAAGGAATTTGGGAATACGTAAGTGCTATTTCTTTTTTTATTTTTTTTTAAATATATATTTTTTAATAATAGAGGTAGGGTCGCTATGTTGCTGAGGCTGGTCTCGAACTCCTGGGCTCAAGCAATCCTCCTGCCTCAGCCTCCCAAAGTGCTGGGATTATAGGCATGAGCCACCGTGCCTGGCCCCTAAGCGCTATTTCTATCAAGTTGAGGGGAGAACAAACTTGATAGTTTGTTTCTTTCAACAAACAAACTTGTCCTTTATCTTGCTGTGTACGATGTGCCCTCAGAAACAGGAATACACTCACTAATGGCTGCCTTTTCATGTCTGCAATTTAGAGCCCTAGAACTCAAAGCCCCGTAACCAAACAGAGGCAACCAACTCTGACGTACTGAAATATACCACGTGTGGTAACTGGGCTCTTGGGATAAATGCTAAAATCCTTGGGATATCACGCCTGTAATCCCAGCACTTGGGAGGCCGAGGCAGACGGATCACGAGGTCAGGAGATCGAGACCATCCTGGCTAACATGGTGAAACCCCATCTCTACTAAAAATACAAAAAATTAGGCAGGCGTGGTGGTGGGCACCTGTAGTCCCAGCTACTCGGGAGGCTGAGGCAGGAGAATGGCGTGAACCCAGGAGGTGGAGCTTGCAGTGAGCCGAGATCTCACCAGTGCACTCCAGCCTGGGTGACAGAGAAAGACTCTGTCTCAAAAAAACAAAACAAAACAAAACAAAATCCTTGGGATAAATGCTCTTGGGTAAATGCTCTTGGGATAAATGCTAAAATCTTTGGGATAAATAGTCTTGGGAAAAATGCTCTTGGGTAAATGCTCTTGGGATAAATGCTATCCTTGGGATAAATACTCTTCGGATAAATGCTAAAATCATCGGGATAAATACTTTTGGGATAAATGCTCTTGGATAAATGCTCTTGGGATAAATGCTAAAATCCTTGGGATAGATACTCTTTGGATAAATGCTCAAGTCCTTGGGATAAATACGCTTGGGATAAGTGCTCTTGGGTAAATGCTCTTGGGATAAATGCTAAAATCCTTGGGATAAATATTCTTGGGATAAATGCTAAAATCCTTGGGATAAATACTCTTTGGATAAATGCTAAAATCATTGGGATAAATACTTTTGGGATAAATGCTCTTGGATAAATGCTCTTGGGATAAATGCTAAAATCCTTGGGATAAATACTCTTGGGATAAATGCTAAAGTCCTTGGGATAAATACTCTTGGGATAAATGCTAAAATCCTTGTCAAGGCCAGCACAGCCCTACGTACTGTGACTCATGCCTACTTCCTCAGCCTTTCCTTGGACTCTCTTTGGCTTTCTCTGCTCTACCCAGGCTGGTCTTCTTTCAGTCTCACATTGCTGCTATATAACCCCCAACCACAGGGCCTTTGCACATGCTGTTTGCAGAACAGAATACATTTTCCCCTCTTTTTACATGGTAAACTTCCATTGCTGTTTCCTTCCTGACACCTCCCCATTCTCTCAAACTACGTGACATTTCTCTTGTACATGTTCTCAAGGTACCTGACCTCTCTTTCCCAGGACTTTACATGGTCTTTACACGTTTTTTTTTTATTTGTGTGTGTCATTATTTGATGAATAACAATAATAAAAATTAATTTCATTTTAGCTATGCTATTATATACATTTTTGGGGAGTTAGTAGGCCATCATGGTTTATCTAGAATTGATCATCTCCCACCAGACTCAGTGTATTGAGTTTGTGGGAACAAAATAATGTGCTTTTCCTCAGGAAACTACTAAAATCACTCAATGCACATATAATGTAAGTATTCAAACCTATCTTCCCCCAAACATTTTCTTTGTAAAGCAAGGATGTGTCCTATACACCTGCTGCTCTTAGGTAGCTGAAAATGGTGTTTATTTGTCCCCGTAGAAGGAAAGGGATTTATTTCAGGTAGGAGCAGAGCCAGCAATGTAACTCAAGGTCACAGCCAAGGGCTTTCCATTTGATAAAACTATTCTCTGGGAAGATCTACCCCCAGGGTATTTCATGAAGTCATTAGCACAATCAATTCCATTCGTTAACTATATAGCATCATTCTGTCAATAGAGCCAATCCAGATTCCATCCATCAGCAAGCCTAGTTGACTCAGCCTCCAAAATATATCACTTCTCTGTCTACTTATTTTTTTTTTTTTTGAGATGAAGTCTCGCTCTGTTGCCCAGGCTGCAGTGAGCCGAGATCGCACCATTGCACTGCAGCCTGGGCAACAGAGCATTACTGATCATGCAGTGGCACAATCTTGGCTCACTGCAGCCTCTGCCACCCAGAGAAATTCTTGTGCCTCAGCCTTCCGAGTAGCTGGTATTACAGGCGTGCACCACCATGCCTAGCTAATTTTTTTGTATTTTTAGTAGAGACTGGGTTTAACCATATTGGCCAGGCTGGTGTCCAACTCCTGACTTCAAGTGATCTGCCTGCTTCAGCTTCCCAAAGTGCTGGAATTACAGGTGTGAGCCACCGCACCCGGCCCTCTGTCTACTTCTTTCATTCACCATGACTACCATTCCAGTCCAAGTCACCATCAAAATGGTGGGCAGTGAATGAGCACTTTTGAAGAAATGTCTAAGCCTGAATGCAGACAGGGAAGCAGGAATAACTTCATAAGGCAAGGGCATTTAATTGGGGTCTTGAAGGATTAATCAGAGTTTTCTAGGAGATAAAACAACCTTGCAAAGGCTCAGAGTCATGAAAAGTCTTAGTAGAAACCATGCCATAAACAGGAAAATCAGCACAGCAGCAAACCTAACTGGTTCCCACTGATGAAAGAAAGGAGATGAAGAAAGAAGAGAGAGACAAGAGAGAGGAAGAGAGAGAGAAAGGGGAGAAAGAATGAAAAGAGAGAGGAAGGAGGAAGAAAGAAAGGAAAGGGGGGAGGGAGGGAGGAAGGAGGGAAAGAAGGAAGGGAGGAAAGGAAGGAAGGAAGAAAGGAAGAAGGAAGGAGAGAGAAAGAAACAAAGGAAGGACAGAGAGAGAAAGAAAAGAAAGAATGAGAGGGAAAGAGAAAGAGAGAGGAAGGAAGGCAGGAAGGAAGGAAGGAAAAAACAAAGAAAAGGGGGGTAAAGAAAGCAAGCAAGAAAGAAAGCAAGACAGAAAGGAAGAAAGCGAGAAAGCAAGCAAGAGAAAGCAAGAGAGAAAGGAAGAAAGCGAGAAAGCAAGCAAGTAAGCAAGAAAGAAAGAAAGGAGAAAGAAGGAAAGAAAAGAGAGAGGAAGAAGGAAGTAAGGAAGGAGAGAAAAAAGAATAAGAGAGAAAGAGAAAGAAAGAGGAGGGAGCAGGAGGAAAGAAGGAAAAAAGAAAGAGAAAAAAGAAAGAAGAGAAAAAGAAAAGAAACCTCACCTCAAATTTCTGCCGCAGTTCTTCATTGGCCTCACTTCCTTCTGGTGGCACAGGCACATTGAAGTACTCGCCTTCCTCCTGGCTCAGTAACTTAAACCTGAAGGGAGACAAGGGGGTGGGACACATTTCATGACTCGACTCGGTATTATTTTATTGATCAGCATATGAAAAGGAGGCCTATATAAAGCTCTACTTGAAAAAATATACGTTGAGGGTTTTTTGGTTTGTTTTGGTTTGTTTTTCAGTATGTTGGGTGGGGGTAGTGTGCATGGTACACTACCAGGTACACTATGTATTTTTGTAACTCTTCCATGGACAGCAGAAAAAAAATGTATATCACATGTACATAGGAGGCAAAGTTCTCACTCTCTCTCTATACACACTTACACAGTTTTCTTAGTTATATCGTTAAATTACTGTATATTTTTACCTACTTTTTGTCCATTAAGTAGTTTCTTATTCTGAAAGAATGCTATGAAGATCCCTCATCGTAAATTTCTTGTTGTTGTTGTTATTGTTGTTGTTGCTTTTAGAGATAGGGTCTCACTCTGTCACCCAGGCTGGAGTGCAATAGTGCAATCACAGCTCACTGAAGCCTCGAGCTCCTGGGTTCAAGCGATCCTCCTGCCTCAGCTTCCTGAGTAGCTGGGGACTATAGGCATGTGCCACCATGCCCAGCTAATTAAACAAAAAAAAATTTTTTTGTAGAGATGGGAGTTGGCTATGTTTCTCAGACTAGTCTTGAATTCCTGACCTCAAGTGATCTTCTCACCCTATCCTCCCAAATTGCAACCCCCACTGCCTGACTGTAAATACACTCTTGTCATGCTCTTCCAGCATTTCTACCTTTCACCCTACATAGGGTGCATAGGGTGCCACTTTGCCATCCTGGCACTCAACTGCATTTAGGTGACCATGGACTTGACTTCATGATGCTATTTTCTCTGCAAAAGTTTTCCCAAAATGTGCTGTAGTCAGCCTTTTTGAGAAACGGCATCCCTTAGTGGTTAAGCGCACAAGCCCTGGAGTCAAACCATGTCTGGGTGCAAATCTCATCTCATAACCTTAGACAGGCTGGTTAGCCTCTCTGGGCCTCTGTTTTTCTCATCTATAAATTGGAATACAAATTCCTTTTTCATAGAATTCTTGTGAAATTGAAATGTAATGACGCATGTAAAATGATAAGCACAGCACTTGGCATTCAGCAAGTATTCAATTAGTGGCATCATCATGATTATTATTACTGTGACTAATGTCATTATTATTATTTTAGAGACAGGGCCTTGTTCTGTCACCAAGGCTGGAGTGCAGCAGCACAATCATAGCTCACTGCAGCTTTGACCTCCTGGGCTCAAACAATCCTCCGGCCTCAGCTTTCAACTAGCTGAGACTAAAAGCACATCCCACCACACCTGGCTGTTTTTTTTTTCTTTTTTTTCTTTTCTGGCAGAGATAGGGTCTTGCTATGTTGCTCAGGCCAGTCTTGAACTCCTGGGCTCAAGCAATCCTCCTGCCTCAGCATCCCAAGTAGCTGAGATTATAGGCACATCCCACCATGCCCAGCTACTACTAATATAATAATAAACATGGGGGCTTCAGTTTGTTTCTTGACCACAAAGATTTTTTCATCTAGTAAGAGGATGAGATGAGTGTGAGGAAAGAAAAGGGACATTCTAAAAGCATTTGAATCAGTGGGAAAGAAAAAAGACCCCAAAACTCCTCGCTCTCAAAGATCATTCCTAACCAAAGTTTAAAATTTTCATCACAATGTTTTCTCTCCATTCACGAATCTTCTTACGCAGCTTCCAAAAATGGGCTAGGTGATTCAAAGCAGAGAAGACAATTTGAGCCTCTACGCCTCCACATTTAATATTCCAAATTTTCTTCCAAAATTCCACGGAAATTACCAAAAGAAATATAAAAACAAGAGAGCATCTGTATCTTTGCTGGAAATCGAGAAGGGTGCTATCCACACAGCAGGGACTTCCAGGGATTCCTACAAATTAAAGTAATAGAAAGAAAACAGAGCTATTTTGGGTAAACTTTAACTTTATCCATTCAGATGCTACCTTTGTGGATTTTGCTAGATTTGTATATCAGCGTTGAAATATCTGTTTTACTTTTTTAATAATAAATTTAATTTTAAAGGACACTTTTTATTTCTTCCTTGGAAGGAAATTCAATATCACTTGTTACAAATAGAAAATAATTGTTAAAAACAAACAAAACAAAACAAACAAAAAGATAAACAGGTCGTCGTGGTGGCTCATGTCTGTCATCCTAGCACTTAGAGAGGCTGAGGAAGGAGGATCACCTGAGGCCAGGAGTCCAAGATCAGCCTGGGCAACATAGCGAGACCCTGTCTCTACAAAAAAATTAAAAAAATTTAGCTAGGTATGGTGGCGCATGCCAGTAGTCCCAGCTACTTGAGCGGCTGAGGTAGGAGAATCGCTTGAGTCCAGAAGGTCAAGGCTGCAGTGAGCTATTATTGCACCACTGCACTCCAGCCTGGGTGACAAAGCAAGACCCTGTCTCTCAAAAAAAAAAAAAAAAAAAAAAGGTTGGGCATGGTGGCTTATGCCTGTAATCCCAGTACTTTGGTAGACCAAGGTGGGCAGATCACCAGGTCAGGAGATCGAGACAACCTGGCCAACATGGTGAAACCCCATCTGTACTAAAACCACAAAAAAATTAGGTGGGCATGGTGGCACGCGCCCGTAGTCCCAGCTATTCGGGAGGCTGAGACAGGAGAATCGCTTGAACCCGGGAGGCAGAGGTTGCAGTGAACCGAGATTGCTCCACTGCACTCCAGCCTGGGCAACAGAGCGAGACACCGTCTCAAGAAAAAAAAAATAGACTTAAAAGATTGGGGACGCTCTCTCCCTCTCCCTCTCCCTCTCCCTCTCCCTCCTCTCCCTCCTCTCCCTCCTCTCCCTCTCCCTCTCCCTCTCCCTCTCCCCACGGTCTCCCTCTCCCTCTCTTTCCACGGTCTCCCTCTCATGCTGAGCCGAAGCTGGACTGTACTGCTGCCATCTCGGCTCACTGCAACCTCCCTGCCTGACTCTCCTGACTCAGCCTGCCGAGTGCCTGCGATTGCAGACTCGTGCCGCCACGCCTGACTGGTTTTGGTGGAGACGGGGTTTCGCTGTGTTGGCCAGGCCGGTCTCCAGCCCCTAACCGCACGTGATCCACCAGCCTCGGCCTCCTGAGGTGCCGGGATTGCAGATGGAGTCTCGTTCACTCAGTGCTCAATGGTGCCCAGGCTGGAGTGCAGTAGCGTGATCTCGGCTCGCTACAACCTCCACCTCCCAGCCGCCTGCCTTGGCCTCCCAAAGTGCCGAGATTGCAGCCTCTGCCCGGCCGCCACCCCGTCTGGGAAGTGAGGAGCATCTCTGCCTGGCCACCCATCATCTGGGATGTGAGGAGCCCCTCTGCCTGGCTGCCCAGTCTGGAAAGTGAGGAGCGTCTCCGCCCGGCCGCCATCCCACCTAGGAAGTGAGGAGCACCTCTGCCGGGCGGCCATCACATCTAGGAAGTGAGGAGCGTCTCTGCCCGGCCGCCCATCGTCTGAGATGTGGGGAGCGCCTCTGCCCCGCCGCCCCGTCTGGGATGTGAGGAGCACCTCTGCCCGGCCGCAACCCCGTCTGGGAGGTGAGGAGCATCTCTGCCCGGCCGCCCCGTCTGAGAAGTGAGGAGCCCCTCCGCCTAGCAGCCGCCCCGTCTGGGAAGTGAGGAGCGTCTCCGCCCGGCAGCCACCCCATCCGGGAGGGAGGTGGGGGGGTCAGCCCCCCGCCCGGCCAGCCGCCCCGTCCGGGAGGTGAGGGGCGCCTCTGCCCGGCCGCCCCTACTGGGAAGCGAGGAGCCCCTCTGCCCGGCCAGCCGCCCCGTCGGGGAGGGAGGTGGGGGGGTCAGCCCCCCGCCCGGCCAGCCGCCCCGTCCGGGAGGTGAGGGGCGCCTCTGCCCGGCCGCCCCTACTGGGAAGTGAGGAGCCCCTCTGCCCGGCCAGCCGCCCCATCTGGGAGAGAGGTGGGGGGGTCAGCCCCCCGCCCGGCCAGCCGCCCCGTCCGGGAGGGAGGTGGGGGGGTCAGTCCCCCGCCCGGCCAGCCCCCCCATCCGGGAAGTGAGGGGCGCCTCTGCCCGGCCGCCCCTACTGGGAAGTGAGGAGCCCCTCTGCCCGGCCACCACCCCGTCTGGGAGGTGTGCCCAACAGCTCATTGAGAACGGGCCAGGATGACAATGGCGGCTTTGTGGAATAGAAAGGCAGGAAAGGTGGGGAAAAGATTGAGAAATCGGATGGTTGCCGTGTCTGTGTAGAAAGAAGTAGACATGGGAGACTTTTCATTTTGTTCTGTACTAAGAAAAATTCTTCTGCCTTGGGATCCTGTTGATCTATGACCTTACCCCCAACCCTGTGCTCTCTGAAACATGTGCTGTGTCCACTCAGGGTTGAATGGATTAAGGGCGGTGCAAGATGTGCTTTGTTAAACAGATGCTTGAAGGCAGCATGCTCGTTAAGAGTCATCACCACTCCCTAATCTCAAGTACCCAGGGACACAAACACTGCGGAAGGCCGCAGGGTCCTCTGCCTAGGAAAACCAGAGACCTTTGTTCACTTGTTTAGCTGCTGACCTTCCCTCCACTATTGTCCTATGACCCTGCCAAATCCCCCTCTGTGAGAAACACCCAAGAATTATCAATAAAAAATAAATAAATAAATAAATAAATTTAAAAAAAAATAAAATAAAAAATAAAAAGTCAATCAATTAAAAAAAAATAATAAAAAAAATAAATAAATAAAAGATTGGGGACAAATAAACACTGTAACCTAATCCCATACATGTTACTGTGGAAACAAAAAGTGAAAATAAAACCTAATTAATGTTCCAATAAAAAAAAAAAGAAAAAAAAATAAACAAATGGAAATCAAGGAAATCAAGGTTATGCACGTGCAAGTAGATGGTGTTGCTTACTAAAGGCTCTCAATCGAAAGCCTGCCCCTGCCCCTTTTTAATGGGAGATCAGCGAAGAGCAAGTGTTAGAGTGTTAACGATATATCAGAGACCTCTGAGATTTTCTCTTTGCCATAATTTGAAGAACTGAAAGAACACTGACAAAATAATTGCTTTCTTGGGGCACAATTCAATATTATTTATGCCCTGACTGTGAACCATCTAGAGTATTTGGGGTCTCACACTTGGGAAAATACAGATAAAGGGGAATTGACCAGCTGTCATCCATAAAAGGTGCCCCAACAGAGCCCAATAATGACCCCGGCTGAGACCATCAATGACCGGGTGAGGGTTGCCGATTCCCATTCATATGCAAGAGGAGACATGTCAGTGCCTGGCGCAGCGGGCAGGGGCATGGTGCCACAGCGTGTGTTCACGGTGGCCAGTACGCCACAGAGTGAGTGAAGGACGCTGCCACTACTGCCTCCAAATAGGACACGTGTGCCCCCTCAGAGAGGAGCAGGACCCCTTCTGACTTTGAGATGCACAGAACCAACGTGAGGAAGATGGGCTCTCCATCTGGCTTGAGGGGTGCCTGTTATGGACCTGTCTCCACTGTAGCCCCGCCCAAATGTCAGGAACAGGACTCCTGATCTGACAAAACAGAATTCCAAAAAATACAAAAGACTCCTGTCTCCCTTTATCCAGATATGAAATGTTAGAACAAGGACACAGAAATGTCTGTGCTCACCCTTCTATAAGGATAGGCAAATAAGCACAATAGGATGTGTGAAAAATTTAGTCATTTAAATAGAAAGAAACAATGCAGAATCAAAGTAACTCCCATGAAATACAACTGCTGCCAAAAGAGAGAACATTCTAGAAACTACCTAATTCATATTTGCAGTGAGATTCAAGAGGTTGGTGCATCTGTGAAAAGGGAACAAATACGAGAGTGGGAAAGACTACTTTCGGAAGAAAAATATAATCACTGAATTAAAAAATTCATTTGAGACAGTGAACACAGCATGGATAATTCAGATAACAATTAGTCAATGAAAAGAAAAACTTGAGAAATGTTTCTGGCAAGTGGCTTGATATCTATCATATTAGATTGGAGTTGAACCGAATGCTTTATATACCATAAGAAAAATGCATATTACCAAAATTAATTTACAACATGAAAAGGAGGAGGAGGAACGTTGCAACATACATATGTCAGGAAAGACATATTAATATTCTTCTCATATAAAAAGTTCTTACAAGTCAATAAGAAAAAGGCAAAAGGACATAGTCATATATAAATATAAACAAATGGCAATATGCAAATGAAAATGTTCAACATAATTTCTAATACAATATGTGTATAATCTTTGTATCATATCTTTGAAATTTATAGCACTGGATGTTAATGTTAATAAACTGAAAAGTTTCATACAAGATTGATAAGACTGTAAATTGATTTTTAAAATTGTAGGACATTTTGGCAAACCCTTTAATAATGTGTATATGCTTAAAGTCATCAATTCCAGGCTTAGAAATTTATTAGGAAATTATTAAAGCTGGGCACAAAAGTTTTGCCACAATTATGTTTATTGCGGATTATTTTTAGGTGAAAAATGCAAGGTACCAAATAGTATGCACAGTAAGATTTCATTTTTTGCTTCACTCTCTCTCTCTATAGGGTCAATAGTGGTTATGGGCACTGGGAATCTGGGGTCTCTGAAATTCTCCAATTTCTTATATTTTTCTAATAATTATTCAATTAACAATAATGACTAACACTTACTGAGTGCTATTTAGCAGACATTGGGCACCTCACTTATATTAACTAATTTGATACTGCAACAATCCTGTGACATAATTACGACTATTATCTCCAAATGAGGAAACACAGCACAGAGAGGCGAAGTAACTTGCCAAGGGTACACAGCTAGGAAGTGGTACAGTAGAAATTCTAACCCGGGAAGTCTGATTCCAAAGCATTAGTTTTTTTTGTTTTTTGTTTTTTGCTTTTTTTTTGTAATAAGACCAAAATGTGATTATTAATAATAACAGAAAGTTTTTTTAAAAAAAAGTAATATAACACTGATTTAAGATAATAGTTATCTGTTTAGAAGGAGATGAAAAAAAAAGAATGAAATAGGAAAGAAAAAGAAAACTTTAGAAACACCATAAGAAACATGGCAATTATAGCTATAAACATTAAAACATTTTCCTGTGGAAAAAAGATCTTCAGATTCAGAATTATAAATCATCCTACTATAAAGACACATGCACATGTATGTTTATTGCAGCACTAGCTACAATAGCAAAGACTTGGAACCAACCCAAATGCCCATCAATGATAGACTGGATAAAGAAAATGTGGCATATATACACCATGGAATACTATGCAGCCATAAAAAAGGATGAGTTCATGTCCTTTGCAGGGACATGGATAAAGCTGGAAACCATCATTCTCAGCAAACTAACACAGAAACAGAAAACCAAACACTGCATGTTCTCACTCATAAGTTGAACAATGAGAACACATGGACACAAGGAAGGGAACATTACACACCGGGGCCTGTTAGGGGGTGAGGGGCAAGGGGAGGGAGAGCATTAAGACAAATACCTAATGCATGCGGGGCTTGAAATCTAGATGACAGGTTGATAGGTGCAGCAAACCACCTGGCATATGTATACCTATGTAACAAACCTGCACTTTCTGTTCATGTATCCCAGAGCTTAAAGTAAAATTTTAAAAAAAAAAGAAAAAAAGGCCAGGCTTGGTGGCTCACGCCTGTAACCCCAGCACCACTTTGGGAGGCCAAGGTGGGCAGATCATGAGGTCAGGAGTTCGAGACCAGCCTGGCCAACATGGTGAAGGCCCACCTCTACTAAAAACACAAAAATTAGATGGGTGTGGTGGCCCATGCCTGTAATCCCTGCTACTCGGGAGGCTGAGGCAGAAAAATCACTTGAATCCAGGAGGCAGAGGTTGCAGTGAGCTGAGATCGTGCCACTGCACTCCAGCCTGGGCGATAGAGTGAGACTCTGTCTCAAAAATAAAAAAAAAAAAATCCAACAACGTGCCGCTTGTTACACAAGACCAAAGGACTTAGAAAGATTAGACATAAAAGAATGGGAAAGGACCTACTAGGGAAAAGGGATCGACCACACCACAACTAGAGGACATATGCAAAGGTCAGTTCAATCTCATTAATTCCTTGGCTCCCCGTGTTCTTCAGAGTAGAAGACAAAGTCCTGACAAGGCCGACAGGATCCGCCAACCCTCTCCCCATATCCTCCAAGACCTAATCCTCCTCCACTCTCCCCTCATGGATCCAGCTCCAGCTACAGGAGTCTCCTTACTGCTCTTCCAACTTGCCGGGTGCACTCCTGCCCCAGGGCCTTTGAGCTTGCCGTCCTCGCTGCCTAAGACAACCTCTCCCTAGATATCCACACAGCTCCCTCCTCACCTGCTTTAGATCTTTGCTCTATGTTACCTTTTCAGTGAGTTCTTTCCTGAGTTCCCTATAAAATCTGAATGTCTCCACTCCCCAAGAT
Organism: Homo sapiens; assembly: GCF_000001405.40. Classification (NCBI taxonomy): domain Eukaryota; kingdom Metazoa; phylum Chordata; class Mammalia; order Primates; family Hominidae; genus Homo; species Homo sapiens. The sequence goes on along the minus strand of NC_000016.10, from coordinate 24,104,568 downwards.
TCCTTGTCCCCATTTCTTGTTTACTTTTCTCTATGACACTTATCAGCCTCAAACATGCCATGTTTTATTACTTATTTTTGTTCATTTACAATTGTTGTTTATTTTTCTTCAACTAAAAAGAAAACTCCATGAGGCCACGGATTCTTGTCTGTTTTGCTCATTAGTGTCTCTTCAGCACAGCAGGTGCTCACTGTGTATATTCAATGAATGAATGAATGAATGCCAGCAACAAAGTAAAATTATAGAGAAAACGCATTAGCTGCAACAAAGATAACTTCATGTCAATATAATAAGACTTGTAGAGTTATGTGGTTAATAATATTGCCATATACAGATAAGGCAAAAACCCCTAGAAATAAAAAGAATGTTTGTGAATCATTTTGCCTGAAGAAACTTAATAAACACTACACATTTAGCTCAAGCAAACAAAAGGACAATATGAAGGTATAAAAGATCTGGACCTTAGCTGGGCGTGGTGTCTCACATCTGTAATCCCAGCACTTTGGGAGGCCGAGGCGGGCGGATCACCTGAGGTCGGGAGTTCATGACCAGCCTGACCAACATGGAGAAACCCCATCTCTACTAAAAATACAAAATTAGCTGAGCGTGGTGGCACATGCCTGTAATCCCAGCTATTCAGGAGGCTGAGGCAGGAGAATAGCTTGAACCCGGAAGGCGGAGGCTATGGTGAGCCAAGATCGCGGCGTTGCACTCCAGCCTGGGCAACAAGAGTGAAACACCGCCTCAGAAAAAAAAGATCTGGACCTTATAATACATTGGAATGAATAAATGTATACCCTACACTCATGGACATAAAGATGACAACAACAGACACTAGGAACTGTAGAGGGGAGAGGGGAGGGGAAGACAAGGATTGAAAAACTAACTGTTGGGTACTATGCTCAGTACCTGGGTGACGGAATCATTCATACCCCAAACCTCAGCATCATGCAATATACCCAGGTAACAAATTTGTACATGTATCCCGTGAATCTAAAATAAAAGTTGAAAAAAGGTTTATTCTTTCTCCACAAAAAAGTATACTCTACGAATAGCTAATATAATCTTTTTCTTGCAAGTCCACAGAACTTTTAACAACATTGAACAAATACTAAGCTATGCTGAAAGAAAGGAAAGAAAACAGGAGGGAAAAAGAAAAGTGCACAGGCCATATTCTCTAACTTGAAAGCACTAAAACAGTAACTTAACATTAATATTAAAAATTTAAACAAAAATCTAATTCTAGGGGTTAAAAAAAATGCCTAAATTAAAGCATGTTAGAAAAGAAACTAAAACCTCAACTGCAGGCCCTCAAGGAAGTAGCAAAAGCCAGAATGTTAGCATATCAAAACTCAGAGGAAACATTTATTCCCTTAAATGCTTGTTCATTATTTTTGGCCACGTGCGGTGGTTCACACCTGTAATCCCAACACTTTGGGAGGCCGAAGTGAGAGGATGACCTGAGGTCAGGAGTTCGAGACCAGCCTGGCCAACATGGTGAAACCTTGTCTCAACTAAAAATACAAAAATTAGCCGGGTGTGGTGGCAGGCACTTGTAATCCTGGCTACTCAAGAGGCTCAGTCAGGAGAGTCGCTTGAACCTGCAGAGACTGTGCCACTGCACTCCAGCCTGGGCATCAGAGCAAAACTCCGTCTCAAAACAAACAAACAAAAAAGCTATTCATTATTTTTAAAGAGCAGAGTCAGGCGAAAGAAGAAAAAATAAATTAGTAAAATGTTCAACTGAAAGTCAAAGCCAAACACAAAATAAACCTACAGAAAAGGAGAAAACAAACAAAATTGATACACAAATCCCAGAGTTAATTCCTTGAAGAAAATAAATAAGTAAATAAAACAGATGAACCTCTGGAAAATGAAGGGGAAAGAAAGGAGACAGTATAAATAAACAAAATTAGAAACAAAGAGGCGGATTTGTCAACAGATACAGGGCAGTTGGCCAAGAGGCAGACAGGGGGCCTGGGGCTGGTGCACCACATCTGATAGCTTCCACAGCTGCATCTGCTGTTTCTGCCACACGGTCTTCAATTACAGCACAACAGAAGAGCTGATGGAGCCCATCCCCTTCTAAATGGTGAATCTGAGTTTCAGAAAGGGTGTGAGACTTGCTCAAGATCACATAATGTTCAAAGAATCCCAGGGGCAAGAATCCAAATGTCTAGGATCTGGTCCATTTACAGTCAAGACAGCATCGCAAATGTCTTGGCCGTAAATCTGAGGAGGACTTTTATCTGCAAAAATCTGCAGAGGGCTTTTATTTTGGAAAAGTTCCCTTCCAACTATTATGTCATCAACTTCACAGCTATCCTAAGTGGTGGATGGAGGACAGGGGGTGTTGTAATCAATCTGATGGGTGGCATATCTGCTGTGAAAGCTGTAGTACAGAGAGGTGAAGTGGCTCACCTGAGGTCACAAAGCATCCATCCAGTCAGGAAAGCCGAAATAAAATCCCAGCTGTCTACCCTCTAGCCTTCCACCTAACCCTGTATCAGGAGGCAGAATGGAATTTGTATATGCTTAGGCTCTGGCATCATAGAAATCTGGACCTGAACCCAGCACCGTTGCTTACAAGCTGTGTATCCCTAACACACTGCTGAACTATTCTGAGCCTTGGAAATGATGAAACCTAGAATAACTGGAGAATTAAATGATCATCTAAGTGTAAATGCAGTAATATTTTGGGCTTACTCCTGATACACTATCCCTATTCTTAAGCCGTTTTTTTCTTCCCTGCTCTCAGCCTTAGGGGAGTAGACAAGGCAGGCACTAGCCCAGGAAGAAGGATATGGCATGTGTGGGAGTTAAACCACTTTTGCAAAAATTATGACAGTAAGAGAAATATGACATAGAAAAGCTATGACAGTGTAAGAAATCGGACCTAACTAACTCCATCTGCTTCTAATCTCCAAGCTATCCTTGTCCATTCCTGGGCCTAGGCCAAGCTAACTATGGGAAGAAGTTAGTTTCAGTTCAACTTCATTTTTTATTTGTATTTGTTTCTTTATTTACTTTGAGACAGGGTCTTTCTCCATTGCCTAGGCTGGAGTGCGATGACACAATCACAGCTCATTGCAGCCTCAACCTCCTGGGCCCAAGTGATCCTCCCACCTCAGGCTCCTGAGTAGCTGGGAGCACAGGTGCATGCCGCCATGCCTGGCTAAATTTTTTGTTGAGACAGGATCTCATTGTTGCCCAAGCTGGTCTCTAACTCCCGAACTGAAGCAATCCTCCCACCTTGGCACTCCCAAAGTGCGGGGATTACAGATATGAGCCACCACACCTGGCCATTCGTTTAACTTTAAAACAAAGACGATAACAGCTCCTTCCCAAAACTAACCATCTCCTTGCTTGGGGACTAAAACTGCCTTTGTAAAACTAACATATTAGCCACAAAGTTAGAATTCTGGCTCCAGAGACATGTAGCCAGAGGTCACAAGATTCAGGATCTCCCCAATTGCTCCTATAGATAAAATCACTATTATAGACCTAAAATTGGTGTTTGAAATATTTTCCAGACCCTGCATTCTGATGGACCAGCTGGTGCAACCCAGACTGGGAATCCATACAACGAAACTGGCTTACCTGGTCTTGTGATCCTCACCCAGGAACTGACTCAACATGAGAAGACAGCTTTGACCCCCTATGATTTCACTCTCAACCCACCAATCAGCATTCCCCATTCCCTAGCCCCCACTTACCACTAAACTGTCCTTGAAAAACCCTAGTCTTTGAATTTTGGAGGAGGCTGATTTGAGTAATAAACTCCCATCCTTCAGCTTGGCTGGCACTGTGTTTATTAAACTCTTTCTCTGCTAAAATATTGCCGTCTCAGTGAATCAGCTCTAGATGAACTCATTGGGTGATTGTAGGAGAAGCCCCTCCCTTTGGGGCTTGGAGAACCTTGGGAAGGAGAAAGGACAGGTGGTGGGGAGAGGTGGGTTTCCCTCCTCCTCGGCTGGAACGCTGGCCAGAGACCTATCCATGCACCAGGCAACATCATTCCAGCAGCAGCAGAAGGAGCAGAAAAGACTCCTCAGGGGGAGGACTCAGGCAGGTTCCTGGCCTCCCTGAACCAGGCCCAGCAGTGGCCTATGAGTGGGACAGAGAGGGTGCTGCATGGAGGGAACTCACAAGGAGAAGCAACAGGCCAGGATCTTCAGCACAAAGCCAGAATGATGCCCCAAAGCTAGGTGGGACCAGTCCCACTTCAGTGGGCGCTGGTTTAGGAACGTAGGCTAAAAATAAAATCTTAAGGCCCCCCACTGACAGAACAGACCCCCTCCTCGGCCAAGAGGATCTAAGAAAAACCTTAAAAACAGAATTATCAGCCATGAGAGAAAGGAGATTGGACACGTCTTGTTATGCCTCCTTTCTTTGGGAGTTTATATACAACAATGGACTGACATGAATGTTAAAGTAGAGATCATAAGACTGACAAAACAGACTCTTTGTGGCAATAAAATATCAGATTATAAACAGGACTAACGCCAGGCCAGGCAAAGGTGAAGTTGCACCATAAGCAAGCCATCTTGCTGCACAGCATCCTCAACTTAAACACTCTTTTTTTTTTTTTTTTTTTGAGATGGAGTCTCACTCTGTCACCCAGGCTGGGTGTAGTGGCGGGATCTCAGCTCACTGCAACCTCCGCCTCCTGCGTCAAGCAATTCTCCTGGTCAGCCTCCAGAGTAGCTGAGATTACAGGCATGTGCCACCACAACTTGCTAATTTTTTTGCATTTTTAGTAGAGACGGGGTTTCACCATGTGGGCCAGGCTGGTCTCGAACTCCTGACTTCAAATGATCCACCTGCCTCGGTCTCCCAAAGTGCTGGGATTGCAGGCATGAGCCACCACGCCCAGCCAACATAAAATATTTCTTTCTGTTAACTCCAAGTTTTAGCAAAGTCTTACTCTAACCAACTGCAAATTAAAGAATCTCCTATAACCCATAAGCCCCATTTAAAGCTATCCTGCCTTTTGGGCCCAAACCAATGTATAATCTCCATGTATTGATTTATGTCTTTGCCTGTAACTTCTGCCTCCCCAGAACATGTAAAACCAAACTGTAATCTAACCACCTCAGGACCACTTATTCAAAGCTTCTTGGGTTTGTGTTTCCCCAGGCCACAGTCACTTATATTGACTCAGAATAAACTTCTTTAAAATATTTTACAGAGCTGGGTTTTGCTGTTAACAGTGACCAGTCAGAAAAGTGAAACAGTGAAGCTCAGAAAGTACCACATGCAGCATATAGAGTCCCTTCTCCTCGGTCACCAGGAGCTCACAAAAGTGCATGAGAAAGTCTAAGTCCATTATAGAAAAGAAATAAGCTTTATTTTTTCTGCACACCTGATCAGTGCTGTGTAAAATTGTGACTCCACGACATCTGGAAAAGCTCAACCCAGAGCCTGGCATCTATTAAGAGTCAATGAGTAGTAGCTATTGTTATTATAATTATTATTATTATGTTTCCTCCTGTCACACTGATACCCCCTGAGGATCATGCATTCTTTCTCTTTAACCTCTTTAAGTTTGATTTAAAATGAGAATGAAACATCCACTGTGAGTAACTGATGTACACCCTGCAAAGTCAAGTCATTTGCATGTTAGGGAAAAATATCCAAAGCTTGGGGGAAAAAGAAAACCAAAAAGATGACCGTGTGAACTTTTAATGTCATGCTAGAGCATTTTCTAATTAGCTATTTCTTTCCTCACAGTAATATTACTTTGTTTAGTTTATTATTCACCATCAGGTCAGCCCCAGATGGCCTCCCTAGTCTGCAAAGATACATGTTAACTTTTAGAAAACTGAGGTGAAATCTTTGCCCAGGCTGGAGTGCCGTGGCACCATCTCAGCTCACTGCAACCTCTGCCTCCTGGGTTCAAGCGATTCTTCTGCCTCAGCCTCCCGAGTAGCTGGGAATACAGGCACCTGCCACCATGCCCAGCTAATTTTTGTATTTTTAGTAGAGACATGGTTTCACTATGTTGGCCAGGCTCGTCTCAAACTCCTGACCTCAGGTGATCCGCCCGCCTCAGCCTCCCAAAGTGTTGGGATTACAGGTGTGAGCCGCCATGCCTGGCCAAAATCTTTTTTTTGTTTCATTCTAGTAGATAACCCCAAAGCTTATGATTCTATTGTCCTGTATATCAGTCAGTTTTATATTTAACTGAGCAAAGTTATTTCAGCATATCTTTTTCTACTGACTACACGAACATCAGTTTATCAAACCTTCTGTGGAATCATTCATTCATCCTGCTGCTTTTCTCCTTAGTGAGCTAAGGAAATCTTTGGCCAATGCCCATTAATGCCCATTATCTATCTTATGAGAACTATGTTTTTAACCATTTGTGAATTGTGCTTTAACACAACTCTTTTGGGGTACATTCTGTAAACCAAAATAAAATTCTAAGCCCCCTAGCCATGTAAATGGACCCCTTCTCTCAGCCAAGGGCATTCCAAAGTTAACCTGAAAAACTGTTTCAGGCCATGATGAGAAGGGAGAGTCAGACACGATGTCTCATTATATCCCCTTCCTTTTGGAATTCAGGAAAAGCCAACCAGCATTAACATCAACACAGACCTTAAGTCTGATAAGAAACAATTACCATCTAGTCTCTCTGAAGCCTGCTACCTGGAGGCTTCATCTTCATGATAAAACTTTGGTCTCCACAACTCCTTATGTAACCCAGACATTCCTTTCTATTGATAACAGCTCATTCAACCAATTGCCAATCAGAAAATTGTAAAATCTACCTATGACCCGGAAGCACCTCCCCGTCCCACTTTTAGTTGTCCTGCCTTTCCAGATTGAGCCAATGTAAATCTCACATGTATTGATTGATGTCTTACGTCTCCCTAAAATGTATAAAAGCAAGTTGTACCCCATCCACCTTGGGCCCATGTCATCAGGATCTCCTGAGTCTGTGTCACTGGCACATCCTTAACCTTGGCAAAATAAACTTTCTAAACTGATTGAAATCTGTCTCAGATACTTTTGGGTTCAAAACTCTCAGCTCCTGTCTTCTTCACATCTTCCATCATGTTGTCATTGATTTGTCATTTGCGTAATTCCTTGTTCAATGTTTATCTCCCCAACCCACCCTCTGCCATAAGCTAAGCTCCATGAAGTCATGTCTGTCTTATACCTCCATGTGTTTCTAGTGACCAGCACCTAGTGGACACTCAATATATGTTTCAAGAAAAGCCTAAGATAGGCTGGGCACGGAGGCTCACACCTGCAATCCCAGCACTTTGGGAGGCCAAGGCAGGCAGATCACAAGGTCAGGAGATCGAGATCATCCTGGCTAACATGGTGAAACCCCATCTCTACTAAAATTACAAAAAATTAGCTGGGCGTGGTGGCGGGCACCTGTAGTCCCAGCTACTCGGGAGGCTGAGGCAGGAGAATTGCTTGAACCCAGGAGGCAGAGGTTGCAGTGAGCCGAGATCACACCACTGCACTCCAGCCTGGGTGACAGAGCAAGACTCCGTCTCAAAAAAAAAAAAAAAAAAAAAAGGCCTAAGATGAAACATGGAGCCAAGACAAGGAAGTCATAAGGTGAACAATGGAAAGGAAAGATGTGTGTGTGGTCCAAAGGACACATCTCTTTCTCGCTAAACCAGTTTGATTTTTATTTTCTTTCACTTGAAGCTGAAAAGGTCCTGAATGAGACAATTCAGATATGAGACAATTTATCTTAAAGAAGTAATAGCAGCCCAATTGCCACTTCTCCCAAAGTTATAGTGCCAGGTTAAGCTATTTCTTCTGACTCCTTGACTCAGTTAACTGTGAAACAGTTGCCAAGGGGGCTTACCCAGCCTCTCTGTTGGTAACATTGGAGGATATATATATATATATATATATATATATATATATATATATTTTTTTTTTTTTTTGCCATAGGAAGGGAGCAAAATAAAATCTTCAGGACAAAGGAGACACAGCAGCTGACTATGAAAACAACACCCCAGTACATCTATGATCTGTGGCCAGACTTGCTAAGGACTCCCAAGGAAGCGGTAGCTTCTCAGACACCATCTGACAGTGGGTTGCTCATATCTTTCAGGTGAAGTGTACAAGCCACTCTAGTGTCCATGGAGCCAGTCATGGAACTGTCTTTGCAGAAATTGTAACAGGGAGAAAATGATGACGTCAGTGAAAGAGATTTGATCTAACCAACCCCCAGCTTGCCTTTAACCTCCAAACTGCCCTTACGCTTTCCTGGGCTCGGGCCAAGTTAACTTTGTGACAAATTTAGTGTTTATTTTATTTTATTTCATTTTATTTTGAGATGGAGTCTTGCTCTGTCACCCAGGCTGGAGTGCAGTGGCATGATCTCGGCTCACTGCAACCTCCGCCTCCCTGGTTCAAGTGATCCTCACATGCCAGCACACCCAACTAATTTTTGTATTTTTAGTACAGACAGGGTTTCACCATGTTGGCCAGGATGGTCTCGATCTCCCGATCTCGTGATCCACCCACCTCGGCCTCCCAAAGTGCTGGGAATACAGGGGTGAGCCACTGCGCCCGGCCTAGTGTACATTTTAAATGATAATAGCCCTTGCCCAAAACTAAACTACCTTCATAAAGCTAATGAGGGACCATGAGGTTAGGAGGATGAGAGGAGCCTGAATTCTGCTAAGGTGTAGACATAAAGGATTACCAGCCATTATTCCAGAGGTCACAAGATTTGCAACTTTCCCAATGACCCCCGCAGATAAGATCACTATTGTAGACTGGCCTTTTGAGATGTCTCTTCAGGTTTTTTTGCATTTCTCGTAACCAATGGCTCCACCCCGACCAGACCGCCAACCTAACTTTGAAAGAAATTTGTTGTATATTTTAAATTATGACAGCCCTTTCCCAAAACTAAACTGCCTTTGTAAAACTAATGAAATATTGCCAAGTTAGGAGAATGAAAGGAGCCTGAATTCTGCTAAGATGTAGACATGGATTATTATCAGCCTTTATCCCAGAGCTCACAACACTTCCAACTTCCTAAGTTACTCCTACAGATAACATCACTACTGTAGAACTTGAGATTGGCCTTTTGAGATGTCTTTTCAGGCTTTTGCCTTCCTGACAACCAGACTGCCCCACCTGGACCTGCCAACTAGTCCTGTGGCCCCACCCAGAAGTGGACTCAGTGCACGAGGACCATTTTTCACACCCCTATTACTGCATCCCCAACCAGTCAGCAGCACCCATTCCCTAGCCACCCTACTCCTTGCCAAACTATCTTTGAAAAGCCCTAGCTTCCAAATTTTCAGGGAGGCTGATTTGAGTCATAAAAAAACTCTGTTCTCCCATTTAGCTGGCTCTATGTGTGTAAAACTCTTTCCCTATTGCAATTCTCCCATCTTGATAAATCGGCTCTGTCTGGGCAGCAGGCACAAAGAAGCCACTGGGCAGTTACAGTCTCATCATGTAGTTTAGTAAATTGGCCCAGATGTAATAAAATAGGGAGTGGTGAGGACGGTGACAAATAGAAAATCCATGTCCTGTCTAAAGGGGGCATTAACTATTCAACTGTTCTCAATTGTTGCCTTCTAGCCCCAGATTTTTAAAATACTAGAACTAATTCCCTCCCTCCCTCCTTCTGTCCCTCCTTCCCTTCCTCCCTTCCTTCCTTCCTGCTTTCCGTCTTTCTTTCTTCTTTCTTTCTTCTTCCTTTCCCTTTCCCTTTTTCTTCCTTTCCTTCCTTCCTTCCTTCCTTCCTTCCTTCCTTCCTTCCTTCCTCCCTCCCTTCCTTCATTCCTTCTCTCTCTCTCTCTTTCTTTTTTATCACTCTGTCACCCAGGCTGGAGTGCAGTGGCTCAATCTCTGACCACCTTGCTCACTGCAACCTCTGCCTCCAGGGTTCAAGTGATCCTCCCATCTCAGCCTCCTGAGTAGCTGGAACTACAGGCACACACCACCATGCCCAGCTAATTTTTCATGTTTTTGATAGAGATGGGGTTTCACCATGTTGCCCAGACTGGTCTTAAACTCCTGAGCTCAAGTGATCTACCTGCCTCGGCCTCCCAGAGTGCTGGGATGACAGGTGTCAGACACGAGGCCTGGCCTCTTTCTTTTTTGTTTTTAGTACAAGGACCAAACAAAACATATCTGCAAGGCAGATCCAATCAACCAGACTTCACTTTGGGACTCTGTTTTAGTATTTCAATTTTTGGAGAAAAAGGAAAACATACTTGACCCCGCGTTTGATGGAGCAAGCTGTATGGTAGCTTTCAAGGCAAAATCTTACTTACCAGCCATCAACACTGGCTTTCTGAAGTTCAGAAATCCCAAAGGACAAAGATCCCATGAAGTCATTCCTGCTGGTCAAATCCCAATCCCAAATCTCTACTGACAGTCTTCTGTCTTTGTCCGATTCTTTCAGCTGACTGCATAGAGAAAAAGAAAAGACATCAGTGGAGGTTGTAGTAATTTCTCAAGCAGAATAAATGTACAAGAGGACAAGACCTGGAGGTAGAAAGTTTTAAAGATTACAAGCTGCTGAAAGAAACATATTCAGTTTCCATCCCAGGCTAGCTCTCCAGGGAGTGAGAGCTTTTTCTGTTTGACAGCCTGTGGCTTAAACAGGCAGAGGTCTTAGACTGGCTATGACAAGAACAGTTCTAACTACTTTTGTTATCTTATGTCTTAATAGGGTTCAGGATATTCAGGAATTCCTATTGCCTATAAGAAATACAGATATCAATTGCATAATTGGGTGTGTACATGTGTATATCTGCACACAGGTGGGTTGAGAATGAGGCTGAGGAAATGCATGGAGAAAAATCCTGGGGAAATTGTCTGTTCTGAGACATGTCCTTGACTGAGGCTGAGAAGGGGCCCAGCTTTGCCCTGAGAGAGGGAAGAGGAGACAGGACAAGGAACTGTGCTTCTAGCTGGTGGCTAAAAAAGTATGACCGCTAAAGTCAGACTGCCAGAAGCTGAATCCCACTCCACCCCATATTTGCTATGGGACTTTGGGCATACTCTTTAACCTCTATAAGCCCTATTGCTACATTGGGAATAAAATGAGCCGATGAAGTCGGATCGCTTAACCCAGTGTTTGTCACACATCATATATGCTCAGTGAATTGGCTGTTATAACCAACTCCTGATGCCTAGATGTACAAGAAAGAGACTCCCAGATTCTTGGAGCCCTGGCCAGGGAAGACCCTCAAGGGAGGCTGGTGGAGATGTCCCAGAAGGCTGCAGGCCAAGCATCATCCATAAACCCAACTCTAGAGAGGCTGTCACCACACCCTGTAGGTTATGTTCCCCTATTTGCTGAGCCCCATCATTTCTCCCACAACTTGCCTTCACTTAGCAACACATCACACCATTTCCTGTCCTACCCACTCCCCCACACCACAGGCATTCTCATCTCTATTAAAAAAATAGCTCTAATTTTTTTTCTTGGCTCACAATACAAAATTGCAGATGGAAAAGAAGGGAGGGAAAGATAGGAGTGAGGGATGGAGAAGACAGAAAAGGAGGGAGGTAGGGAAGGAAGGAAACAGGAGCTAAGGGAGGAGGAACTCCCTGATTTCAGGTGGCACATAACCCAACCTCCACCACCCATGCTCACTGCAGTCATTTCCACTTACAATCTAAATGTCTCATTCCACTCAGGGTTGAGGGAGCATTTGATGGTTTTGGTCTTCTGTTTGCTCTCACTTTTGGGATCGGGAATCAGTTTCAGTTTTACGTAGGGATCTGACAGGCCATTGGGGTCCATAGGTACAAGGTTTTTAGCATCTCTTACTGAAAAAGAAAAAGCAGTTTTTGCATTAATACTGTCCAACATGTTTAAGCACCAAGCAGTGACAGCTGCAGAACTTGTGGAAGGTTCTTTGGCATCACACTTGTTTAGTGAGAAATTTAATTTTATTAACATCCATAGCTGAAGCAGTGCACAAAATGAGATGGGCTGATAAGATGTCAACTCTGGTCTGTGTTGGTTAAAAATGGATTTCTGACTTTTACACTGCTCTTCCCATACCAAGATTAACTGTAAGTTTTCTAAGCTTATTTTCCACAAAGCCCACAGGAAAGGCTGGCTTCTTTCATTTAGCATAACGTTTTCAAAGTTCACCACATTATAGCATGTATCAGCACTTCATTTTTTTGCATGACTGAATAATATTCCATTGTATAGATATCCCACATTTTGTTTATCCATTCAGCAGTTGATGCATAGTTGGGTTGTTTCCACTTTTTGGCTGTTGTGAATACTGCTGCTATGAACATTTGTGTACCCCAACACAAAAGGTCACATATTGTATGATTCCATTTACATGAAACATCCCAAACAGGTAAATCCATAGAGACAGAAAGTAGACTACTATTAATAGTTGCCAGAGGCTGGAGGGAAAGGGAAATGGGGAGTGACTGCTTAATGAGTACAGGGTTTCTTTTAGAGGTGATGAAAATTTCTGAGAACTAGATAGAGATGATGGTTGTCCAACACTGTGAATATTCTATAAATGTCACTGAATTGTACGTTTAAAAACAGTTAATGGTTAATTTTATGTTACGTTAATTTTACCTCCATTCAAAAAGAAAAAGCTAAAGAAAGGAAGAATTACCCTCTAAACCAAGGTACACCTATTATCCATGTATCACCCATAACCAGCACCCAGACAGCCCATAGAGAGAAGGCTGGAACAATGTCAGCAGCATTAGAGCTCAGCTCCACCCTGACTCCAGAACACCCAGGTAAAGAGGCTATAAGGCTAACATGGTGAAACCCTGTCTCTACTAACAATACAAAAAAATTAGCCAGGCATGGTGGCAGGTGCCTGTGGTCCCACCTACTTGGGAGGCCCAGGCAGGAGAATGGCATGAACCCAGGAGGCAGAGCTTGCAGTGAGCCAAGATCATGCCACTGCACTCCAGCCTGGGCGACAGAGTGAGACTCCGTCAAAAAAAAAAGATGAACTTACAGGAGAAAAGGAGGCAGGGAATCAGCAGTGAAGATGCAACTGGCTATAGAAAGGATGAGGGAGACTAAATCATCAGCTTGGAGAAACAGGAAGTAGTTAATTAGGAATCAATTCAGAAACCAGTAATGCAGGTAGTCAATGGAAGCAGACTAGAAAATGAGAATTGCACAGCTCTTAAGGATACAATGTCAATCATCTCACTTACAGTAGAACAATCCACAGTAATACATTCAATCCAAATCGACTCTAACTATCTGCTAAAAGGTGAATACATAATGACTCCTATCAGGAATGCAAAGATGGTTCAATCTTAGGAAATCTATTTTCAATATATTCATCATATTTATAGATCAAAGAAGAAAACCATAAGATCATTGTAGTTATCTAGAAACAGCAGAGAATTTTAACAGGATAAAGGCTATCTGAAATAACAGCACCATGGTTCATGATAAATGCAATTCCATTAAAGTAAGGAATAAGACAAAGATATCCATTACCATAGCCATTATTTAATACTTTTTTTTCTCGTGTTCCATAAGTGCAGTAAGAAATAAAGAGTTACCCTCTAAACCAAGATGCACCTATTATCCATGTATCACCCATAACCTGCACCCAGACAGCCCATAGGGAAAAGGCTGGAAAAATATCCACAGCATAAATAAAACCAGAAATTTTGTAAACTCAAGATAACAAGAAAAACAGATTAGAAGAAAGAATATTGGAAAGTAGGAGAGAAAGCACCCCCTCATTTCCTGCAACCTTTGCTCACCCCCAATCATAGTTATCTCCTACCATGGTCACGCTCTGGAGCCTATTATCCCAGAAATTATACCACTTTCTCAATCTCAGTTTCAAGTACCCTACTATCTTACACCAATTTCTATTTTTCCAATTCATTAGTTCTATTATTCTACTGCAATAAATCTTCCCCTATTCGTCAGTCCATTCTCCACCAATCAGTCCCTCGAACCCAACACATTCTCTTGATCTCCCTATTCCCTCTTGCTTTTACTCCATTCATATCCAGATTCAATTTTATGGTGCATTTTAGCTACTCCTTTGGAAAGACCCTCAACTCCCTTGCCCCTCTTTCTTTTTATTTTACTTGTCTCACATGACCCCAGCCCTACTTAAATTCAAATACCTGTCCTTTCTTACTCTGTCCTTTTCCTACACTCAAACAGCTGACCATTGCTGGAAAATAAATAAGACTGACTTCCCTAAAATGATACAGCTAGTAAGGGGTTGAGACCGAATAAATGAGATGGGAGAAGCATTGAATCGGCTACCAGGATCAAGCTGTAACTTATTCTGTGCTGACATTTTTTCTGCACTCCAGCAACATGGCAGTGTCTTCTATTTTTCCACAGGCTGAATTCATCTCCCATCTCAGCTTGCAAGCTGCATCTCATTTTTACACCAAAAGCAAGATGTTGACCTTGATCAGTTAAGTTCAACAAGCAAGTCCCTACTAAGTGCTAAGCATTCTGCTAGGCCCTGGGGATATAGGGGACAAAATAAAATGTTAATCTTGTCCCCAAGACAGACCATATAGTGTCATGGACACAGGGCTATAAGATCCCAGGGTCCGCATCTTACCAAGCAGTTACTTCACACATATGAACCTCAATTTCTTGATCAATAAAATAGGTTGTTACAAGAGTAAAATTGGATAAAGAATATACATGTTTAGCACAGAACCTGGAACTTAAAAAATACTCAATAAATGTTAACTGCTATATATTACTGCTATTTCATTATTATTCTTATTCATATGCAATGCCCTCTTTCACTACGTTTTTGTTGTGTGTGTGTGTGTGAGAGAGAGAGAGAGAGAGACAAGGTCTCACTCTGTCACCCAGGCTGGAGTGCAGTGGCATGATCATGGTTCACTGCAGCCTCGACCTCCCGGGCTCAAGTGATCCTCCCAACTCAGCCTTCCAAGTAGCTGGGACTACAGGTGCTTGCCAACCTATGCCTAACTAATTTTTAAAAAAATTTTTGTAGAGGTGGGGGTCTCTCTATGTTGCCCAGACTGGTTTCAAACTCCTGGATGCAAATGATCCTCTAGCCTTGGTCTCCCAAAGTGCTAGGATTACAAGTGTGAGCCACCATGCCTTGCCTGTTTGTCTATTTTTATTATGAAGAGTTAACCATTTCCACACGTACTGACATCAAATGGAACCATTTGTGGTTTTCTTCTTAACAATGCATTCGATGTTTACTCGAACCCTTCCACAGGAGAGCTTCTTAAACCTTAGTGTGCATAAAAATTACTCAGAGGACTCATGAGACACATGTATCTGGCACCCACCCCCACAGATAGATTCTGATTCCCTAAGTCTGCAGTGAAACCTGTCCATATGCTTTTCTAAAACATTTCCATGTGATGCTGATGCTGCCAGTCTATAAGACACACATTAAGTAACATTGTTCTGGAGAATAATAATTTCTCAAAATACCCATGCATTTTCCCCATAGAATATAATATCCAACTGTTACTTTCATTTCTTGAGCCTTCCAAGGAAAATAACATGTACCAGTTTCTAGGCTGGGATCTTGGAGTGACACATCTATCACATAGTGAGCTGCACACACACAGGATTGAGACACTCAGATGCGCCAGAAGCTTGTCTGTCTGGTTGATTGGTAACACAGAGGCAAGAGGAAACAGCTCATCTTTCTTCTCCCTGGCAAGGCCACTCCCCCTCCTCCGCCCCAGTCTTATGAACTGACACCACAAGGGTAGTCACTGGAAAAAGATCTTCTATCATAAGCTTAAGGAATTTACAGCTCTTTTAGAGTGCTCTTTGCTGGACAAGAGTGTTGTATTTTGAAGCTGTCAATCTCAAGACTCGTGGTTTAAGAGCAATTTTTTTTTTTTTTTTTTTTTTTGACACAGGGTCTCGCTGGAGTGCGGTGGCGCGATCACGGCTCACTGCAGCCTTGATCTCCCAGGATCAAGCGATGCTACCACCTCAGCACCCTGAATAGCTGGGACTACAGGCATGTGCCACTACATCCAGCTAACTTTTAAAAAATTTTTGTAGAGATGGAGTCTCACTATGTTACCCAGGCTGGTGTCAAACTCCTGGCCACGAGTGATCCTCCCGCTTCGGCCTCCCAAAGTGCTGGGATTACAGGTGTGAGCCACTGTGTGCAGCCAAGAATGACCTTTTCTTGGGAATCTAATCATTGCAGAGCCAAACATTACTCACTGAGGCATGACTCTTCCCTCACCTTTATAGGTCCTTTCTTCTACTTTTGTCCTTTTGAGCTTATTCTCTACCAAAGGGGCCAAAACTTTCTGTGCAACGGAATGCTGTGGAATGCATCCTGAGACTGCTGGCATTCACATCTCCAAGAGCTCTGGCTACTAAAACCATCTATCATGAGCAGTTGACAGTAGCTGCAGGCTAAGATCCAAAGGGCTGTCCCTCCTGAAGTGTTTCAAAGTTGAGTCGTGTTTCCCAGCAGCAAGAGAGCCGCATATGTATCGCGGAAGCAAATCTCTCTAGACCACACTTGGCGAGACCGACTTTGATTTTTCTTGATAAATGTTTCTTTACTATCTTTGTTGAAACTCAGCCAGCCCAGATGGTACCAAATGCTTCACACAGAGCAGAAATAGCAAACGTCCCCACTGGTGGAAGTTTGCAAAGAGTACAGGAGAAGCGTGTCCTGGTCCAGAGAACACTGCTTGCCGTGGGCATGGGGCTCTGGGTGCAGGGTGAGGTCTGCCTGTTTCTGTCTAAGGGTCTTTGGAGCAAGCGAGGCCTCTGCATTCTGGTCCAAGTTCTCTAAGACAGCACTGAATCCATAAAAAGATAGCATGCATGTTAACTATTTTTCCAAGAATTGTTCTTCACCAAGAAGTTCCTTAATTGTTTTTTCTTTCTAAGAAGATACAATTATCTGTCAGAAAACTCAGAATAATTGTGCTGCTTTCATATCCCGATCCCACATTATGTGAATCAGGAGCATCTCTTATTTAACTCCTTTTGAAGGAACTTTCCTCAATATTGTGAGTCTTGCTTTGTCCTCACTGTGTGTCCTCAAAACAGTAATTCATTCCAGTGAAGGATTTATTAAGGAAAAATAAAAGAACATTAATCCAAAGTAATACCCACTAATATTCAGCCTGAGGATGTGTGCAATTATAAAAGTAGGAAATAACCTGAGTGCCCACCAATGGGGGAAACAGTAAATAATATATGGCGCATTCATACTGTGACGCACTTTGCCCATGCCGATAACATTGGGTTATCTATATGCAGAAACGTGTTGAAAAAAGCAAGATGAAGCACGTTGAAAAAAGAAGATGAGGGCAATATAATGCCTCTTTGTTTAAGAAAGAAGCGTGAAGGCATTAGTGGTTCAATTAGTGAAATCTGGAGCTGAACTGTCAGATAATAGCATTGGGTCAATGTTGCATTTCCTCATTTGAATAAATGTACTAAGAATATTTTTGTTCTTGGGAAATACAACTGAAGTATTTCAGGATAAGTGGAAACCATGACCCCAACTTACTCTCAGATGGATCAGAAAAAAAATGTGCACACATATAAAAATACATTAGTAGAGAAAATGCTAAACCAAATGGAGCAAAATATAAACAATTAGTACATCAGGTAAAGTGTATACAGAAATTTCTTTTACTGTTATTGCAATTTTCTGTCATTTTGAGATTATGTCAGAATAAAAAAATTTTAAAGGCCCTCCAAATATTTAAAAGAAAGGTACAGTAAAATGCATTTTCTACAAGGTCATATATGAATGTAAATATATAGAAAAGAGTCTGAAAAGATATACCCAAAATTGATTTAAAATAATGTCCACCTCTGAGGAACAGGTAGAGGAACCTGATTTGAGGGTTGTGAATAAAGATTTTAGCTTTATCCATCACATTTTAAATTTCTGACAAAGAGAATGTATTCTTGTATTAATTGTGTTATTAAAACAATTTACAAATTCAGTTGTGCTTTTACAGTTTCCAAGAATCTATTGCCCTGGCTTTCAGAGACCCCATCCTATTCCTCCAAAGAGTTTATAGGGTAATTGGATCCGCAGGGTGATACTTAAAAACTTTTGGTTTGCATCATAGAACCCAGAAAATGAGCTCCGTGGTGAATAACACACAGACCCAGGATAAGCTCATTGAGGTCAGCTGGACATCCTCAGCACATGCCCTAACCAGGGTTGGAGGGAGAGACTAAACAGGTCAATCATTTCAGATCCATCAACCTATTTTCACTGTCCTGCCCTGCCCCTCTCCTGTTTCAGTTATCTGTTGGTGGCTGACAGTTTACCTGGTCCTTTGCTTGAACCCCCCTGCCCTGCCATACCTTCCCAAGTTGGAAGCTTCTTTAGCCCTTTGCTCTACAATCTAGATTTGTGTCCCATCGATTCCTGTTTACTTATTACTTCTTCTAACCCTGGGGGTTTCTGACCCCAAGGTTCTCTGATGCTGTGGCTTTTATGAGCCCTGAAATCCCTCAGAATCCCCTTCCCAGCCTCTGTAACTGGCCATGCTGTATAATCTTCACCTGATAGGCTCTGATTACAAAACCAGCAAACGTGGGGTCTTTGGGCAGCCCACATCCAGCATCAAAGTCCTCCCGAGCACATCGTGGTCCCAAAGGCTCCTAGAACAGCTGGCTTCCCATCATTGCTGGCAGTGGTACAGTTATCACACATCTAATTATCTGTGTTGAGACAGACTTCCAGCTGGGACTGTCATGGTGTCTGTCAAGAAGAGAGCCTGTCAAGCCACAGCTAGTGAAACAATGGTGGAGAGCTAGCGTGGTGAATCAGGAACTAAGTTAGCAATGGCTAGACCTCAGAGTCAGGCAGACACGGTTGTCAATTCTACCTCTGCCATGACTCTCACTAACTGGGTGATCTCACTCAAATGGCTTCTCTGAGCCTTTGTCTCCCCACCCCCAAATTCTCATAAACCTACACAGACAACTCAAATGGGCTCTTGGATAATAGTGGGGGTGACCATCCATCCCAGTTTTCCCAGAGCAACCTCAATTTAGAACTGTTGTCCTCTCACTCTTAAGAGAGTCCAAATTTTAACAATAAATTATATGACTACCCTAATGATAGAGGATAACAGTGTCAAAGTGGAATGTAAGGCACATGGCAGAGGCTCAACAAATGTTGATTTCCTTTCTCCTTTCAGAGAATTTAGACCAAATTATGTAACAATCAAGATAAATTCCAGGGCTAAAAGAGTATCCCTCCAATGTGATTTTCATACAAATGAATCTTGGAGGAGGTCTGAGAATAATAGACGACGTGAAGTCAAACGTATCATCCATTCTTCTTATGACCTCCTCTCCACTCCAGTCCAGGCATTTGGAGTTTCACCTGATATGGCATAGCCTCTAAACTCTCCAGTGGTAGTTTATCCTTTTATGTCTCTACTCCCTTTACCTGGCTTTTTTTTTTTTTTCATTTCATCAAACCCTCCAGTTCCTCAACTGTTTCCTTTCCCCTGGTCCATCAGTGCATTGCTACGGTTTTACTTCCTCCCTACCACTTCCCATATGGAAAAGCCATTCAATCGCTTCTGACCAGTGGCTTAAATGTCCTTACCTTCCTGTCTCTTCAACATCCTGTGTGCATACCCTCAACCATGAGTGAAATTTGCTCTAGACAGTGTCCCCAGGGGAAAGTGTCACACATAGGGGCTTCATGCCACTATATACCCATGATCTCCAACCACAGCAAAGTCCCGCACACTGCTTGTCAAACCTATTGGGTGTCCCTAGTTAATTTCCCATTCCTTACAGAAGCAATTTCAAGATTTCAATTCTTGAGGCTCCCATCTGATTCCTACCTCCATCTCACTCATCCATTGATCTTTGGTATTATATGTTTTTGTCATTAATTTCTAGTTCTGTTTTATTTTTATCGGAAAATGTGGGCTGAGCAATTTCTGGGGGCATTTTGGAGGGAATTTAATGAGGTTTCCTTAACAAGTTAATATATCACTAATTTTGTGAATACTAGGGAAAAAATGTAATTCTTTTATTGAAGGGTTCAGGATTCAAGATAGAGAGGTATTTTATATTCACTCTAATTATATTATTTAAATTATCTATATCCATTTTCTTAACCGCTTTTATCTGTCCAAGACTGACAAAGTGTGTTTTTAAAGCCCTTCTATTATGGTATTTCTGTAAATTACTCCTTTCATTTCAAGTTTTTGCTTTATGCATTTTGGCCCTAGGTTCATGATTACTTTTTGTCCCCAGACTTTACTTACCATAAATAAAAGACACATTTTATATAGTATATTATATATTTGTCTTGAACTCTACTTTGAATACAGTATAGATGCTTTTCCATTTGCTCTGGTCTTTTCTCTAGGAGTATCTGATACTCATTTACCCATGGATAAATGCTATTTGTTCTCTACATCTGTCATTTATTTAGTGGTTATATTTATTTATTTGTCCCTTTCCCCTGCCATCCCCATTGGAGCACTCCTTAAGCTTGTTTCCATATTACTTATTACATTTTCTGCAGTAGGCACTCCTCTATCTACTGCTTCTACACACTTTGATTTAGTCTACTGTTTTAAATTACTTTTTAGTATCATAACATGACAACCTTCTTTCTTCTGCATTCCTCTTATCCATCTCCCTCTTCATCTTGGACTATTGCCTTCTTTTCTCTCTCTTCTCTCTCTCTGTGTGTACTTGTGTCTTTTATCAGCTTATTTTCTGCCTATAACATTTATTTTATGTGTTTAATTACATGCAGTAAAATTGACTTTTTGGTGCACAGTTTTGTGAAAAAATTTATACATTTTAATGCATGTATAGATTCACGTAACCATCACACAATCAGAATACAGAAGAGTTCTATCACCTCGGAAAAATTCCTCATACTTCTCCTCTATAGTCACATCCTCTTCTCATCCTCAGCCCCTGGCAACCACCGATCTGTTTCTCATCACTACAGTTTTATCTTTTCAAGAATAATACCTAAATGGAATCATACAGCAAGAAAACCTTTTGAGATTGGTTTCTCTTTCTCGGCAAAGGGCCTTTGAGGGTCATCCATGTTGTTGTGTATATGAACAGTTAATTCTTTTTTATTGCAGAGTAGTATTTTATTGCATGGATGTATCAAGGTTTATCTATTCAACTGTTAAAGAATATTTCAGTGGTCTTCAAATTTTAGTGATTACAAATAGAGCTGATATACTCACGGGTTCTTGTGTGAGCATAAAGTTTCACTTCTTTAAGATAAATAACTAGGAGTGGGATCATTCAGTTATATGCGTTTGTTTAGCTTTATAAGAAGCTGCCACACTTTCCCGGAGCAGCTGTACCATTTTGCATTCCCACAGTGATGAATGAGAGTTCCTCTTGTTCTGCATACTCATTAGCACACCATATTGACAGTATTTATTATCATTATCATCATTATTTTAGCCATTCTAGTAAGTGTGCAATGGTATCTCATTGTGGTTTTAATTTGCATTTCTGTAATTTCTAGTGATATTGAATATCTTTCCATGAATGTATTGGCCATCCTTGTATTATTTGGTAAAGTGTTTGTTCAGGTTTTTAGATTACATTTTAAGTAAGGCTGGCTTCATACAAATGAGTCTGAGAGTTCTGATACAATGAGTTGGATACAAGTCCTTTGTCAGATATGTGATTTGCAAATATTTTCTTCCAGTTTATAGTTTGTTTCTTGCAAAATAAAAGTTTTTAAACTTTAATAAAGTACAATTTACCACTTTTTTTTTTTTCTTTTATGGGTCACGTTTTTAAGTGTCACGTCTAAGAACTCTTTGTATAACTACAGGTCATAAAGATTTTCTCCTGTGTTTTCTGAAATTTTATACCTTTATATTTTGCTCCATGACCCATTTTGAGTTAATTCTTGCAAAAGGTGTGAGATGGAGGTCAAGGTTCATTTTGTTTTCATATGAATGTCTAATCATTCCAACATCATTTGTTGAAAGACCGTCCTTTTTCCATTTCATTGTTTTCGCACTTTTGTTGAAAATCAATAGGCCGTATTTGTGTGGGTCTATTTCTGGATTCTCTACTGTGTTCCAATGGCTTGTGTATCTATCCTGTCACCAATATCACATTTGATTACTGAAGCTTTATATAGTAAGTCTTAAGATTGGGTACAGTAATTCTTCCAACTTTATTCTTCATCTTAAGAATTGTTTTGGCCATTCTGGATTCACTGCCCTTCTATACAAGTTTTAGAATCACTGTGTCCAAACATACAAAAAATCCTGCTGGGATTTTGACTTGAATTTCATTAAGCCTACAAATCAATCGTAAGACTTGCTATCTTCACTCTGCTGAGTCTTTCAATCCATGAACATGGGTTATCTCTTCATTTATTTAGGTATTCTTTGATTTCTTTCAGTGTTTTGGAATTTTTAGCATATAGATTCTAGACATGTGTTGTTAGATTTATACCTAAATATTTCCTTTGTTTTGCAGCTGCTGTAAGTAGTATTTTTTAAATTTTTGGTTTCTAGTTGTTAATATATAGAAATACAATTGATTTTTGTGTGTTGACTTGTATGCTGCAACCCAGCTAAACTCACTCATTATTTCTAGTAATTTCTTGGTAGATTCCTGTGGATTTTCTACATAAACAATACTGTTTTCTGTGTATAGAAACAATTTTTCTTTTTTTCCTTTCCATTCCATATGGTTTTTATTTTTTATTTTATTATTACTTTTTTGAGACAGAGTCTTGCTCTGTCACCCAGGCTGGAGTGCAGTGGTGCAATCTCAGCTCACTGCAACCTCTGCCTCCCAGGTTCAAGCAATTCTCCTGCCTACTCCCAAGTAGGTGAGACTACAGGCATCTGCCACCACGCCCGACTAATTTTTGTATTTTTAGTAGATGTGGGGGTTTCACCATGTTGGCCAGGTTGGTCTCGAACTCCTGACCTCAGATGATCCACCCACCTCAGGCTCCCAAAGTGCTGGGATTACAGGCATGAGCCACCGAGCCGAGCCCCACATGCCTTTAAAAATTTTTTTTATCTTACTGTGCTGGTTATGACATGATGTTGAATAGGACTGGGGAGGATGAACATTTTAGTTTTGTTTCATAGCTTAATGAGAAAGCATGCAGTTTTTCATCATTAAGTATGTTACAGGTTTTTGGTAGATACTTCTTATTGGATCAAGAAAGTTCCCTTCTATTTCTAGTGTGCTGAGAACTTTCATCATAAATGAATATTGAGTTTTGTCCAATTTTTTCTGCATCAATTGATATGTTAATTTTTTTTCTTTCTTTAGATTATTAATATGGTAAATTACATTGGTTGATTTTTTTTTTTATTATTAAGCCAGCTTGCATTCTCAGGATAAAACTCATTTGGACGGAGTGTATTTTTCATTTATATATTGCTGAATTTAATTTGCTAATATTTCTATGAAGATTTTTATATTTATGTTTACAAAGAGTTCTTACACATGACACTAAAAACATGACCTATAAAAGAAAAAAATGATAAATTGTACTTTATTAAAGTTTAAAAACATTTGTTCTGCAAAACACAAATGACGAACTGGAAGAAAATATTTGAGATATTTGCTTGTAGTTTTCTTGTACTATTTTTGTCTGGTTTTGGTATGAGGGTAATGCTAGCCTCATAAAATAGGTTGAAAAATGTTCCCTTCTCATCTACTTTTTAGGAGAATCAGTATTATTTCATCTTTAAGTGTTGGTAGAATTTACCAATATAAATTTCCTTTTAAGCACTTTTTAATCTGGATTCCACAAAGTATCATGTGTTATACTTTTATTTTCTTTCAATTCAAAATATTTTCTTATTTCCCTTGAGACTTCTTCTTTGAACTAAACCATGGATTATTCGGAAGTTTGTTTGTTAGTTTCCGTATTTTTCCAGGGGCTCTACTCTTATGATTTTACTTCTACCTAAATACTGACAACTCCCACCCACACCTCTTTACTGACCTTTACAACTGTATGTACAACTGTCCACTGGTTATCTTGTACTGGATGTCCCATATGTACGCTAAACTCAACATGTCCAACAACGCTCATTATCCTCCTGCTCCCCCGACACCACCATGTCTCCTCCCTGTCTTTCAATGCCAGTCTTAGTGAGTGTTGAACTATCCACCCAACTGCCCCAGTAAGAATCTAGAAATCATTCTGGTCTCCTCCCTTTGGTGCAATCTACAACCCCGTGCTGTTTGATCTGCCTCTTTCTCATTTTGTGTACCTGAGTCCCTACTATTCATATCACTGCCATCTGAACAATAATAAGTGTGCCATAGAATTACTGTGATTATTAAGTTATATTTGAATCCTGGTATTGTGCTGGGCAGGTGATGAGTGATTCATAAACAGCAGCTGCTCATATGATTGCTCCCTGGCCACTCACTTTTCCTCTCTGGGTGAAATTAAGATCCTCCTCATTGGTTTCCTGCCTGTGGTCTTCTATTGAGCCCTTCCTTCACTCCCCCACCAAAGTGATCTTTCAAAAGCTAGAAACCGATCGCACACTCTTCAAACAAAAATCTTTCATAATTTTAGAAAATCTATTAATAATATGATTCACTATAAAACTAGGTCAAAGGAGAAAAACTATATAATTATCTTAAAAAATGACGAAAAAGGCGACTGACAAAATTCAATAACCATTCGTCCTTTTAACACTTGGAAAAATAGAAATAAATGAATGCTTTTCTTGACGTAATAAATATACCAACAGCCTTCATTATGCTTACGGGTAAAACTCTAGAGGCATATCTATTAAGGCCACAATCAAATTAAGAATGCCCACCATCACTATCATAATTTAACATTGTTCTGAAAGTACCAATCAACGCAATTACATTTTTTAAAAGTATTGTATAAGAGGCTTAGATGTTGGAAAAGAGAACACAAAATCAGCTTGGATTGTCTGAATTGTATCTTAGAAAAATTCCCCAAAGATTCTGGCATCTGATTGATACCATTTTTCTGGTTTGTCACCCTGATCAATTTTTTTCCATTTTTAATCTCTTTGTCACTTCAGTGGGAATTTGGAAGAAGGAGACATTCAATATATGGTCTCAGTTGAGCATTAATTACATTTTTAGTTAGAAAAAAAAATGTTACTCTAAATCTGAGAGAAAGAAATCATTGTGTAAAAGGGGGGCTGGTCTTGTGCACCTAATTCTTAACAAACTGGAACTAGAC
Organism: Homo sapiens; assembly: GCF_000001405.40. Taxonomy (NCBI): domain Eukaryota; kingdom Metazoa; phylum Chordata; class Mammalia; order Primates; family Hominidae; genus Homo; species Homo sapiens. The sequence goes on along the minus strand of NC_000016.10, from coordinate 24,079,390 downwards.
ACAACGCGGGTGCCCCAAGGTTCAGTCCAGCTGATACTCGGACTTCTGAGGGTTTTGCAACACTGCCAAATGTCACGTGTGTCCGTGTGAAGAGACCACCAAACAGGCTTTGTGGGAGCAGCAAGGCTGTTTATTTCACCTGGGTGCAGGCAGGCTGAGTCCGAAAAGAGAGTCAGCAAAGGATGATGGGATTATCATTAGTTCTTATAGGTTTGGGATAGGTGTACAAAGTACCTTCTTAAGGGCGGGGGAGAATATATCGTATCAGTTAGGGTGGGGCAGGAACAAATCACAATGGTGGAACGTCATTAGTTAAGGCTATTTTCACTTCTTTTGTGGATCTTCCGTTGCTTCAGGCCATCTGGATGTATACGTGCAGGTCACAGGGGATATGATGGCTTAGCTTGGGCTCAGAGGCCTGACACCAAAACCATGCAACTTTTGTGCTCAGTAACTGAGTCCTCCTGGGACCCAGAAGCTTTGAAATCTTGGAGGTTTTATGACCCCCTAAACCCAGTTTAGTGTCAACTATTTTCTACAGCGGTTTCCCTGGTCATTCAGGGTCCTACAGTTCCCAGCGTTGCTCCACACTTACTCTGACTCCACACAACCACAACCCCACAAGTCTAGAGACCATTTCCCTCGACAGGGAAGATCTGGGTTAGTCCACCTTTGAGCTCTCACAAGCCCAGTCTCTTAATAACTAGCATTCCCCAGTGGTGTGGACAATGTCACCACTGGATCTCACTGGGGGATGCAGCACTTGCTACTTTACTCATGCACGGCAGAGTTTTCAGGGCTTGATGCAGATGGAAGAGGAGCTCTTCAGCCCAGCTTGGAAAAACAAGAGTAAACCTGCCCCCCATAAACATCTGTTCCCCTCAGGTTGGCCCTGAGGGTCTTTCTGTCTGCCTAGGACAGATGGTTTGGGAGTCAGGCATCCAATAAGTTAGCTTTACTTCTTGTTTGGAGACCACCTCCTGCCTCAAGTTAAGTGAAAACAAGAAGGACAGACGAGGTTTACCAATTCCTCACTCATATCCTCGGGACAGGAACCAGGATGGCGTGCCATGGGGCCCCACCCTTGCTTGGGTGCTGAGTAAATGCAGCATGAAGCATGGAGGCAGGAGGTGCTCAACAGCCCCCTCTCCCACGCTGCAGCGGCTGCAGACATGGCTCTGGGTGCTGCTTTGCAATGTGATTATTTCTAAAGATGTGACATAAATACTAACATGGAGTCCCTGGAGCTGCAGAGTCGCTGCTTGGCAGCTTAATTTGGACATTCAATCAAAACTGTCTGTCGGCAGCTCTGCACAACCCAAGCAGCATAGGGCCAGAAGCCCCGCAATCTGCTCAGTGAGAACGTTAAGTGATGGGTTTAATTTTCAGAAGCTTGGGACAAAAGCCTTCCCAGCTCTGAGGAAGGCGGGTTTACTTCCCTTCTCTAGAGAAACAGTGCATATTTTCTCATATCTTCAATAGGCTCCCTGCTTTGATAGAAGAGCCCTGTCTACATTAACTACATCACTGAATCATGGAATTCAAGGATTTTTAAAAACTGAGAGGCACATTCTCAGACCATGATCCTCAGACAGTCAGGGAAAAGGGCTACCATTTGAAGACAAGTTTCCTGTTTCTCCTACTGTTGTTCAGGGATGAAGGGAGAAGAAAACATCTGTTAGAAGGGGTCCCAGCAGATGAATGCTTCCTCCTTTCATTGTCAAACATCCTCAGTCACACAGAAGCACTAAAAGAGAGTGCTGGATACATTTATCCTAAACGGATATATGATTACATGGATGGATGAGTTGGCTGAGTGGATGGATGGATGGGTTAGACAGATGAATGAATGTATGGATGAATGTATGAACTGGATGGATGGATGGATGGATGGATGGATGGAGAGATGAATGCATGTGTGGATGGATGGATGGATTAGATGGATGAATGTATGGATTGGATGGATGGATGGATGGATGGATGGATGGATGGAGAGATGAATGCATGGGTGGATGGATGGATGGGTTAGGTGGGTCAATGAGTAAAGTAATGGGTCTTAACTAGCTGGAAGGAAACTGGCATCCTTTCCATTTTCTTATTATCATAATTTTACCAAACTATCCATATCTCAAGGCATCTACTGAATCTGCCCCATCCCACATCCCTCCATTCTTCACCACCGTAGACACACAGACACACACACACGTGCATGTGCATCTTCAAAATACTTCCAAATGGCACAGCCCAAGCACAAGCTAACCAGTACTGATGCTGTGCTCAGTACTGGAACAGGGTCCTAGAGGCCCCCTGATATGCCCAGGTGCTAAGTTTACTTGCCAGGCTATGGGGAGGTCCAAGGAGGATCCCAGGGGAGCAGCTGGGACTGTGGGAAGAGCTGCCTCAGGAGAGAGCTGCAGCTATTTTCCAGCAGGCACAGAAGCACTGCTGGAGTGTTCTGGAAGAATGTCTGACTACACTGAGATGCAAATACAAATCCGATGACCATCTATAAAAGGGTACACAGATGAGATAGACAGAGTTCCGGCACAGCCCCCACCCTATGCCTCTGCCTGTTATTCTAAACTCTGCCCAGACAGAGGCAAATATTCCAGTGACCCTGGCCATCAGCAGATGCTATACTCCGGCTCCCTGAGAGCAAGCCCTATGCTGTTTCCTTCTGTGACTCAAACAGTGAGTTAAAGGCACACTTGTAGCAAGGTAATACGTTGAGGTTTGAAGTGCCTGTTTCTCCCACTTTGCACTTCATTGAATTCTGTCACTTGTACCCTGAGGCTCCTCCCCCCAGACCATGCAGCTAGACGTGAGTCATCCACTGCCTTAGGGAGAAAGTTGTCAAGGTATTAGTGAGGAACAAAGCCAGTGAATTCTGACTTCTCAGTTCTGAAAGCTTCTGTCTCGTCTTTCTCCCTATCAGGCCCCAAAAGCTGAGCTCCAGGATGACAGAGAGAATGGATGAAGAAGCAGATAAGGCCCCCTTTTTGCTCCATGATTCACCCCTCTGATCTCCATACTCTGAATTAGCCCCACCTTTCACCTCTTTTAACCAGAAAAGCCAAAAGCACTCCTGTACATCTGCCAACAACTGCCAATCCTGGAAAGAGGCTGAGTCCAAATCCCAATTGGGCTTAACTGGGGCATATAAATAAGGCTTTTCACATGCTCCAAACAACTCCCCTTTCCCTCACACCATGACTGAGAAGTCCTGTTTCAGAGAGTGGTTCTCAAAGGGTGTGGCCCAGACTAGCAGCGTCAGCATCACCTGGGAACTCATTAGAAATGCATGATCTCCTAATGTTATTCCTCCCACCTAATGTAAATGACGAGTTAGTGGGTGCAGCACACCAACATGGCACATGTATACATAGGTAACAAACCTGCACATTGTGCACACGTACCCTAGAACTTAAAGTATAATAACAAACAAAAAAAAAGAAATGCATGATCTCAGGCCCTGCTCAGACCTGCTGAATTGAGGATGGAACCCAGCAACCTGTATTTTAACACACTTTCCAGATGACTCTGATGTGACACTCATGTATGAAAACCACTGCTTTTGACCAGTGTTGTTGAAGCCAGCCTCACCAGGGTAGGAAGAATTCTGGACAGAAATATAGTTACAATTCAGCATTAATCAGGCTAACTTTGACCCACTTCCTTGCAACTAAAAGTCAGGTAACACTGGATACTGACCATTTGCAACCTCGTTGTTCCTACAGATAGGATTTCTGACATTAGAATCATAGGCTTTTGTTTAAGAGTTGCTTAAACAGATCCTGAATTCCAGCAGAATAGCTGATGCCAACCAGTTTAAAGACCCCAAACAGAGGAACTGAATCAGCAAGAGAACACAGCTTCTTTATCTCCCTGTCCCATGACTCCATCCTGCTCTTTTCCACCAATCAACAATCTCCACACTTCAGCCCACTGCAAAACCCTTAAAAATCCTAGCCCCAGACTCCTCTGGGAGATGGATTTGAGGTTTCCTCCTGTCTCTTCCCTACAATTAAACCTGTTTCTCTGCTGCAACTCAGTGGCTTAGTGTATTGACTTGCTGCATGCATTGGGCAGTGAACCTATTACAGTTACACTGTCCAATAGAACTTTCTAAAATAATGGAAGTGTTTGATGTCCAGTATAGTAACCACTAGCCACATGAGGCCACTGAATACCTGAAATGTGGCTATTGTGTTGGAAAAATTGAGTTTTGCATTTTATTTAATTTTCTTTAATTAAATTTTTTTTTTTTTTTTTTGAGATAGGGTCTTGTTCTGTCACCCAGGCTAGAGTGCGTGGTGCAATCATGACTCACTGTAGTCTCAACCTCTTGGGCTCATGTGAGCCTTCTGCCTCAGCCTCCCGAGTAGCTGGGACTATAGGCATATCCCACCACATTTGGCTAACTTTATTTTTTGTAGAGGCAAGTTTTTGCTATGTTGCTCAGATTGGTCTCAAACTCCTGGCCTCAAGCAATCCTTCCACCTTGGCCTCCCAAAGTTTTGGGATTACAGGTGTGAGCCACCAGGCCAAGCTCGTTAATTTAAATTTAAACAGCCCCACGTGGCTAGTGGCTGCCATATTGCACAAAGCAGCTTAGACCGTTGCATCAGCCTCCTTACAGATTTCCCTCCCCTCCTCGTCTCCTTTCAGGTCACCCTATAAGCTTCAGACAAATTAATCTTCCCAGAACGCAGATCTTATCATGTCATTCCTACTCTCAGAACATCCTCACTGACTCACTGTTGCCTACTGATTTTAAATACATGTTCTTTTTGTTCTTTTTTAGTAAGCCAAAATGTTTTATTCCAAAATATGATAGAAAATAGATTAAATAATAATAGTTGACGGTGAATGAGCTCTTACTATATGAGCCAAGCACTATTCTAAGGACTGCACATGAATTATCTCATTGAATCCTTACAAGAACCTTATGATGTGAGTGTTACTGTTTTCCCCATTTTACTGATGTGGAACCTGACAGCTGAGGGGGTTGAGTGACTTGTCCAAGGTATACAGAGAGCTGATAACAGTAGAGCGGGATTTGAACCCTCTCTGTCTTCCTCCCAAGGCTGCACTCTTAGGCACGACATCACAGTGCCTCGGAAGATCCATCTGGGTCAGATTATTTTTCCCTCTTAGGGTGCCCCTTATGAAATCCATAACCATGGTCACACATTCTATGGCAGTAGCTTCGAGGTGTGTCTTAAACACATCACTTGCTCTTCTTTTTTTTTTTTTGAGATGGAGTCTTGCTCTGTCACCCAGACTGAAGTGCAGTGGCATGATCTCGGCTCACTGCAAGCTCCACCTCCTGAGTTCATGCCATTCTCCTGCCTCAGCCTCCCCAGCAGCTGGTACTACAGGCGCCCGCCACCAACCACGCCCGGCTAATATTTTTGTATCGGGGTTTCACCATGTTAGCCAGGATGGTCTCGATCTCCTGACCTCGTGATCCGCCTGCCTCGGCCTCCCAAAGTGTTGGGATTACAGGCGTGAGCCACCACGCCCGGCCATCACTTGCTCTTCTATAGAGAACAAGCAAAAGCTATCATCAGCTGTCTTGGACTCCTTCTGGAAAAGATCAACATATTTACCCCCAAAATAGCATCTTTCCATCTCAGAAGGAATACTGGACACATTTTAGGTAAAGTCAGCACATCGTTTATCGAGGTGTTAAAAACATGGCTTAGGGGCTAGGGGATGAATATTGAACTTTAGACTGAGACATTTAAAAAACCGGCCAGGCGCAATGGCTCACACCTGTAATCCCAGCAATTTGAGAGGTCAAGGAGGGAGGATCACTTGAGGCCAGGAATTTGAGATTAGCCTGGGCAACATAGCAAGACTTTGTCTCTACAAAAACAATTTTCACGATTAGCCAGACATGGTGGCATGCGCCTGTAGTCCCAGTAACTCAAGGGGCTGAGGCGGGAGGATCACTTGAGCCCAGGAGTCTGAGGCTGCAATGAGCCAACATTGTACCACCGTACTCCAGCCTGGGAGACAGAGCAAGATCCTGTTTCTAAGAAATAAATAAAAATGGCAAAAATGTTTAAGGCAGGTAGGATTCAAACAGGTGGGCAATGGGAGGCCATCTTTAGGAGAGGTTCTTACAAATACAACAGTTCTAATCCTGACCTTAATCACAGGGCTGATAGTCAAAATATTTAGCAAGCGGTTTATCCATCAGATTGGAGACAGCCAAAGCCCTGGGGTAGATGTGAAGGCTCCCACTGAACTAGACATTCACCTTTTCATTATCAGATCACATCCAAGGGCTCTTGGAGAAGAAACTAACAAGGCCAGAGAGGCAGAGGACATCTGGTGGTATTTCTTAGTTGCCAGCTGGCATAGAGATATTTTGATGTTTTGATAATCATCTCTGATCAAGATGACTGAGCACTGCATAAATACTTCCTCTTTACAGTAAGGTATACTTGAGCTACTGAATAGTTTCATTTTTAAACAGCCTTAAAAAGAGAGAGAGAGTTAGGCCAGGTGCGTGGCGCACACATGTAATCCCAGTGCTTTGGGAGGCTGAGGCGGGTGGATCACCTCAGGTCAGGAGGTCGATATCAGCCTGGCCAACATGGTGAAACCCCGTCTCTACTAAAAATACAAAAATTAGCTCGGTCTGGTGGCACAGGCCTGTAATCCCAGCTACTTGGGAGGCTGAGGCAGGAGAATTGCTTGAACCCAGGAGGCAGAGGTTGCAGTGAGCAGAGATCATGCCATTGCACTCCAGCCTGGGTGACAAGAGGGAAACTCCATCTCAAAAAAAAAAGAGAGAGAGAGAGAAAGAGAGAGTTAAAGAAAGCAGATTGGCTGGTTGTGGTGGCTTACACCTGTAATCCCAACTCTTTGGGAAGCTGAGGTGGGAGGATCACTTGAGGCCAGGAGTTGGAGACCCCCATCTTTATAAAAAATAAAAATAATAATTATCTGAGCATGGTGGTGCATGCCTACAGTCCCAGCTACTTAGGAGGCTGATGTGGGAGGATTGCTTGAGCTCAGGAGTTCCAGGCTGCAGTGAGCTATGATCGTACCACTGCACTCCAGCCTGGGTGACAGAGAAACACCCTGTCTCAAAAAAATTAAAAACAAAAGCAGATTGATGGTTGCCAGGGGCTGGGAGAAGGCAGGGATGGGTAGTCACTGCTTAATCAGTATGGGGCTTTATTTTGGAATGATGGAAATGTTTTGGAACTAAATAGCAGTGGTGGTTGCACAACACTGTGCATGTACTAAATGCCGCTGAACTGTTCACTCTAAAACAGATCATTTTAAGTCATGTGAATTTCACCTCAGCAAATTTTTAAAAACAAAAGGCGGGGGTGGGGTGGGGGTTAAACTCTATCCAAATTGCAATCAGCCCATAAACAAGTAGCAAACTGAATTGGGCACCCTCATGATAATAATAACATCCTTGCTGAGATCCTGGAGCAGGGCCCAGTGATGCCGACGACCCCTCCAGAATGTGTCCACTGTGATCATTAACTCCACAAAGGCTTGGGCATGGTTACTGCAACTCAACGCCCTCTTCGGCCCCCACCATAACTTTCAGCCTTTCCTGCACCATCTCCTTATATGGTGTAGGCCAGACTCCAGCTAGCCTTGGCTGCCGGCTGTTCCCTGTAAGATCCTGCCTCCATAGGAGGAGACAGATGGGATCTAGTGTCCAGGACCACATCCCACAGCTACTGCCCAGAGACATGTGCAGAGCGGACAAGCCAGGCAGGTACTCACTCTCTTTACTACCCTAGGACCTTTACCCCCAATCACAAGTAGAACCACTGGCCCTGTTGAGTTGAGCTAGACTAGCATTCTCAATTCTGGATCCACATTAAAATTGGTGGAAATTGGAAGGTTGGACGGGCTCCTCTTATTCCTTTTCCCCAGTCCTGTTTGTCTTTTTTTTTTTTTTTTTTTTTTTTTTAGACAGGGTCTCACCATGTTACCCAGGCTAGTCTCAAACTCCTGAGCTCAAGCGATCCACCCGCCTTGGCCTCTCAAAGTGCTAGGATTACAGACGTCAGCCATCGTGCCCGGCCATGTTTTGTTTTCAAGGCAATGCAGAGAAGAGGTAGCTCAGGCTCCTCTTACCATACCAGATATGCAGAGTTCTGAGAGGTCTGAAGGCAGAGTAAGTCTCAAATGGAAAGCCAAGAGAGAATGCTTAGGGTATATCATGAAGACGAGGTCATTAAGCTCCTCCCCTATCTCTGAAAGCCCCAAGAGCAGCATCCAAGTCCTTAACTCACATCCTCACATCAGCCCTGGAGTGGAGGGGGGCTTTGAGCTCCCTCTTCAGGTCACAGTGTGTACTAACTACCCTTTGTCCAGATGGTTCCCTCCCTTGCCTTTGGCCCAAAGCTCATTCATCCTTCTAGTTAGATCTATAAGGCCACCTCTTCCCAGAAGCCTTTCCTGACTTCATCTGACCCATCACAGGATTTCTTCCTTTCTTATCTTCAGTGACACAGTATACTTTAGAGAGATATGTACTTGCTTTACTTGTTCTGCTATATTAAATAGAGCTCCTTAAGGGAAGGGACTATGACTTCCTAATTTTTCTGGCCAAGGGCTTGGCCTCAGGATCAAACAGACCTGAGTTTGAGTTCAAAGTGATACCACTTCCTGGCTGCGGAGGCTTGGAGGATTACTTAACCTCTCTGAGCCTCAGTTTCCTCATCTGTAATATGAGAATAGCAACAGTGTTCCCTCATAAGATGGCTGAGAGGGCTGAGGAGCTATATACTTCATGCTATTATATGCGTTGTAATGACTGCAACCTATTTTACACTCAACAACTCCTAGTCATTATTATTATTCTGTTCTATTAGGTGCCTGGGATACTATTTTCTATATATTTCATATATACTTAATAAATGATTTTTAAATGTCATTAAATTCCCTGGTTTCAAGGCCGGGCGCAACGGCTCATGCCTGTAATTCCAGCATTTTGGGAGGCTGAGGCAGGCGAATCACTTGAGGTCAGGAGTTTGAGACCAGCCTGGCCAAGATGGCAAAAATCCGTCGCTACTGAAAATACAAAGATTAGCCAAGAGTGATGGCACATGCCTGTAATCCCAGCTACTTGGGAGACTGAGGCACAAGAATCGCTTGAACCCAGGAGGCAGAGGTTGCAGTGAGCCAAGATCGTGCCACTGCACTCCAGCCTGGACGACAGAGCAAGACCTTGTCTCAAAAAAAAAAAAAAAAAAATCCCCTGGTTTCCTGCAAGATGAAAAGCTTACCATCACAGGGCCCCAATCCCAGTGTAAGTTAACGTCCCTTCCCTGGTTGCCCAGGACACCTTGCACTCGTGTCTGGCACAGCAGTCCTAACACTTTGCTGTAATTATCCATTTATTTGTCGTATTGACAGTGGTGACGCCATAGCCCAGCACAGTGTGAGCCACACACTGAAGGAAGGAAGGAATGGCCATGAATCACGTCATCTCGGGAGTACCCGTTGGGAATGGAGAAGAATCTTAAGACCTCCAGCCCAGAGAGAATATACAGGTTTTGTGATTTGTTCTAGGCTCTGATGATGTCATGACAATAACAATGACAACTTTTATTGAGCACATACTATATGCCAGGCACTGTTTTGTTTTGTTTGTTTTGTTTTGATACAAAGTCTTGCTTTGTTACTCAGGCTGGAGTACAGTAGTGCAATCACGACTCACTGCAGCCTCAACCTTTGGGGTTCAAGTGATCCTCCCACCTCAGCCTCCCAAGTAGCTGGGACTACAGGTGTACGACCATGCCTGACTACTTCTTAAAATTTTTTGTAGAAATGGGGTCTCACTATGTTGCAGGCTGAAATCAAACTCCTGGGCTCAAGCAATCTTCCCACCATGGCCTCCCAAAGAGGTGGGATTACAGGCATGAGCCACCACGCTCAGACCCAGGCACTGTTTTAAGCACTCTATACACAGCACAGCACTGCTCGTCCCCAGTGCTCAGCCTCTTCCGGGCCAAACTTCAACGTCTCACTCTGGGAGGCAGGAATCCAGCAGCTGAAAGAAGTCAGTCTTACATGATTTAAAAACAGGCTGTTCTGAGGCCATCTGCTTCATTTGCCCCAGGACATGGGGACTGGACCAAACTGTCCTCTAACACGGCACCTCCTGCATTTCATGTACCCTTATCTGATCTAAAGCCACTTTCTATACCAAATTAGTCAAGTGTGATGGTGAGGAGCTTAAACCCAGAGATCCTGGCAGATCAGCTCTGCCATAGAGCAGCTTTGTGACCTGAAAGTTACCTAACTTCTCGGTAACTCAGTCTCCTTGTTTAAAAAATGGGGCTAATGATAAGGATGTTGGCTCATAGGAATGTTACAATCATTATAAATTAATAGAATGTCTGGCATATGGTAAACATTCACTATGTGCTACTTTGTTATTATTGGCTCTTATTTTATATCGCTGTCTCCATAGTGTTCTAGCAGAATGCTTAGCAACCTTTACTTCACTATCTTCACTCCCCAAAGTTCTCAGGGTCCCCTACCAGGATCTGAAAGAAATGAGGATTCCTCACTCTATCACTGATGCTCACAACACCCTTCTTTAAAAATAATTTTCTGAACCAAACAAATATTACCTTAGATCTTATCCCAAAATTAAATAAATGCTTTCATTTGTATATTCACCTTCTGGTCTTTTTCCATGTTAACATTCAATTTTTACATAATTATACCACTCTAAATCTATTTTGTATTTTATATTTTTATTTAATATCATACCACTTGGGGCAATGATAAAGTAGCTCTCCCACTGAGAGCAACTATAAAAGCCAGATAAAAAATATTTTTCAAGAAACTGGAATTTTGAAGGAATTAGAATTAAGATAAGTCCAATATTCTGTGTGTGGTTTTTTTTTTTTTTTCCTTTGGGCCATAAATCAATTCTCAACACAGGGCAAAGGACTAAGAAGCTAGACAGAGGGCACCTGCTAAGAAGGAGGGAGGCCACCAGAGCTTGAAGCTTATTCTTGGGGCTAGGAATCAAAGCTTCCAGGGAAGGCAGGACTTGAGGGGCCAAATCATAGTGGGAGGGGAAGAGCAGAGAAGTGAACTCAACGCTAGGCATTGATTTTTCTCTTGAGTCTCTACCAATCACACTGCAGAGGTTGAGACACAAAACAGAAATCAGCTGAGAGGTTTTGTCAGGCTTATGGTGCTAGAGAAACAAAAATTGGGGTTCAGGACCCAGTTAAAAGGAGGGCCCTGGCAAGTCTTCAGCCTCAGAGTTGGAAACCTCTACACCATAGGAGTGGAAATGAACCAGAAATAGAACAAACCTTACGAAGGCTATAAACCAGCACACAGTGAGCTCGATCACCACCAGAAGGGTGACCCCAACCTGCATGGAAAATAACCTCTTCCTCAGCTCTCTCTCTCTCTCTTTTTTTTTTTTTTTTTTGAGACGGAGTCTCGCTCTGTCACCCAGGCTCACTGTAACCTCCGCCTCCCAGGTTCAAGTGATTCTCGTGCCTCAGCCTCCCCAGTAGCTGGGATTACAGGCATGTGCCACCATGCCAGGCTAATTTTTGTATTTTTGGTAGAGATGGGGCTTCACTATGTTGGCCAGGATGATCTCAAACTCCTGATCTCAGATGATCCACCCACCTTGTCCTCCCAAAGTGCTGAGATTACAGGCATGAGCCACCACACCTGTCCAACAGCTTTCTAATTTAGCAAGGAATCATCTGAAATTCAAACAAAACTTCCAAACATGCCAAGAAATAGGACCAGAAGCAAAAAACACCTAGGCGTGGTGATGCATGCCTGTAATCTCAGCACTTTGACAGGCAAACATGGGCAGACGGCTTGAGCTCAGGAATTCAAGACCAGCCTGGACAACATAGTAAAACCCCATCTCTACAAAAATACAAACATTAGTGGGGTGTGGTGATACACATCTATAGTCCCAGCTACTCAGGAGTCTGAGGTGGGAGGATTGCTTGAGCCCAGGAGGTAGAGGCTGCAGCGAGCTATGATTGCACCACTGCACTCCAGCCTAGGTGACAGAATAAGATCCCGTCTAAAAAATTTTAAAAAAACAGACAAGAGGGCAGATCCATGGGTGATTCAGACACTGGAATTATCAAACATGAACTTTAAAATAACTTATTAAGATGTTTAAAAGAAGGGAGAAAGGATGACAATGTGGAAAGTTTCACCAGAGAACTATTGGTTACAAAAAAGAAACTGACTGGGTACAGTGGCTCACACCTGTAATCCCAACACTTTAGGAGGCTGAGGAGGGGTGATCACTTGAGGCCAGGAGTTCAAGACCAGCCTGGGGCAACACAGCGAGACCTCATCTCTACAAAAATTTTTAAAAATTAGCCAAGCTCAGTGGCATGCACCTGTGGTCCCAGCTTCTCAGGAGGCTGAGGTGGGAAGATTGCTTGAGGCCAGGAGTTCAAGGCTGCAATGAGTGATGATTGTGCCACTGCACTCCAGCTTGGGTGACAGAGCAAGACCCTTGTCTCAAAATAACTAAATAAAGCAAATGAAAGCTTTAGAATTAAACATACAATAATTCCCAAGTGGATGGACATTCTACCAGATACTTGACCAGTACTTCTCAAAACTGTCAAGGTCATGAAAAATAAGAAACGATTGAGAAATTGTCATAAACCAGAGGACACTTAGGAAACATGACAACTTAATGTAATTTGGTATCCTACATGAGATCCTGGAATACACTAAGAATATCGTGAAAAAAAAAAGGAAAATCCAAATAAAGTTTGGAGTTTAGTTAACAATACAGTACTAATTAGTGTTAACATCTTCATTTTGACGGATGTGTCATGGTCATGTAACGTGTTAATAATGGAAAACTGAGTGAAAGGTATACGGGAAGTCTATCCTCTGCAACTTTTCTGTACATCTAAAACTATTCTAAAATAAAAAGTTTATTTAAAATGCAATACTTAAAATTAATAACTCAATGCATGGCTTAGCAGCAGATTGGAAGCAGTTAGAAGGCAAATCAGTGAGCTGAAAAACAGATTATTAAGAAAAATCAGACTATGGCATAAAGATTAAAAGAGACAGAGAGTACAGAAGAGAGTGTCAGAGACAGAGGACACAGTACCAAGGTCTAACATACATATAATCAAAGTCAAGCATGAAAAGGAGAGAAAAGGATAGGGCAGACAATGGACAAGAAAATACTAATGAAAAACATCAAGTTAAAGAGGCAAGAAGTAAAGAAACACCAACCAAGATAAACACATACAAACACACACACACACACACACACACACACACACACACAGGAACATCACAGTCACATTGCTGAAAATCAAAGAGAGAGAGAAAATCTAAAATCATACAGATTGCATAAAGGCAACAATAGGACTTCAAAAGAGCCACAATAAGACTGACAAAATCAACAAAAATGATGGAAGAAGAACAACGGGATGGTATATTTAAAGTGCCGAAAGAAAATAACAGCCAGTTTCAAATTCTATCCAAGGGTGAATGTGAAATAAAGATTTTTTTTCCCCAGAGATGGGATCTCACGATGTTGCCCAGACTGGACTTGAAGTCTTGAGCTCAAGCAATCCTCCTGTCTCAGACTCCTGAATAGCTGGGACTACAGGCATGTGCCACTGTGCCCAGCTTGAAATACAAGTATCTTAAGATGTATTTGCAGCAGGCCTAAACTAAATAATAAAAGACGTTCTTTAGAGAGAAAGAAAATGATCCCAGATGGAAATGTGAAAATGTAAGAAAGAATGAAAACTAACAGAAAGGGTAAATATATTATTAAATCCAAGTAAATGCTGATTATATGAAGCATTATCATAATGTAGTTTAAATCACATGTAAAATTACAATGTGTATGGTAGGATGGGGTAAACAGGACTAAAATGTTAAAGAACCTAGGATCATTTGGAACGTAATAAAAGTACTAATATATTAAATTCTAAAATCCAAAGATGCATATTGCAATCTCTAGAATCAATATAAAAATAATAAAAACAATACATGACTAATTAGTTAATAGAAAGGAATATGAAATAATAAAATATACTTAAGTGATCCCCAAAAGGCAATAATAAAGAGAAAAAGGAATGTAAAACACATGGGACAAACGAAAAATCATAGGAAGTGGTAGATATAGACTCAAATATATCAGCAATTATATAAAATGTAAATGGTCTAAATGCTCCAATTAAAATCAACTATTGTCAGACTGTATTAAAAATTGTGCTTATAAAAGACACACTCTAAATGTAAGGCTACAGAAAGACTGAAAGGGAAAAGGGGGAAAAATATATATATATTTATATTATTTTATATATAGATATATTTCCCCCTTTTCCCTTTCAGTCTTTTTATATATATATATACACACACACCATAAAACATTATATAAAACATATATAATACATATATTCGGTCTATATATATGTATATATGTATATACATATAAACACACACATCATAAAACATCAACCAAAAGAAAACTGGTATATTTACAAGAGGCAAAGTAGGCTTTAAGGCAAGAAGCATTATTTGAGATAAACAGATACCTTTCAGAATGATAAAAGGATCAATTCACCGAGGAGATATCAATTATATTTTATAATAATAACATTGCTTCAAAATATACAAACCAAAAATTGATAAAACTGAAAGGAAAAAAACCCAGAATCATAATAGGAGACTTAAATCCAATTCTTTCAGTAACAGAACAAGCAAGCAAAATAAAAATCAAACAAGATATAGAAAATATGAACAACACAACTAACGAAACTAATTTACACACACACAATATGGCATCCAACAAACACAGGATACATATTCTTTGTAAGTGCACATGGAATATTTACCCAAATGTCAAATGAATGAAATTATGTATGTTTTCAGACTGTGGTGGAAACAAACTATCAATAACAAAAAGATAACTAGAATATTTACAAATGCTTGAAAATTAAACATACACTTTTGAATAAATCATAGGAAAAATCATCATGAAAATTCAAAAATATTCAAAACTTGTGAGAGTCAACTAAAGCTGTGCTTAAAGGAAAATGTGTAGCCTTAATGTACATATTAGGAAAGAAGATAGGCTGAAAAATCAATGCTATATCTATCTCAAAAAGTTAGAAAAGGGACACCAAATTAAATCTATGTGTATGTTCCCATTTGCTATGATTTTTTTTTCAAGCTCCCTTTACCTACTTGCTTTCCCATTCTATCTTTCTCCTCCTCCCCAACTGCCAGGTAAGAAGGACGGCAACCTGGTGTTTACTCTTTCCTACCTTTCTCCTGGCTGAGACAATCACCTAGAAACAAATGGACTGGGAGGGTTACTGTACAAAAACGGAATCACACTATACACGCTGCTCTGCAAAATGCTTTTCCCACCCAACAATATGTCAGTCAGTTTGAAACTCATTCTTTTTCAACTGCAAGTTATACCACAGCATGGACAGACTACAACATGTTCAGCCTTCAAAAACGGGCATTCAGGAGGCTATTAGCTTTTTGCCACCACAAACAGTGATGCCATAAATATCCTGGTATGTCCTTCCCAGAGTCCTAAGAATTCCCTGAATGGAGCCAAGACAACCAGAAATCTCACACTCTAGTGCTCAAGTTCTCAAACATTCTTCCTGCCACAGCAGCATTCATGCAGGCTACTCACTCCTCTATCATCATGATACTGGGTTCCCTAAGCGCATGCTGCAAACTCCATTCTTTCTCCCCTTATAAAAAAAATGGAACCCAGTGAAAGTACATCAGTGGCCAGGCATGGTGACTCACGCCTGTAATCCCAGCACTCTGAGAGGCCAAGGCGGGCGGATCACATGAGGTCAGGAGTTCGAGGCCAGCCTGGCCAACATGATGAAACTCTGTCTCTCCTAAAAATACAAAAATTAGGCAGACATGGTGGCACACGCCTGTAATCCCAGCTACTTGAGAGGCTGAGGCAGGAGAATCGCTTGAACTCAGGAGGCGGAGGTTGTAGAGAGCCAAGATCATGCCACTGCACTCCAGCCTGGGCAACAGAGTGAGACTCCATCTCAAAAAAAAAAAAAAAGTGTATCAGGATAGGCGCAAGCAGAAAACAGAATCCAATTCAGAAGGCTCTAGAGATTTTAATTAAGGTACTACTCACAAATGTGAAGACAGGGTTAAAGGGATCAACAACGCATGGTGAGACATCCAGAGAGTAGCAGCATTGAGATGTCATTGCTACCCCTAGGCCTGAAGAGGCCAAAGAAGGAAGTAGTGTTACCAGAGCCCAGTGAAATCTGGAGACACAGAGAAGGGGCCTTCTGATACTGCTGGACACACAGCCAAGAGCAGAGGAATTGGGACAGAAATGCCGCATCTTCTCATTCCTACCATCCTACAATCTCTTGCCAATCAATGCCTCTTACTGCTTGAACTCAATCAGAAACTAAAAAGGAAAAGAGCCCATGTCATGCACTCTGAAGGAGTCAGGCTCTTGAGCCACAGAGAAGATCACAGAGTGGATGGGGGAGGTGAGGGATGCAAGCAAAGGACAACCTGCAAAAAAAAATAAGTATGCATTCTAATTGGCACAAGAAGAGCTGAGTGAGGGGCCAGTAATGTCACAGTCCCCACAGGGAGCTGTCCTCCTGGCTGCCAGAGTGCTGGAGGGAATGAAGCAAGGGGAGATCAAATGTGGCTGCACAGGGTGAACTCACCCCCAGTGGATTGGTTACCCAGTGTGTTCTGGGCTTGCTGCGTGACTTCAGACCAGTTGCTCAACCTCTCTGGTTCTCAGTTTATTAGCTATAAAATGGGACTACTTGGCATCTTCCTTGCCTACAAACCCCCCTTTATACTTGAGAAAGTAAAATGTCAAGGAAAGAACAACAATTCGTTTCTCCATTCCCTGCATCTGGGTTTGGTCATGTGACTGGGACATTAGCCAATGCGATGCAAACAGAATCCTCAAAAGTGCTTGGGAATTGGGGCTTGGATTGAAATGCCCTCACTTACTGCTCTTGAGATGCCAGTGAGCAGGCAAAGGCTAGCCTGCTGGGTGGTGGCAGGCAATGGCCAAGGCATCCCTGTCCCTCCAGCTGACACTGAGCCAACCACCAGATGTGAGAGTGAGGGCCTCACAGACCCTCCAGCCCCAGACAAGCTGGCCCAGATCACAAGAACCTCCCAGAAGACCCACAAAATTGAGAGAAAGAATGTTGTTTTAAGCCCACTACCCTTGCAGCAATTTGTTACACAGCAAATGCTTACTGATACAATTAGTAATGAGATACTGGAAACGTATCTTGCTAATAACAACATAGCAGTGGGTTGGGATACCAGGGGTGTGAACCATGAGGCAGTGCTCCAAAGGATGCTGTCCCATGAAGCTGCCCAACAGAGTTTTCTCAACAACATGGGCATTTTCAAAGTCCAGCAGGCCTCAAGTTTTTTTTTTTTTTTTTTTTTTTATTTATTTAAGGTGCAGGGGGAGTGGGGGAATACAAGAGATACAATCTAAATGTTTAGATTGCTTTGTCGCTCCAGGCTTCCTTTCCTTTTCTTTTCTTTTTTAACAAATTGCCCAGTGTATAGAGTGCTTTTCTGTTTTCCCTCCCGGGAAGTTATTTATTTTTATGGGCTTCTTTTGGGAAATAAAAATCAATTTTGGAATGCAAGTGATACATTTTACTCTCTCAATAATGAAAGCTAGAAAATTAAAGGCCCCAAGGAACAACCTCTCTGTACTAAAATGATGTAGAATGCAGCCCAAATGTTCTTGTGTGAACGTTTTATAAATCGTGACCACTGTTTGCTGATGGAACCCTGGAAATAGCTCGTGGAAGACACAGCCATTGCTAGTGATGGCTCCATGCTGGGGGAGCCTATGCAAGCTCACACTCCCACAGGAAGGCACTTCCAGATAACCTATTCTCTAATCACAACTCTGAAAAACTGTATATATCAGGGCACTCCTGTGTGTGTGTTTAGGAAACCTGTTCATTCACTTATTCAATTAATGGCCGCATGTGGTGGCTCATGCCTGTAATCCCAGCACTTTGCGGGGCCAAAGTGGGCAGATCACTTGAGCTCAGGAGTTTGAGATCAGCCTGGCCAACATGGCAAAACCCCGTCTCTACTAAAAATACAAAAATTAGCTGGGTGTGGTGATGCACACCTGTAATCCCAGCTACTTGGGAGGCTGAGGCATAAGAATTGCTTGAATTCGGGAGGCGGAGGTTGCAGTGAGCCAAGATCATGCCACTGCACTCCAGCCTGAGCAACAGAGCAAGACCCTGTCTCAAAAAAAAAAAGATTAAAAATTATTAACAAGCACCTATTATGTACCTAGACATGGTGACACAAAATGAACAAGACAGAATAGTCAGTCCCTACAAAAAGCTTATATTTTAGAGAAAAGATACAAACATTAAACAAGGCATCTTAAGTCGGGTTCCCTGAAAAAAGACTGATCTGGATATTGTATGCAGGCGGCTTCTCAGGGAATAACCTTGGGAGGAACTCCTGCAAGGAATGGGGGAAGCAGGATGAAATCGAGAAACTGAACTGCAATGTAGCTGCAACAGAGGTGTCACCTGATCCATGAGGGAGCTCTGTAGCTGGGATGGCCCCTTAGACTTGTTCCCTACTGAGGCTGGGGAAGAGCATTTATAAGCCCATTCCCCACCAGCAACCAATCATAGACTGTGAGCTGCCCCTGGAAGAGGGCATAACCTTGGGCACTGCAGCTCCCTCAGGGCAAATCCTACGGAAATACTGAAGCCGTGAGTGGTCAGAGCCAATACTCTGCGTGGCTTGGGGCAGGAGTGCCTCTGTGCTGAGAGAGGGATCCTGGTGGCACACCACAGTATCCACTACACAAGGAAACATTGTAGATGTGATACATGCATAAGGGAGGAAGTTCAGCGCTTAGGGAAGGGGTACCTACCTTAGACTAGGGATTCTCAGGGTCACTGACGTCTTTGCTAAATGCCCTGTACAAAGGAGCTTGGTAGGAGTTCACTAACTAACCCCTCATTATGCACTAAGCGCTGTGAAGGCCCTGAGAGACATTCTTGTTTCATCCTTGCCATGACTCTGCAAGGTACAGGCTACTCTCTCTGCTCGCCAGATGAGGACACTGAGACTCATGGGGCTTCATTAACTTGCCCAAAGTCCCACAGCCAGCATGTGGCAGAGCTGGGACTTGAACACCTATCTTCCTGAAGACAAAGCCTAGGACCGCTTCTGCTTAATTCCTATCCCTATTCCCAGGCACCTTGCTTTCTTCCATTCATGCTATAAACCTGCTCAGATGCCTCTCAGAAATAACTTCCTTCTAAGACGCCTTCCCTGGCCCCTTTCTTCCACAACCCAAATTCTCATGAGTTGTCTACACTCCTCTTTCCACATCCCCTCCTTCAATTCCCTCCTCAACATCCAGCATCCAGGCTTTCCGGCATCCTGCCTCTTAACTCCTACTATGCCACTGAAAGAGCACTTCCCAAGTCCCTAAGTTAAATGACCAAATCCAGTGACTCTGTTCAATTCTTAGCCTCGTGTTTATCATTACCAGTTGGCAGCATCTAAGGTGTTGGCCATATCCACTTTCTTGAATTCTCTCTTCCCTTGGCTTCTATGACCATTTACTCGGCTGGTTCCCCTTCATTCTCTAAAAGCACTATAATTATTACTACTAATAATAATTATTATTCGAGATAGGGTGTCACTCTGTCACTCAGGCTGGAGTGCAGTGCTGTGATCATAGCTTACTGCAGCCTCAAACTTCTGGGCTCAAGGGCTCCTTCCACCTTAGCCTCCCCAGTGGCTTGGACCACAGGCATGCACCACCACACTGGCTACATTAAAAAAAAAAAATTTTTTTTTGTAGAAATGGAGTCTCCCTTTATCATCCAGGATGGTCTTGAACTCCTGGGCTCAAGCGATCCTTCTGCCTCAGACTCCCAAAGTGCTGGGATTACAGACATGAGCCACTGCACCTGGACTTAAAAGCATTATTTTTAAATTCTCCTTCACTGGCTCCTCTTGCTCCACTGATGACTGAAGTGGCTCCATTTCCCAGAGCCTGAACCTTCCTGCTCTTACAGTGCTGCACTAATTCCTGACCCACTCAAAGAATTCAGCTTCCACTGTTAGGGCCGGTGACCCCTGCATCCATACTGTTGGCTCTGTTTTTCCAATCGGATCTCTGGATATACAGATTCATCTGCCTACTGGACACAGTCACCCATGCAACCCAAAAACATCTCAACATATACTAAAGCAAGATGATTACCTTTCCCTTCTGGTAAGCTTCTGTGACTTCTAACCCTAATTGGCTATCACGCTCACTATCCACATGTCTTCCTGAGTCAGAAATCTCTGTTAGTCCTGACTCCTCCATCCTCTCCCTGATCCTCTACATCAATTTATTCTTATCCTTCCACTTCCTTAATTCATGTATGTTTCATCTCCTCCATCCTACAGGGATCAATAGCTCCTGGATGGGTCTCTACAGCTCTAGTCCCTTACATCTTTAATCCTTCTTTTTAATTGTCACCCATGGTAACTAGATCAGGTCATTACCACCTACAATGGCTCACCAAATCCCTAGCATGCTTGAGCAAGCTCTTCTGTGAGCTGGCATTAATCAGACTTCATAGCTACAATCTATGGTCTGAACACACCAGAAACCCTAGGCACCTTCATGGTAACATTCATGCTTCTCTCATGTGGTTACACTTCAGCCTAGAAGTCCAACTTTTTAACTATTTATTCAGGTCATTCAATGTCTGATTCAGGCATTAATCAGACTTCATAGCTACAATCTATGGTCCAAACACACCAGAAACCTAAGGCACCTTCACAGGGCATGAAGGTTACGTTTCATGGTAACTTTCAAGGTTCACTTGTGTGGTTACACTTCTGCCTAGCAGCCCACCGTTTTTGGTTTTTTTTTTTAACCTATTTAGCCATTTACTCAGCAAACTCTAATTGTGCATCTGTACATGTCAATTGTGCACTGCACTAGCACAAAGTGGCATAAAAAATAAGGAAGGTTCTTGCTCTCCATCCAGTGGAGAGAAACAGGCAAGAAGCAAATAAATAAACAAATGCAAACAGAGTAATGGGATAGGGAGTGACTGGGAGGGGTTTCTTCAGATAAGACTCAGAGGCGGGCTTTCTGAGAAGGTGACATTTAGTGATGACTGAAGGCTA
Organism: Homo sapiens; assembly: GCF_000001405.40. Lineage (NCBI taxonomy): Eukaryota > Metazoa > Chordata > Mammalia > Primates > Hominidae > Homo > Homo sapiens. The sequence goes on along the minus strand of NC_000016.10, from coordinate 24,058,162 downwards.
CTGGAAAGTTGGCAACACATAGAGCCCAAGGAAAAGCAACCCAAGCTGAGGGAAGAGCAAGTGCAAGAAGGAAGGAAAAATATTTGTTGGCTCAGAGATGTGGCTATCATGGGAAAAGAACAAACAAGGTTGGAAAGAGGCTGAAGGAAGCAGAATCTGCAGGCTCTTAGAGCAGGAGTGAGGAGTTTAGGTTTCAGTTGGAAGCTCTGAGAAGGCTTGGAATCATTTAAGCAGGGGGGTGACATGGCCTGATTTACATTTTAGAAAGATTCCTGTGGCTGGGTGTGAAGAGTGGATTTCAGAGGGCAAAAGACCGTCAAAGTTTCTATTCATCTTTCAAAGTAGAAAATAGACAAAGCGCCCACCGAGCTGAGTCCTAGCAAGGGGCAAGCCATCAATAAGCGTTAGATCTCTGCCCCATCCAGAACTAAGTCCACTGCCTTTGCCTCTGTGAAGCCTATCACAACCCCATGGGTTGGAATTAACCTCTCATCCCCTGGCACCTCCCACAGCATGTGCTTCCTACTCCATTATCTCTTCACCAATCCCCCCTTTTATAGTGAGCTCTCTCTTCTTCTCTCTTAGTAGGGCTATGAAATACTCAGCGTGTAAAGAATCATATTCATTCCTACAGCCATCCAGTATCTAGCAAATGACCTCCCATACAGAAGAGATTAAAGAATAAGTGAATGAATGAATGAATGAGGTATGAAAGGAAAGCTCTTTTTGTTCCCCAGGAAAGCTATGCATTAACAGCCTGCGTTTAGAATCAATCACATCTGCATTTTTAATTCAAATCCCATCGCTCCCTAGCGATGGGACTTTGGGCAAGTGAATTCACCTCTCTGAGCTGCATTTTTCCCTTCTGTAAAGCTGAAATAGTAGTAAGTATGGGATAGTATTATTTCATAGGGCTGACATGGGGATCTAATGGGACCAAAGAAGCACTGTTGGCCCTTCCCATTCCCAAAAGTGTGCCTGCCAGAGAAGGGCAGAGTCTGAACAATCCAAGATAAAGATCTGCAACTATATAACACTTGTTGACAAGGTCCTGTCTTTTTCTTGTTTACATTTTTGTTTTCAACAAATATTTATTGAGCCCTGATCATAGACACCCACCACAACCATCACCTTCCATTTTAGTGGCCATAAATAATCAGGGAAAGACACGTTTGAATCTGCTCTTGGGGTAAGGGCTGGATCTGGCCCCTGTGCATGCACCACGGGCCCAAGACTCACCAATAGCAAGGCTATGGAAATAGGCTGTGTTCATCCGTTTGCGTTGCTCTCAAGGAATACCTGAGGCTGGGTACTTTATAAAGAAAAGAGGTTTATTTTTGTTCATGGTTCTGTAGGCTGTCCAGGAAGCATGGTGCTGGCATCCACTTCTGGTGAGGGACTCAGGAAGCTTCCAATCATGGTACAAGGAGAAAGGGGAGCCCGTGTATCACATGGTAGGAGCGGGAACAAGAATGAGAGAGGGGAGGTGCCAGACTCTTTTAAACAACCAGATCTCTAGTGAACATGGAGCGAGAACTCGTTTAGGTGACATGGAGTGCACCAAGCCAGGCATGAGGTGTCTGCCCCATGACCCAAAAATGGCCCAAGCACCTCCCACGAGGCCTCACCTCCAACACCGAGGATCACATTTCAACATGAGACTTGGTGGGGATAAAACATCCACACTGTATCACAGGTATTTTGCATTCACTTTTAGACCCCATGCCTGGAGACCCAGTGGGCATTGTTGCCCCTATTCAAGAACGCTGGAGACAAGACATTTCAATCCCAATGTCAGTCTGCCCATCATCTTTCTAGGGGAACCTGTATGACCCACAAGTCCCCATAAGCTGCCTCTTGAACTAGTGACAGGCAGAGATGGTGATTAGCCCAGGTCAGTCTGATGCCAGGAGGTATGAATGAGGAAGCTGGGGAAATCATGGCCAGAGCCAAGGAGAACCCCAAGGGAGAGGCTGGCAGCTTCAAAGAGGAAAAGAGAAAGAAGATGTGCACTTACTGCAAGGCTGAAAGAAAGCACACCCATCCCTGAGTTGAAATCACCATTTTAATTTCCAAATTCTCAATTCGGCAAAGTGGTTAAGGGGCTGGGTGTTAGATGCAAACAGACCTGGGACCAAACTCCAGTTCTGCCACACAGAAGCCCAGTTGACCTTGAGCAAGTCAATTAACCTCTCTGAGCCTCAGTTTCCCCTTTTGTCAATGGAGACAAAATGGGTTGATGCAGGTAAAGAGCCCAGCACTGTGTCTGGCACTTAGTAGGCTGTTGTAGTGCAGGAAATTTATATTTCGAGAGAGAGAGAGACTGAAAGGATTCTGTCAAGCAAACAGCATTGCACACCACACACCCCTACAAAACTAGAAGAAATAAGCAGAAAGATGCACTGGAACATCCTTTGGGACTGCTGGCTCTTTATGGATATGCCTACTTGTCCTTCTCCACCAACCATTCCATGATTTCAGATTGGTTCACTTTTCTTTCCCCAATTTGAAAGCCTGCTTAGGTCGGGATTTCTCCAACAACGGGCTAAGACAGTGGATTCGTCTGGAAAGAAGAAATGAAATCAAAGGAGCATTGATCCTCGATGGGGGGAACAGGCTCTCAGCTCTTATTCCAAGTCCCTGTGAAGCCACATTCTCTGAGCTGAAGCAGGCATCCAGCAAGGGCCAGAGAAGCCGACGTGAAAGCCCAAACCCAGCCATCCGTGGCTGCCGCATGCAGCTCGTCAGGGGAGGAGGAACAGACAATAGCAGTCAGTTCCAGGGCCATCTCCCTTCCTTCCCTAGTGCTTCTCAGAACCCAGCAGGCAGCTGATGAGGACTCAGCAGCGGCTGACAGCCCATCTAAAGCTCACTGTCTCTCCAGCTTCCAATCACCAGGTGTCTGAAGGGGTTTCAGAGCAGTCAGCTTCTGCCCTCATTAAGAGGCCTTTGGTGGGTGGAGAAGATGATTGTGAAAGGAACGGTCAGCTTCATTAGGCAACTCAGAGGAGGGGTACAGAAGTCCCCAGAGCTCTGGCCTCCTGGCCTGTGCCCAAGAGGGCCCCTCATTTGCATCTCATTTGCATTGCATACTGAACGGGACCCCCAGCTTACACTTGGAGAAATTGTCATGAGCTAAAGAGAGAGGCTGCCATCGGGTTTGTGGCGAATGATCCTGGGGGAGGAGGATCCACAAAGCAAGCCTACACAACAGTCTCTGCCCTCCAGGAAAACAAGACCTCAATCAGACCACAGTGATGCAGACAGATGCAGACCACACTATTCTGGGATGGATGACCAACTAAATAAAGCCATGTTTACATCATGCACAAGGCCAGACAGAGGGAAAATTCCAAATGTTTTCAAGAGACTGTTAGAACGATTCGTGCTAATTGCATGCAAGTCTTGTACTATGAATGTCAAACTGCACCAGCATCACATAAATGAGCTGTCAACGGCTTGGTCAGCGTTCCCACAGAAAAGAACCTTTTCCTCCCTCTCAGAATAGTTCTCATTTTGTTTGATTGATACACACACAGCTCCCCTTCTTGGGAAAGGGTTTTTAATTTATTGTCCAAAAGCCACAGGTTTCCCCAGTATCCCTAAAGGATTGTCTCTTCATATAAAATAGGTGCTAAGATCTCCATATTAAGACAAACCTGGGTTTAAATTCCAGCACCAGCACTTATCAGCTATATGAATCTGGCCAAGTCATTTAACCTTTCCGAGCTTCAGTTGCCTCCTCTACAGAATAGGGACAATAGTCACATCTCATAGGGAGTAAATGATATCATGCATATAAAAATGCTCTACAAAAGACAAAGTTAAGAGATATTGCCTACCATTGGGAAAGCAAGAAATGGAGTTGCAAATACATAACTTAAATAGCCAGGTTCAGTGGCTCACACCTGTAATCCCAGCACTTTGGGAGGCTGAGGCAAGAGGGTCACTTGAGGCCAGGAGTTTGAAACTAGCCTGGGCAACATAGCCAGATCCCATCTCTATTATAAAATTTTTAAAAATTTGGCTGGGCATGGTGGTGTGTGCCTGCAGTCCCAGCTACTCAGGAGGCTGAGGCAGGAGGATTGCTTGAGGCCAGGAGTTTGAGGCTGCAGTGAGCAGTGATTGTGCCTCTGTACTCCAGCCTGAGTGATACAGTGAGAACCTGTATCTAAAATAAATAAATAAAACTTAAAGGAACTATTACAACTACTAGAGTCACAATAATGGATTCCCATTGGACTAAGAGAAAAGACAAATTCCCTCCCAAGAATCACATAGCCCTCAGCAGCTGCCTCTCTGTTTCCTCCGCTTTCCTCTCCTGCTCCCTTCCCTTGACTTGCCCCACTTAGACACACGAGCCTCCTTGCTGTTTCTTCAAGCACACCGAACATGCTCATGCCACAGGGCCTTTGCACCAGCTGTTACTGTGCCTGGAATGCTCTTCTGCCAGGGAGATGCATGGCTCCCTCCTTCATCTCCTTTGAAAGTCTTTACTCAATGTCCCCATCTCAGTGACTGCCTGCTTGCCACCATATCTAAATGTGCAGGTCCAGTCCCCTCCTGCCTCCTTCCCATCCTCTTTTTCCGTTTTTTCTTTTTCCCCTTAGCTTACTGTTCGTATTTTACTTATTTACCTACTTTGTCTTCTCCCACACTACAACAGAGGTCTACAAACTACAGCCCAAGGGCCAAATCCAGCCTCCTGCCTGTTTTTGTAAATAAAGTTTTATTGGCACACACCCGTGCCCATTCATTGGCACACTGTGGCCACTTCCGTGTTACAATGGCAGAGTTAAGTAGTTGTGACAGTGACCAGATAGCTCCAAAGCCCATCTGGCCCTTCACAGAAAAAGTTTGTCAAGCCCTGCACTAAAATATAAGCTCCATGAGGGCAGGACTTTGGCTTGTTCTCTGACAAATCTCCAGTGACTAAGTCAATGCCTGACATGCAGAAGATGCTTAATAATCACTTTTTTTTGAGTGAGTGAACTACAAATGGCAGTAACCCCGTGCTGGATGTGAGGGGAAGAGAACTAGAGGGATCACATCAGAGAATTAAAACCTTCTCAGGAAGTCAGAGCCATGAAATAGTGAAATGACAGAGAGACAGAGCACATGATTAAAATTTAGAGCTCAAGTGCTGGAAGAAAGAGTTTAAAGAGTTGAAAATAGTGTCTTCCAATGCAGTGGTTCTCAGAGTGTCAGAGATGTTTGAACCAGAGTGACTCCATCTTGAATAGGGGCTGGGTAAAATAAGGCTGAGACCTACTGGGCTGCATTCTCAGGAGGTTAAGGGATTCTAAGTCACTGAATGAGACAGGACGTCAGCACAAGGTACAGGTCACAAAGACCTTGCTGATAAAACAGGTTGTGTTAAAGAAGTAGGTCAAAATCCTCCAAAACCAAGATGGCAACAAAAGTGACGTCTGGTCGTCTTTGCTGCTCATTATACAGTAATTGTAATGCATTAGCATGCTAAGAGACACTCCCAGCAGCGCCATGACAGTTTACAATCGTCATGGCAACGTCAGGAAGTTACCCTACATGGTCTAAAAAGAGGAGGAATCCTCAGTTCTGGGAATCTGCCACCCCTTTCCCAGAAAACTCATGAAAAATCCACCCCTTTTTTAGCATATAATCAGGAAATGACCTCAAAAGTGGCTAGCCAGCAGCTTTAGGGCTGCTCTGCCTGTGGAGTAGCCATGCTTTATTCCTTTACTTTCTTAGTAAGCTTGCTTTGACTTTATGGATTTGCCTCGAATTCTTTCTTGCAAAAGACCTAAGAACCTCTCTTGGGTTCTGGATCGGGATCCCTTTCTGGTAACCGGAGTGTGAACACACCAGCATTCTCTGGGGACCTGTTAGAAATTCAAATTCTCATTCTTCAATGTCTACTGAATCAGAAACTCTGAGGGTGGGGCACTCTCTAGATGATTCTGATGCAAGCTCAAGTACAGGACATTGCTTTTCATCCTCAGCTCTCCAATGCACATTGGCATTTTTAACTATGCCTATCCTATTTTGATAAAATAATTAAATAAAATAGTCTAAGGTCTATTAATTTTATGTCTTTTTTTTTTTTTTTGAGACGGAGTCTCGCTTGCTCACTGCAACCTCCACCTCCCAGGTTCAAGCGATTCTCCTGCCTCAGCCTCCTGAGTAGCTGGGATTACAGGTGCCCGCCACCATGCCCAGCTAATTTTTGTATTTTTAGTAGAGACAGGGTTTCACCATGTTGGCCAGGATGGTCTCCCTTTCCTGACCTGGTGATTCACTCGCCACCTGCCTCAGCCTCCCAAAGTGCTGGGATTACAGGCGTGAGCCACTGTGCCCGGCCTCTTTCCTTGAACTCCTGGATTCAGTGATCCTCCTTCCTCAGTCTCCTGAGTAGCTGAGATTACAGGCATGCTGCACTACCATGCCTGGGTAATTTTATTTTTAATTTTTTTTAGGGACAGGGGTCTCACTATGTTGCCCAGACTGGTCTCAAACTCCTTGCCTCAAGTGATTCTTCACCTCAGCCTCCTGAGTCTCTGGGATTACAGGCATGAGCCACTGCACCTGGCTCTATTTTCTGTATTTCTGATGCTTTGGTGTCTCGGAGCCTTGCTGACCCTGGAGAAACTGTCTGTCCCAGGGCTAGCCCATTCCTAGAGACAGTAAAGAACTCACCTGCAAGCGCACCTTTCATATGCAAACCAACCAATCCAAAGCCCAAACCTCCAACCAACTCCTTCATGGGGCTCTTACACTCTGGGCCAGCCTGTGCTAATTACCCCAGGTAAAAGCACCAGGTATCAGGTACCAGGCAACTAGAGAGACAGCCTCTACACCCAGAGTCTGCTGAGATCATTCAAACCAGCCAGCCCTAAGGCTGGTTTCCCGCCCTACCTGCTCCTTCTCACAGAAACAGCAGCAAATGCTCCTGCCACGTTTTCTTTCCGCTTCCTCTGCCTCCTGGCAGACCCTGCTGCTTCCCTGTGTGGCCTTTCATGGAGTGGCACGCCTGCTCCTCATCTATGAGTAATAAACTATCTTTTCAAAAGTAAGGAGGGCAGAACAAGTAGCACAGAGAATGGTGTGAGGAAGGTGATGTCCGGAAGACACTCGGCACAAGAACAGGAAGACCCAAAAGCTCTCAGCCTGGCCGTGGAGCAAAAGGCCAAACCCTACAAGATGAAATGCATCAGGTTTCATCCTGGAGTCTCAAAAAAAAAAAAAATCTTGCACAAGGATGTGGGGCCTGCAGGCTAGCAGCACCCGATGTGATAGACAAGAGAGCTTTAACTGATCATAAACCCAAGATAAGTCAACAGTGCAATGTGGCTGGTGGTACCCCCAGACCCCCCAAAAGAGTAGTATCATCTCAGGATGCAGAAAGAGAATTTTGTTGTCTAGGACAGTGTTTTTCAAGCGGCGGGTCATGACACATTTGCCAATTGTTAGTGAAATCAATTTGCAGAGTAAGAGCATTTTCCTTAAAGGGTTTCTTAAAGGAAATAGAATGGAAATGAACAGAAAAGAGGGCCACAAAAGAGAGGAGAATGTATCAGAGTGTGTGGTGAGCATAAGTAGAGGTAAGCATTAATGGCAGTTTGGTTTTGGTTGTGAGTGTGTGCTTGTTTGTGCAATGTGTGTGTGTTTGTGAGTTTGTGCTTGTTTGTGCAGTGTGTGTGTGTGTGTGTGTGTGTGTTACATAAAACCTAGATGGGCTGGAAGCCGAAAGGTTTGAAAACAGCTGATCTAGAATAAGGAAAGTGACAATCCTTCGCTCCTCGGCAACACAGGTGGATTCTCTTTCACTCTGGGCACCCTGCTTTATAAGGAAGCTACTCCAACTGGAGTGTTGTCTAGGAAGAGTTCCGGGTTGACATCAATGATGGCATACTCGGCCCTATCATGTGTTTGAGGTTGTGGGCTGTGGATTAAGGATTAGAAAGTAAATGGCTGAAGGAGTTGGGGCTGCCTCACTTGGGAATTAAAAGATTCTGGGACACCTATGAACCATCTTTGAATTAGTGGAAGGCTGTCAACATACCTGTACTGAGTTACCCAAGGGTGAAACCAGTGCCTGTAAAAGCTTCATGAAATTCATCAATATCTATGTCAGCAGCTCAACGTGCTTGGCTTCTTGGATCCCCTACCAACTCCTACTTGTCCACCTGCACCACTGCTCTTCCTCTGATTCTCAATTCACCCCTCCAGATCTTCCCGTCTCCAGCATCTCCAAGCTTGTATAAGGTCTAACGTGTACAGTAAATCCCTTATTCCATGATGCTTATAGTGACTCTGATTCCCTGAGCGATACACAGGCGTGGGCTAAGCACCCACAATGCTAAGGTGGGAAGTTGATTCTGCTTCCTCCCATGTACACAAACCACTTTGTTTCTGGAGTTTTCCAGTGTAACCTGAACACTCTGTGAGCATCTTTGCATTTTTAAGTGAGAACACTTTCTTAGGATACTGCTGTGAACTTGGTTTTATCCCTCTCTTTCTCTCAGCTTCTAGATGTTCCCTGGGCCACTCAAGGAGGCAGACCAGGGTAGTAGTTAAGGGTGCAGGTCCCGGATGATGCTAGAGTAGTGGTTAAGCGTGCATGTCCCAGATGTGCCAGGGTAGTGGTTAAGGGTGCATGTCCCGGTTGTGCCAGGGTAATAGTTAAGGGCACATGTCCTGGTTGTGCCAGGTTAGTGGTTAACGGTGCAGGTCCTGGATGTGCCAGGTTAGTGGTTAAGGTTGCAGGTCCTGGATGTGCCAGGGTAGTGGTTAAGGGTGCAGGTCCCGGGTGTGCCAGGGTAGTGGTTAAGGTGCAGGTCCCGGATGTGCCAGGGTAGTGGTTAAGGGTGCAGGTCCCGGATGTGCCAGGGTAGTGGTAAAGGGTGCAGGTCCCGGATGTGCCAGGGTAGTGGTAAAGGGTGCAGGTCCAGGGTGGGACAGGGTTGCCAGATTCACATAACCCATTCCCTGGTCCTAACACAGGGAGGTTTGGAGAGAAAGTCTTCTCCATCCACCTGCTTCTCACAACCTAGGAATTTATTCAGCCTCTTGGGCAGATCTTGGCCAGTGAAATCTGTCTTTCTGCAAAAAAAAAAAAAAAAAAAAAAAAAAAAAACAGGCCAATTTGAAGAAATGTTATCATCTTCAGCCTCACAGTCCAGCAAACACTGACTCTCATACTCCCAAAGGAGCAAAACAGGCTAGCAGGAAGTGTTGGGGAAAATGGAGTCATATGAAGCAAAGTCTCAGTTTCCTCACCATATAATGGAGAGAAGGACTACGGGTAATAGCAAAAGTTGTTAGGAGGATTACCTGAAGGAACGCTTGTAGAGTTCCTAGCAAAAGCCAGGCATTTGGAAGGGTTTTAGAAAAGGTGGCTGTGGCTGGGCACGGTGACTCACACCTGTAATCCCAGCACTTTGGGGGGCCGAGGTGGGCAGATCATTTGAGGTCAGGCAGCCTGACCAACATGGTGAAACCCTGTCTCTACTAAAAATACAAAAAAATTAGCTGGGCATGGTGGCGCATGCCTGTAGTCCCAGCTACTTGGAAGGCTGAGGCAGGAGAATCGCTGGAACCAGGGAGGCGGAGGTTGCAGTGAGCTGAGATTGTGCCACTGCACTCCAGCCTGGCGACAGAGTGAGACTCTGTTATAAAAAAAAAAAAAAGAAAGAAAAGAAAAGAAAGAAGTAAAAGTGGCTGCTACTAATATCATGTATCATCATCACTCCACTGATGTACTTAGTGCCAGGATAAGACGGTGTCCAAGAGCCTAATTATCTGGAATGGCATAGTTAGATTCAAGTCCCAGCTCCACATCTTCCTAGTTGTGTGGCTTGGGCAAGTTATTTAACCTCTTTCTCTGTGTCTCAGTTTCCCCATCTGTAAAATGGAGATGCCCTCAGTAACTCTCTCCCACCCAAGTAGCTGGGACTACAGGTTGTTGATAGGATTATACGACATGGCTGAGCAACGTGCTTCGCCCAGTGCCTGGTGGTTACTATCAGTAAGAGGTGTCCGTCCCTTGGTTTTGTTGGTAGTGGTAAAGCAGATGGAACCCAACCAGACAGCGAGGCTGCTCAGGAGCTGCGACTGCATCTTGCACAGGCTTTTGTGCCCCACGATGGCTAGCACTGTGCTGGGTTCACAGCAAGGGCTCAGTAAGCGTCAGCCACTGGCCCTCCTCCCTTCCCTCACCCTTCTAACTTATGCCTCTCCTGCCTTCTCCAGGGCTACCTGGAATGCCTCCAGCCCACTGCTCCCTCCCTTCTCTAAACTCTGATCACAAGAAAGATTCTGACCCCACAGTGCTGGGGCAACAGGCAAATGAAAAGCAGGTCTTCTCCAAGACCTTAAGGCTAAACTAGTCCCAACCTGTGCCCTAAAGCCACTGAAAGATAAGACTATGAGAACTACCAGTGCTGAAGCATCTCCTTCCTCTCCCCACTGGTATGGTGGGTGTTTCTTATGTTCCAATGTCTCATAGTCTTAAACTGTATCTTTCCAACATCTGACTTAATGTGTTAGAACCTGCCAGACAGATGGACCCAGGGTACAAATCCAGCCTCCTCCATGCACTGCCTTAGGGACTAGAGGCGGGTGCTCAAATTCTTTTTTTTTTTTTTAGAAGGAGAGACAGGGTCTCGCTCTGTCGCCCAGCCTAGAGTGCAGTAGCGAGATCATAGCTCACCGCAGCCACCAACTCCTGGGCTCAAGTCATCTTCCCGCCTCAGCCTCCCAAGTAGCTGGGACTACAGGTGCATGCCTCCATGTCCAGCTAATTTGTATTTTATTTTATTTTATTTTATTTATTTATTTTTTGAGATGGAGTCTCACTCTGTCACCCAGGCTGGAGTGCGGTGGCACAATCTCAGCTCACTGCAACTTCTGCCTCCCGGGTTCAAGCGATTCTCCTGCCTCAGCCTCCTGAGCAGTTGGGACTGCAGACACGCACCACCACGCCCAGCTAATTTTTTTTTTGTATTTTTAGTAGAGATGAGGTTTCACTATGTTGACCAGGCTGGTCTCGAACGCCTGACCTTGTGATCCACCCACCTCAGACTCCCCAAGTGCTGGGATTACAGGCATGAGCCACCGCACCCTGCCTACCCAGCTAATTTTTAAGACTTTTTTTCTCACTGTGTTGCTGAGGCTGGTCTCAAACTTGTGGCCTCAACTGATGATCCTGCTTCAGCCTCCTGAGTAACTGGGACCATAGCCACATGCTACCACACCAGGCTCAGATTTTTCAAGGCTCTGTTTTCTCCTTTGTAAAATGAGAAAAACAAAATGACTGCCCCCACTGGGTGGTTTTGGGGCCTAAACACACTGACCTTGCATGATGTCCTTCAGATACTCCTGGGATCTAAATTTCCATGCACTTAGAAAGAAACCAAGCCCACCATGGGGCTCACAAAGCCTAACTGGCTGTCCCTGCCTTTCCTCCAGCGTCACCCACCCCTCCCCATCCCGAGGCTCCAGTCACACCCACTGGCTGTCAGTTCCTGTCACTCACAAGCCTGCTGCTTCACTCTTCCCTCTGGCCTCTGCCTCTGCCGCTCCCTCTGCCTGGTATACTCTTCCCTGGAATTTTCAGCAAGCTGGCTCCCTCCTGCTGGTCCCTGAGGTCTCAACTAAATGCCATTATCCCTGCTAATCACACTCAGCCCACTGGCCACCCTCTATCACATCATGCCGCTTTATTTTATTTCCTTGATAGTGTTCCTTGTTTTCTCAAAGTGTTTTGTTTGCTTCCTCTTCATCTCCCATCATTAGAAAGAAGGCAGAGGCCATGAGCACAGGGGCCTTGCCTGTAAGCAGTGCCCAGCACATGGGAGGCCCCCAACAAATACTTGTTGGAGGAGTGGGAAAGGCAGGATTCAAACCCAGGCCTGACTCCAAAGCCCATGCAAAACCTTTGTAATCATAGACCACATTGGCCTAAAATTAGCAGAGACGTGCAGCAAGCCATCCAGAAAAGCAACACAGAGGCTAATGACTAGGAAGCTCCCCAGAGACATGCCTTCACCTTCCAGGTGGTAGAGGACAAAGGCAAAGCAGGGAAGAAAGAAAGGCTCTGGGTCACTTTACACAAATGGCTCAAGCCAGAAGCTCATGCTGCACCAGGCCAGGACATGCAGGTAGGTGCAGGTCACCAATGAAAGAGGATTCCAGCCCTGGCGGGACTGACACCCGAGCTTCATGACTGGTAAGATGCCATGGCCAACGCGGGGCTGGAGGTTCACATCACCCCTGGCACATCCACCTGTGGTGGTCTGCGCAGGAGCCAAGCGCAGGTAAGGCCTGCCATCTAGTGGAAAAGACACATTCTTCCCGTCTCACTGCGATCCTCTGCAGCAGGGCTGCTCGAATGTTACAGTGCATCCCCAGGGGATGTTGTTAAATTGCAGATTCTGATTCAGCAGGCCTGGAGGGGAAGCTGAGATCCCGAATTGCTAACGAGCTCCCAGGTAATGCCGATGGGATGCAGCTGGTCCCCAGACCACACCCAGAGCAGCCAGGGCCCACAGTGATTTCTGGAAAAAAAAATTAGCTTCAACTGAAACTGAGGGTTGGGAAGCCACAGCCCATGGGAAACAGGATTGAAGTTTAAGTCAAAGAACTCAGACTTGGAGGTGGGGTGGGCCTGGGAGGGCAGGGGGCAGTTTAGCGTAGACCTGCCAGGCGAGAGGCACAGAGAAGAGGAGGTGGTTCCCAGAACATATGCGACTCAGCAAGGATGATGCCAGCGACCTTGCTGAAAGAAGGCAAAAAACATCAAACACCATGAAACTCGGAGAACAGGCCCAGCTCACAAGGCAGATGCTACACAAGATGGAAGCTAGTGACAATAAAAACTCAAAAATACCCAGACAGGGCCTGGGCCCAGCTCTGCTCAAGCTGAGAACCACCCAACAACCCTCCTCAAGCAACCAACACCCCATCATTTGGGGCATTATCCATTCATTTTTTTTTTCTGCTATTGTTGTTGAGACAATTTATTTCTGTTCATTTTTCCTATTTGGAGATTTTTCTGTTTTTATTTTTCAAAAATTGCGGAAATGATATGTATTGCAATCAACCTGTGAAACGTAATGAAAACTACAGAGACACAACACAATCCCCCTCACCGCCACAGCCTCTTCACTCCCAATCCTGCTGCGATCCCAGTGTTTACAACCTGGTTGGTATCCTTCCACACCTTTCTTCACACACAGGTTATAAAATATACAGACAAAACTTCACACATAGGAGGTGTCTGTTGCTGTTGCTTATTTCTTCAAAATGAGATCATACTAAATATATTTTTACGCAACCTAACCCTTTCACTTAACCATAGATGTTCCTCTAGTTCAAGGACTGCCAAATGTTTTCAGTAAAGGCCAGAGAACAAATATTTTACATTTTGCAGATTGTACAAGCTTTGTCACAACTACGCAGTGAACTCTGCCATTGTATCACAAGAGCAGCCATAGATAATATATAAATGAATGGATGTGGCTGTGTTCCAATAAAACTTTATTTATAAAAACAGGCAGCAGGCCAGTTTGGCAACCTCTGCTTTACACCAATATCTGTAGCTCTAACCCATTGGTGTTTTGTTTTTAGTTATTTAGAATTTTTATCACAAACTTTTAAATAATAAAAGTATAGGAAGTATAATATACCTATAGAAAAGTGTATAAATCATAATCTTACAGCTTGAATTCTCACAAAGGAAATTCACCTGTGTAACCAGTTCCCATGTCAAAAATTATACTCATTTTCTCATTTTAATTCAGTCTTTTCTTTTCTTTTTTTTGAGACAGAGTCTTACTCTATCACCCAGGCTGTAGTGCATGAATGACCTGATCTCTGTTCACTGCAAACTCCACCTGCAGGGTTCAAGTGATTCTCGTGTCTCACCCTCCAGAGCAGGTGGGATTACAGGCATGCACCACCATACCCAGCTAATTTTTTGGATTTTTTTTAGTAGAGACGGGGTTTCACCATGTTGGCCAGACTGGTTTGGAACTCCTGGCCTCAAGTGATCCACCCTCCTCAGCCTCCCAAAGTGCTGGGATTACAGGTGTGAGCCACCGCGCCTGGCCTAATTCAATGCTTTCAACAACTACCTAGTATCACATAAAATGGGTACCCCTTCATTAGGCTGATGTTTTCTTTGCATCTCAAAGAAAACATCAATAAACATGCTTGTTCTAGATTTTATTTCTTTGCACGCTGGTGTTTCATTTTAAGAGAATAGATTCCCTAAAGGAAAACGTGAGAGTCAAAATGTTCATATGTATACATATTTTAATAGACATTGCTGGACCACTGTCCCCAAAGGCAGTCACAAGTCACAGCCCTGCAGGTCCCAGCAGTGCCCACTTCAATGCAATTCCCTAGACATTTGGGAGCAATGACCGCGCCCAGCACATCCTGAAGGCCTCAGACGCTGGCCTGGCCTTGATAATTCTCATGAGACTTAAATGACCAGGGAAGAAGAGAAGGAACACTGAATAGCAAGACGTCAGCTTCCCTACATCTCCTTAGGTCCAGTATCCCAAAACTTCAGTGCCTGAGACACTCACCTCAACCTAACAAGCTGATAGGCTTTGAAGGAAGGATGGGCAAGAGACCCTTCCCCTGGCCTCATGGGGTGTGCAGACAACTATCAGTAATACACTGAGAAAGATGATAGATGTTCCATAGACAGATATGATTTAACTGAACTTCTTCATTACAACAATACTAAAAAAAAAGCAAAATAAAGCAGGTGTATTGAGTTTTTAAAGGCATTTTGCTCTTCAATGAATACATAACAAAAAATTGTAAACAAGAATTTCCAATTTTCAAAGTTTCTACTTTACTGCATTATAACTCCTCAAAAAACAAACAAAAAAAATTGAACAACTATTAAGTTTCATGTCATCTAAGGGATTTTAGGTATAATAGACATCCCAATAGCCAGAGCTCATGAGTATGAGTGCAGTGTGTGGGGACATAAAGGCATTTCTCTGGTTCATACCTTCCCTTGGATCCTCAACAGCAGCTGTGACATCAAAAAAGAGAATTAATTTGATAAGGGTTAGAATGACAGTCATATGCATTTGTCAAAACTCAGCCATTGTACACTTAAGACATCACCGGGCACAGTGGCTCACATCTATAATCCCAGCGCTTTGGGAGGCCAAAGTGGGAGGATTGCTTGAACCATGGAGTTCAAGACCAGCCTAGGCAACATGGCAAAACCCCATCTCTACAAAACTACAAAAATTAGCTGAGTGTGGTGGCTCATGCCTGTAGTCCCAGCTACTTTGTAGGCTGAGGTGGGAGAATCAATTGAGCCTGGGAGGTCGAGGCTGCAGTAAGCCGTGATTACGCCACTACACTCCAGCTTGGGTGACAAAGTGAGACTGTCTCAAAAAAAAAAAAAATTTTGTATGTATCATTGTATGTACATTTCACCTCAAAAGTTAAAAAAAAAAAAGAAACCCTACAAGTAAATTTTGAATTCTATTGATGTTGGGCATGCTGAAGTGTTTGGGGGAAATCGAATTGGTGTCTGCAGTTTACTTTGAAATGTGTCAAAAATAAGACAGATTGATGGATGGAGAGCGAGATAGTTGGAAATGTGATTAAGCAAGTGTGGAAACGTTAACGACAGAATATAGGTGGTGGATAAATGAGTGTTTGCTGTAAAATTCTTTCAACTTAGTTCAAAATAAAGACTTGGGAAAAAATTACAAACCAATAATGTAAAAGGGAAGGGAGATCTACCAGAACTGGGCCCTATCTGTGTGTGACCTGAAGAAGTAACCTTTCTCTGGACCTCAGTGAGCGTAGCTGGTCTCTGCTGCACCTTCCATTATGAGCAATGACAGTACTGTGGTTTCACAAATTGGGGCATCTCCTGAGAGAGCCTCCGAGGAGGAATGGCTTTGAAGGCAGAGACTGCCCCCTAGTGGGCCCTCGCGGCCTAGTTTATAATAATTTTCTGTCTGCAATTGACGCATGGCTGGGCAATATTACACAAACCCCCATGACACAAGTTTACCTATATAACAAACCTGCACACGTACCCCCCCACCAAAGTTCAAATAAAAGTTAAACAAAAATAAATATTAAGCTATCTGGATTTTTTTTTCTTGTTTACATTGCCCTTTTTCTTCCCAATTCTTTTTTTTTTTTTTTTCCAAGATGGAGTCTCACTCTGTTACCCAGGCTGGAGTGCTGTGATGCAATCTCAGCTCACTGCAACCTCTGCCTCCTGGGTCCAAGCGATTCTCCTGTCTCAGCCTCCTGAGTAGCTGGGATTACAGGCATCCACCACCACACCTGGCTAATTTTTGTATTTTTAGTAGAGACAGGGTTTTGTCACGTTGGTCTTGAACTCCTGACTGTAGGTGATACAGCCGCCTCAGCCTCCCAAAATGCTGGGATTACCGACGTGAGCCACCACACTCAGCCTCTTTGGTACTCTTTTTCTTTTGATGTGTGGATGTCAGATCTTAAGAAGGATTTAAATATCACAATATTGGGAGTACCTAAGGCTGTCAGGGAGATGTTTCAGTCTAAAAAGTTTCTGTATAACACAATATAATGGTAAGAATATAGAATGGGAGTTCCAAAGAGAAACATTTAAAAAAAAAAAGGTTCTTTCTGCTTTCTTTAAGAACACTCCCAACTTTTGGGAGATAGATATGAGGATGGACATGGCTAAGCATTTGGAGGTGGCTGTAATGTAGATGGGAGTATAAATAATAGATGTCAGTTGTTATGTTGATAGGTAGATACTGAATTGAAAAAGCATTGAATAAGATATTGTTAGCTGGGTGCGGTGGCTCACGCCTGTAATCCCAGCCCTTTGGGAGGCTGAGGTGGGCAAATCATGAGGTCAGGAGATCGAGACCATCCTGGCTAACACAGTGAAACTCCATCTCTACCAAAAATACAAAAAAAAATTAGCCGGCCATGGTGGCATGCGCCTGTAGTCGCAGCTACTCGGGAGGCTGAGGCAGGAGAATGGCTTGAACCTGGGAGGGGGAGGTTGCAGTGAGCTGAGATTGCACCACTGCACTCCAGCCTGGGTGACAGCAAGACTCTGTCACACACACACAAAAAAAATTATTGTTGCATGTATGAACACGCAGGCTTCACAAACCTTGGGAGCATTTTACAACTCTGATCTGGACATTGTATTGCCTGATCTCATGACACCTATGGGCATCATGATGTCAATACGGTTTCCTGGGATACTACAAATCCCACTGCTCCATGTCTTTTCTACATTGTCCAGGGAACAAGGGTGGTCATGACTCCAACAAGCGGGTCTCAGTCCCAGTAACATTTGCTGTTGACGTTGGACCTGGTACTTAAGATTTTCTGCATGTTCTACCTCCCATGAGAATAATGGTATAAATTGGACAATCCGTTGACCTTCATTTCCTGACTTTAGGAGGCACTGATCTGGGGACCATCAGTGAAAGCCTTATATCTATCTATCAGGATCCTCCAGGGGTTTCTCATTCATACATACAGCCATTGAGCCCATAAATATTTAGTGATGCCCACCTTGCTAGGTGCTGGGAGTAGAGTGGCAAGACACAGTCCCGCCCTCATGGAGCTAATGCCTTGTGATGAGATGCAGACATTAATCAAATCCAACATAAAATCACCCCTTTCACAAGGCCAAGCTCAGGTTACCATGAGTGTCTACGAAAGGGGGAAGTTGGAGGAAGCTTATTAGATGGTAAAAATGAACCGAGATCGAGAGGAAGAGTTAATTGCTAGAAAAAGAGAAGATGGCAATGGCAAACATTCTAAACAGAACGCACAGATGTCTTATGGTGTGTGGCAGTCTGCAGAGGACCAAGGATTAAAAGAAAGGGGGAGGAGACAGTGAATAAAGAATGAGATCGCCATGTTAGATTTAGTCTGTTATAAAGACAATGGGAAACCATTGATGGGTTTTTAAAAGGAGGAGAACTGATCAGATTTATTCTCATCTTGACCTGCCAAAACACTAAGAACAGATATATGAGCTCAATTTCAGTAGCCAGGCAAGTTAGAAAACCTTTGACCTCTAGAGATGCTGAGATTTCCAAAGAACATATGACACTCAGGGCAAACGGCAGTGTCCTGGGCTGATGGTCAGTGGAAAATCCTAATACTGACCATGCTTCTTGGGTCTGGATGAGGTGGGGCCATTCCACAAACACCACAAGGCCACTTCTGGCCTGGCACTGCTGGGAAGGACCCCGCACAACCTTTAGTGCTCGCTCCTCTCTGATCTGTCTTGCCAAGACCAAGGAGGAGGGGGCTGGAGTCCCAGCAATGAAACCAGGAAGACAGTCAGGAGACCAAGGGAAACTTGAGTGTGCCAGATGCTGTTGGACCCTGCCCAGCTCCCCTCCATGCTGGCCAATGCACCCATCCCCTGGGTGCTGTGTATGATGGCTGTTAATGGCTCACAGTTACCCCTATGTCCAGATAACTGTCCTCAACTGCACAGAAGCCTCCTCACCTGGGAAGTTACTCTACCTTCCCACCTCCATCCCCAGCAGCCTACAGCAGTAACTGACTATATCAGCCAGCTCAGGCTGTCATAACAGAATACCATGGACTGGGTGGCTTAAACAACAGACATTTAGGCCGGCACAGTGGCTCACGCCTGTAATCCCAACACTTTGGGAGGCCAAGGCGGGCGGATCACTTGAGGTCAGGAGATTGAGACCATCCTGGCTAACATGGTGAAACTCCGTCTCTACTAAAAATAAAAAAAATCAGCTGGGCATGGTGGCACGTGCCTGTAATCCTAGCCACTCGGGAGGCTGAGACCGGAGAATCGCTTGAACATGAGAGGCAGAGGTTGCAGTGAGCAGAGATCATGCCACTGCACTCCAGCCTGGGTGACAGAGCAAGACTCCATCTAAAACAAAATAAAAAGAAAAAAAGAAAAAAAGACATTTATTTCTTCACAGTTCTGGGGGCTGGGAAGTCCAAGATCGAGGTACCAGCAGCTTCAATTCCTGGTAAGGACTCACTTCCTGGCTTGCAGACGGCCACCTTCTTGCTGTATCCTTCCTTTGGTGGAGACAGAATGATCTCTCTTTCTTCTTCCTCTTAGAAATCCACAAATCCCATTATGAGGGCCCCACCCTCACAACCTCATCTAACCCTAATTACCACCCAAAGGTCCCATAGCTCCAAATACCACCACACTGGGGGTGAGGCTTTAAGATACAAATCTGGGGGAGACACAAGTCATCCCACAGCACTGACTGACCTGGAACACGACAGAACAGCCCCCTTGCCTCAAGATGGGACTGACTGTGCTACAGTGTTTGGTACAAAATTCCACCAGATACCAGGCTGAAGAAGACTTCCACGGAGACCACACTCTCGCCAAGCTTTTTCCCTGCCTGAGGAAGGAAGCATGGTTCCTTCACTTCTCTTTTCCCATGAGCAGCCCAATAAATCACTGGAACAAAATCCCCATCTTGGCTCTATTTTTAGAGAACTCGGCCACAGCATCAGGGCTCTCTTCTATCATCCATCAATCAACAAGCCCATGCTGAGTACAGGCTGTGCCCAGCATGGTGTATGGGCAATTGCAGGGCATTGTGACATGGGGCCAGAGGCCCAGGTGCTCACCCCTGCTCAGCATGTGACATTGGTCAGGGTGTTCAGCCTTGCTGAGACTTCGTTTTCCCTTCCATGATGGCAACAACGTGCCCTTTCCCGAATGGTGTGATATCAAAGTATTTGGAAAAGCACAAAGTGCTATTAAACTTCTTTATACATTTGCCTGCTCTGAACATCCCAAAGAAATGAAATCCTACAATATGCCAGGGTCTCACTATGTTGGCCAGGCTGGTCTTGAACGCCTAGTCTCAAGCAATCCTCCTGTCTTAGCCTCCCAAAGTGCTGGGATTACAGGTGTGAGCCACCACACCTGGCCTTTTTTGTTTGTTTGTTTTTCTTGTTTTTGTTTTATGAGACGGAGTCTTGCTCTGTCACCCAGGCTGGAGTGCAGTGGTGCAATCTCAGCTCACTGCAACCTCCACCTCCCAGGCTCAAGTGATCCTCCTGCCTCAGCCTCCCAAGTAGCTGGGATTACAGTCGTGCACCACCACACTTGGCTAATTTTTTGTATTTTTAGTAGAGATGATGTTTCGACATGTTGCCCAGGCTGACTCCTGAGTTCAAGTGATCCACCCACCTCGGTCTTCCAAAGCGCTGGGATTATAGGCATGAGCCACTGTGCCTGGCCTATTGTTTTTTTCTTTTTCTTTTCGTTTCTTTTTTTTTTTTTTTAAACGTCTTGTCTTAAGCCACCCAGTTTGTGGTATTTTGTTATGGCAGCCACAGCAAATGGATACACCTCCTATCAGTGTGTCCTGAGAAGCGGGGGCTTGTGATCCAGGTTCTCAAAGTTCACAGCATATCTATGATTAAGGGGGAAGACTTTGACCTTGAACTTGAAGAAATATTGTACTGTACCACATCAGAACAAAGACTCCCTAAGGAATGCCCATAGGAGGTGCCCTAGCCAAACCACAAAAGGAATAAATACGGTGGAGGGCATAGAGAAACGAAACGAAACTAAACTAAACAAAAAAGTAACCTACTATATAGTACTTTTGAGTCAAACAGACCTAGGTGAGGAAATGTGTTTTCTGATGGGTAGAATGATAACTTAACTCATTTGAGTTGTTGAAACAATGTAAATCAGATACTGCCTGTAAGTGCTTTTCACAATGATTAACACATTTTAAAAACTAAACACATCTTAGCTATTGTTTTATTATTATTGCAAATGGTGTGAGCTCTTGGAATATAACTTCTCTGAGCCGTGGCTTCTTTGTTCATAAAACAAGAATAATAGAAGGTTGGGCGCAGTGGCTCACACCTGTAATCCCAGCACTTTGGGAGGCCGAGATGGGCGGATCACTTGAGGTCAGGAGTTCTAGACCAGCCTGGCCAACGTGGTGAAACCCTGTCTCTACTAAAAATACAAATATTAGCCAGGCGTGGTGGTGGGCGCCTGTAATCCCAGCTACTCAGGAGGCTGAGGCAGGAGAATCGCTTGAACCCGGGAGGTGGAGGTTCCAGTGAGCTAAGATGGCGCCACCACACTCCAGCCTGGGCAACAGATGGAGTCTCCCTCTCAAACAAGAATAATAGAGATTTCACAATGTTGTGAAGGTGGAAAGAGATAACACGTAAGGTTTAGAGCACTGCACATCCCATGCGGCCCATAAATGTTGGCTGCCCGCAGTCATGCTTTGGAACGAGTGTATTTCCCACAGAATGACACCAGAGGGAAGCAGAGTCTCATATTTGTCTCACCAGCATCGGGAACCTCAATCAGTGGGGAAAACTGGCTTCCCTTGAACCTGAAACTGCGGGATTTCCCCTGGGGCCCCCAAGCATCACACTGGGAGGCAGGCGACCACTTGGAGGAAAACATAATGCAATGGATTGCACATTTTCTAAAATCTCACTGGGCTTCACGAAATCTCAAGTTTAAAAGAATTATATTGTACAGGGATAAGTATTTTTCAGCTTTTACACAATCTACGTAAAGCCCCTCCGCAACCCAGGGCTCAATGCATCAGAGCTACTGAACCAGTCTGAGGCCTCAGAAACACTAATTTTTGCAAAATTAATCTCTTCCATGATCAATTTCCTGAGTTACCAACTCATAAACCCTTATTTATATTCATTAGATATATAAAGTCCACAGTAGTTTGTCACTAGCCTTTGAGAAGAAATTCCTGCAAAGTTTTAGCTCCACTCCCAGCCAGCTCAGTGCTGGTTATACCGGGGCTTATGGCTGAGTATTCCTCAAGCCAGTGCTGCTGAGTTCCAATTTTGCTTGAACTTCCCATATCAGAGCCAGGTATGTCTTGAATGCTGGGATACATGAGTGACAGCCCCACCACCACCACCACCACCACCACCAGCAGCTCCTCCTCTCACTGCATCTCCCAGGAGACTGTACCATCCTGCTTTCTAATTATCATGAAATATTTTAGACATGCAGAAAATATAGAGAATAATAAAATTACAGCATAGCCACCATCAGGTTCAAGAAAGAAATATTTCAAATATGTGGAAAGCCCCTGAATTGCACCCTCCAACCCTCCTCCTTCCCAAGATATTATATTCTCCAAATCTGGGGTTTATCATCAAGACTCCATTTTTCCTGCTGGAAAAGTTTGCGGAAGAAGCAAGCTTCCCTTCTCTGCTATCTGAGTAAAGGAAATGCAACTACCCATCCCAAAAGATTACTAAAAAAGAGTGGGAAATGAGAAGGAGAGAAGGGAAGTGGAGGATCCTGAGGAAGTTAGAAGTCCAAGGAACTCAGACGTCTCCTCTCTGAACCCAAGTCAGCCTGGGGTGCTGATGGACGAAGCTTTGAGGGTGTACAGTTTCTAAAGATCCCCCTGCTGCAGGGAGGGGCTGTCATGGGCAGGGCATGGGGCAGAAGCAGTGCCACACCCCCTCCCCGTCCCTGGACTGCCCCACCCCTCCACTGGACTGCCCCACCCCTCCGCCACCCTCCCCTTCTCAATCACACAGGTCAAGCAAGGTCAGGAGCCAGTGGAGCCCCAGGGCCACCTACCGAGGACAATGAGGACGTCCCTGTCGATGTGGGCCTGGATGTAGATGCGGCCGCGGCGCTCCGTGTGGTCCGTGCCACACAGGCTGGGAACATTCATCACGCAGCGCTTGTGCACATTCATCATGCAGGCTGTGAGGGCAGAGAGAGGGGATGTGGCTTAGGCTGGCCCAGGCTGGGGGCTGCAGACATCTGCCCCACCCAAGACCGCTGAGCCCTTCCTGTTTCCCTCCTTTGAGACAGCTGAGACACACGAGCCTGGCTGAGACCAACTTGCCTGCCAGGATCTCATCAGAAGGGCTTTTCCAACTCTTCCCCCTGAACCCTGATGGGCAAAGGAGGTAGAACTTGTCTGTTCCCCACCCACAGCCAAGGGTGCAGTCTGAAGCAAGCACACCCCACACCCCTTAAGG
The DNA here is from genome assembly GCF_000001405.40 of Homo sapiens. Classification (NCBI taxonomy): domain Eukaryota; kingdom Metazoa; phylum Chordata; class Mammalia; order Primates; family Hominidae; genus Homo; species Homo sapiens. Next base: position 24,035,137 of record NC_000016.10, on the reverse strand, counting down.
CTCTGAAGCCAGAGTCACCAACTTCAATGCTCACAGGCTGGCTGGTCACATGAGTGAGGAAAGCTAAGGGGGTGGCAGGGACTTGGCCAAGCCAAGTGGGAAACAGAGCAAAAACATTCCCCATTTCTCAACGTATGCAGGAATCTCGATGTGTACGTGACAGCTCTGATTTTTAAATATTAACAGCTAATAGGTTGGGCTCCCTGGAAAGAGTCTGAGACGGGGAGTTTTGAGCACAAGGTTTTTGGGGAGTGCTCTTGTGGGGAGAAGTTCGTTTGCCACGTGGATGCAATCAAAGCTGATGTTAGGGGGAGCCCAGAGCTGAGATGACCCTTCAGAGTTGTTCCAAACTGAGACAAGAGGGCTGGGCACCACAATCATCTGGTCTCCCTGGAAGAGGCATTATCTTGGGCAATTATGCAGGATGGGGCACTGCTGTGAACCACAGCTAGGGGATGGGGTGGGACCATGAAGAGGGGGTCTGGGCTGGCCATAGTGTCCACCATAATTAATTACAAGGAAAAAGATTTAGAGCCAGGGCAGGGTGGATAAAATGTGCCTATACACTGAATTTGGCCTTCGGCCATCTCTCATGTTATAGGATATCCACTCCCTCTGCGCACTCCTCCGTAGAGTATCTGTGTCTATTTCAATGTGGTGGGTGATTTCTTCTAGGTCTTGAGCAATAATGCCCCACTCCAGGAAGGTGTGCCAGGCACCCAGGATTCTCCAGGGGGACGCTAGTTCCAGTTGGAGAAGCCAGAAGGAGAGGCCAAGTCACCCCATGGGCCCCTATTTCAAGGGATCTGGGGGCAAGGGACCCTTCTCAGACCACCCAAGTCCCAGGAGGCAGCAGGCCTATTACAAAAACTAGAAATGAGTTGTGGGGAGGGAAGGGAGAGCCCTCTGGGACCTGAGCACCAGCCTGAGCTCCCACCCACCACTGTCTCTGAGGCAGGGACATTGTCCCTATATTAGGGCCCCATGTGTGGTAAGAGGAGCTGGTGTCCTGCAGGCAGAAGGCTCCAACCTCACTGTCCCCCTGTGGCTCTTGCCATGTTTCTGTGTCTGTCTCTCTGTTTCCACGTTGCTGCATGTCTCTTGTCTCTGCTGTCCCACTTCTGCACGTGGCTCACTGCCTTGGCCGTGTCTGTGAATCGGTCTGTTCCACTCTCTGCACTTGTCTCTGGCCTCTTTGTCTCTCCCTTTCTCCAACTGTGTCTCTCTGCCTCTCTCCTCCGTGTCTCTCTGTGGCTCTCCATGTGTGCTTCTGTCTCTGTCTCTGGTCTTTCCATCTCTATACCTCTGCATGAGCCTGTGTAATGGCGTCTCTCTCTGTGTCCATGCCAATCATTTTATCTTTTCTTCTTCTTCTTCTTTGAGAGTCTCACTCTGTCACCCAGGCTGGAGTGCAGTAGTGTGATCTCAGCTCACTGCAACCTCTGCTTCCTGGGTTCAAGTGATTTTCCTGCCTCAGCCTCCCAAGTAGCTGGGATTACAAGTACCCACCACCTTGACTGGCTAATTTTTGTATTTTTAGTAGAGATTGGGTTTTGCCACGTTGGCCAAGCTGGTCTCAAACTCCTGACCTTAGGTGATCCACCCGCCTCAGCCTCCCAAAGTGTTGGGATTACAGGAGTGAACCACTGCACCTGGCTTATCTGTTGGTCTGTGTGTCTGCCTGTCCCTCCTTTTGCCTGAGTCTCTCTCTAGCTGAGTCTCTCTGTAGCTTCCACGCCCCACATTCCTCCCTGTGTTAGGGTTGCATGTGTCCATCTTTCCCCTGCATCTGTGTCTGTCTATGCATGTGTGTTTCTTGCTGTCTGTCTTGCTCCCTACCACCCTTATTCACCCTCACAGTCCTCTCTGTCACTCTCTGCCCTATGACTTTCTCCCTCTGTCCTCTGGGCCTCAGGACCCTTGGGAGAGCAGTACCACTAGCCTCATGACACCCAGCCTGCTGCAGACCAACAGGTCTGTGGGAGCCACCAGCACCTCCAGTGTCCCTGTAGCTTTGTGGCCATAGCTCTCAAAGCCTGTCTGCTCCCCTGCCCCACAGGCCATCCGGGCCTTGGCCTCATAAAGAGGAGTCCTACCCCACCTGCCTTTCCTACCACATCCTGGCCAGAGAATGATGCTCTTTCCTCCTCCAGCACAAACCTGTGGGTGCTGCAGGGCCACAGGTCTTCTCCATGCAAAGAATGCATCAGCCCCACATCTCAATGCTGAAAACAGTGGTGGTGCATGGCTGCAGAAATGCCCATGATTTGTTCATGCCTCTGGGTGTCAACAGCCATGGACTGCCCCTTCCCACACTGTGACTGTGCATCTCACATGCCACTTGCTTTGACCAGTGGATCAGGAGCAAAAGACACAAGTAGAGACTTGAAGTGTGGCTGCCAATGGGACTTGCCCTCCTAAGAAACTCAGGACCCTGTGACCTCCGTGCATGCACGGAGGCTAGGTAGCCTAGCCCACTGAGGAGGAAAGACACGTGGCCTGGTCATCACCATCACCCAGATGACAGCCAGCCATCCTCCAGGACATGTGGGTGAGGCCACCATGGCCCAGACAGCTCCCAGCCCACCTCCATCTGCTAATCCACCATGAACCATGAGTTCATGCTTTATGAACATGCGTGACATCAGCTGAGGCCAGCCCAGATTCAAAGAACTGCCTTGCAGAGTCATGAGCTAAAAAAATGTTTATTGTCTTCAGTCACAGTGTTTTGGGGTGGGAGGATCATTATGCAGCAACAGATAACTGGTACACCAGCCCCAACGAGGACAGGGGGGAATGTATGGCAGACCTGGACCCCAAACCAAGTGGAAGCAGCCCTTCCCATTGCTTCTGCCATCAGCAGATGCCCCCAGAGAGAAAAAGTACTTACTGTCACATTTCATCCCCTGGTGGATGAGTCCATACAGCAGTGACCCACAGTGGTCACAAAACGTGGGGCTGGAGTACGTGTGGATCTTAAACTTGTGTTTGCTGCGGGGGTCCTGGAGCCAAGAGAAACAACAGAAGGAGCCAGCGTCAGTGGAGCATGCCAACGGTTCATCCTACATCGAGAGGCACTGGAGAACTCACCAAGAACTGAACTTGGTCCCCAGAGGTCATTGTACCTGTTGGGACCATCGCTGGAGCCCTGTGCCCAGAAACGGTGCTGGATAAATAGTTGTGGAAGGAATGAAGGACAAAGACAGATGATTGTTCCCTTTGCAGCCCCATGCTCACTCACCCTGCCTGCAAACCCTCCATCTGGGCCTGCCTGGGAACTCAACCTACAGGCTCCTGCCTGTAGTAGGGACTCCAGAGATGGGAAAACAAAGTAACAGACACATCATCTAAACAGGGCTCCTGACTTTTCTTTCTCCCCACCTTTATTCTCCAAGCATGCTTCTGCAGTGATCAAAAACCCAAGTCTGGATGTGAAATCTCCCTGCTTAGAAACCATTGCCAGTTCCTCATCACTGACAGAATAAAGTTCAAAGCCCAGTGGACAGTCTGCAAGTTGTGGCAGAGACTGCTGGTTTTCCACCAATATCCATTCTTCCCTTTAATAGTAGAATCCTTGAGTTTTAGCAGAGAGCATGGCTATCCAGATAGAGGCCATATTTCCCAGCACCTCTTGCAGGTGCCGCCATGGTGCTGAGTTCTGGCCAATGGGATGTGTGTGCTCCAGGGCCATTCCCTTCAAATGGAAATGCATACTTCCTTGAGCCTTTCCCTCTCCCCACTGGTTCAAAGATGGTGAGAACTGGAAGTGACTGTCCTGGACCCAAACTTGGAGCCATATGTGGAAAGGACAAAGCCACCCTACCAGCCTTGAATTTTGTCCCTTTGGGCTGACCCCTGAGAGAAAAACCTAATTTCTGCCTTGTTTAAGTCACTATATTTTGGGAGCTATTTCTCACAGAACCTTACATAATTTCCTAATCAATAAATATGCCCTTGATAGCCTGGCAGTGCAGTGCAGTGGTAAAAGGCAGACTTGGATAAACTTCCGGGGCTCTAAGCTGTGTGAGTTTGTGCAAGTTGTTTGATGGTTTTTTGTTTTCTTTTGTTTTTTAAGAGACATGGTTTTGCTCTGTCACCCAGGCTGGAGTGCAGTGGCACAATTATAGCTCACTGGGACCTTGACTTCCTGGGCTCAAGTGATTCTCCTGCCTCAGCTTCTTGAGTAGCTGGGACTACAGGTGCATGCAACTATGCTGAGCTGATCTTTTTTTTTTTTTTGAGATAGAGTTTTGCTCTTATCACCCAGGCTGGAGTGCAGTGGCACAATCTTGGCTCACTGCAACCTCTGTCTCCTGGGTTCAAGTGATTCTTCTGTCTCAGCCTCCCGAGTAGCTGGGACTACAGGCATGAGCCACTGTGCCCAACCTGCCCAGCTAATTTTTAATTTTTTTTTTTTTTTTGTAGAGAGGGGGGTCTCACTATGTTGCCCAGGCTAGTCTCAAATTCCTGGCCTCAAATGATCCTCCCACCTCAGCCTCCAAAATTGCTGGAATGCCAGGTGCACACCACCATGCCCAGCTAATTTGATCTTTTTGTGCTTCAGTTTCCCTATCTGTAAAATGCTGATAATGCTAGTGCTCTCCTTATAAGACTGTTGGGAAGCATAAATGAATGAACCTGTGTAGAGGTCTTAGAACCACCTGGCACATAGCAAGCAGCATAAGCTTTCCATGATTGCTATTACTATTTGGCCAAGGTGATCCCCAGCTAAGCCCCCTCCTCCCACCCACCCACATGCACACATACTATGTACATTCTCAGCACTCAGAGCGCACCCCCGCTCCCAAACAGACCATGCCCTTTGTAAGCCTTTGGCTCTGCATTTCTCTTTCTTCTTCAAGAGATTCTTTCCTCACAGAATTGGTTTTAGTTCAAGAGAACTCTTTCTGTAAAAGTTGCTTTCTCTGTTATACATTGCAGACCAGGTACAGTGTCTCACGCCTATAACCCCAGCACTTTGAGAGGCCAAGGTGGGAGGATCACTTGAGGCCAGGAGATCAAGACCAGCCTGGGCAACATAGTGAGACCCCATGTCTACAACAATAAAAAATTAGCCAGGTGTGGTGGCATATGCCTGTAGTCCCAGCTACTTGGGAAGTTGAAGTGGGAAGATCACTTGAGCCCAAGAATTCAAGGCTATGTGTGAGCTATGATTGCATCACTGCACTCCAGCCTGGGCAAGAGAGCAAGACCCTCTCTCTCTTAAAAAAAGGAAAAAAAAGTACATGGCAGAAGTTAATAACATGGGCCTTAGGTTCCAATCCAGGGCTGATCTGACACCCTAGCCTTTGGTACATGCTACCAGTTTCTTCCTTCCTTCATTCATCCATTCACATGTATTTATTGATGCTGCCACAGATGCCTCCTTTAAAATTGTACTCTAGTGACAGAAAATGAACATGTAAGCAAATAAACAGACATACTACATAGATATTCTTTTATGTGCTGTTAATGTGATGAGTGCTTCTCCTAAGGAAACTGTTCTTTTCAAAACTTTAAAATAATTCCATACTGTATTAGTCTGCTTTCATACTGCTATAAAGAACTGCCTGAGATTGGGTAATTTACAAAGGAAAGAGATTTAATTGACTAACAGTCAATTTTCTTGAGGACGAGGAGGCCTCAAGAAACTTAAAATCGTAGTGGAAGGCGAAGGGAAAGCAAGGCACCTTCTTCACAAAGCAGCAGGAAGGAGAAGTGCCGAGCAAAGGGGGACATGCCCCTTATAAAACCATCAGATCGTGTGAGAACTCACTCGCTATCATGAGAACAGCATGGGGGAAACTGCCCCAAGATTCAATTGCCTCCACCTGGTCTCTCCCTTGACATGTGTGGATTATGAGGATTACAATTCAAGATGAGATTTAGGTGGGGACACAAAGCCTAACCATATCACATACCTACCAGAGTTGCTAAAATGTTTGAAAACTAAAACCAACGATACCAAGTGTTAGTGAAGAAAGAACATAAACTGGAACTCTCCTAGGACCCAGGAATCCTACTTTTCGGTGAAATGAAAACATCCAGGCCGGGCACAGTGGCTCACGCCTGTAATTCCAGCACTTTGGGAGGCCGAGGCGGGCAGATCGCTTGAGGTCAGGAGTTCGAGACCAGCCTGGCCAACATGGAGGAACCCTGTCTCTATTAAAAATACAAAAATTAGCAGGGTGTGGTGGCACATGCCTGTAGTCCCAGCTACTTGGGAGGGTGAGGCACGAGAATCACTTGAACCCAGGAGGCGGAGGTTGCAGTGAGCCGAGATCGTGCTACTGCACTCCAGCCTGGGTGACAGAGAAGGGGAAAAAAAAAAAACAACAACCATATCCATACATGAAGGTTTATAGCTACCTTACTTATAATAGCCCCAAACTGGAAAGGACCCAAATGTCGTTCGACGTGTGAATGGATACAGTGTGAGGCATCCACACAGTGGAATACTTTTCAGCAGTAAAAAGGAATGAACTATTGACACATGCAGCAGCATTCATGAACCTCGAAAGGATTCTGGTAAAACAAAGATGTTCAACACAAGTGTAGGTTCATTTCTAAATGTTCTGAAAAACACAAAACTATGGGGACAGAAAACATCAGTGGTTAAAAGGGGTTGGAGGTGGATAGGGAATTAACTAAAAAGAGGCAGATGCAGCAACTTTTTTGTTTTGGATATTGGAGTGGTCTATATATTAACTGTGATGAATTTTACTTTATATTTTTAAAAGTGAATTTGTGGCCTGGAGCAGTGGCTCATGCCTGTAATCCCAGCACTTCGGGAAGCCGAGGTGGGTGGATCACCTTAGGTCAGGAGTTCAAGACCAGCCTGACCGATATGGTGAAACCCTGTCTCTATTTAAAATACAAAAATTAGCTGGGCATAGTGGCATGCACCTGTAGTCCCAGCTACTTGGGAGGCTGAGACAGAAGAATTGCTTGAACCCAAGAGGCAGAGGTTGCAGTGAGCTGAAATCATGCCACTGCACTCCAGCCTGGGCGACAGAGCAAGACTCCATCTCAAAAAAAAGAAAAAAGAAAAAAAGTGAATTTTGCTGGGCACAGTAGCTCATGCCTTCAATCCCAACACTTTAGGAGGCCAAGGCGGGAGGACTGCTTGAGCTTGAACCCAGGAGTTTGAGATCAGCCTAGGCAACACAGTGAGACCCTGTCTCTACTATATATATGTATTAAAGCCAGACATAGTGGTGCATGCCTGTAGTTCTAGCTACTAGGGAGGCCAAGGTGGGAGGATCACTTGAACCCAAGAGTTCAAGGCTGCAGTGAGCTATGATCACGCCACTGGACTCCAGCATGGGTGGGAGAGCAAGACCCTGTCTCAAAAAAAATTGTTTAAAGTGACTTTTACCACAGGAAACGTATGTCTCAATAAACCTGACTGAAAATCCTCAGCCACTGCAGACTTCGGTTGCTTCTTATCTTGTTAATGAGCTACAAAGTTTCTTTCACAACGTTCCCACCCTCTGCAGTCAGGCAGATGAAGTACTCGTCCAGAGCACTGGACAGCCAAGTTTGAGAAGCGAGGTCTTTTCTGCTGTCGCCAGTGGGACCCTGAGTGCTCTCAGCTACAAAAGGACCCCAGCAATCATCTGTCCTGCTCAAAGATTGAGGTGCCGTCCTAGTAACAACAACAGGGCTTGGAAATCCACCCCCCAAAAAACTAAGGGATCCCTTTTGGCAGCTTAACCAGCCATGTCTCTATCTCCGGACAATGAGACTAAGTGAATACATAAGGTTCCTATCAGAGTCCCCCTGCTCTGTGCCACAGAACAGTTCCCATTGTGCTTCTTGGACATTCACCTTAAAGTTGGGAGTTCAGTGCTTCAAACCCACCTAAAAAGGAACACCTGTTCGAAAATCAAACACCGCATGTTCTCACTCATAAGTGGGAGTTGAACGATGAGAACACATCGACACAGGGAGGGGAACATAATACACCTGGACCTGTCGGGGGGTGGGGGACTAGGGGAGGCATTAGGAGAAATACCTAATGTAGATGACAAGTTGATGGGTCCAGCAAACCACCATGGCAGGTGTATACCTATGAAACAAAACTGCACATTCTGCACGTGTACCCCAGAACTTAAAGTATAATAATAATAAAAAAGGAACCCCTGTTCATGACTGGTATTGGCCTGTAGGAGAAGCTCCAGGTTCTCTTACACCCCTACTTAACCTCTAAGGAGGCAGAGTTGATTTAATTGGATGGATTCCAAGACACGGATTGGCCAGACCCCAGTGGTGGAGCTCGCATGGAGGTTAAAAGGCATCCTTGCCATCTTTCTCTTCTCCTTCTCCCTTACATCCTTCACTTCTCCCAGGACGCTACTGGGTCCAAGTCTTATAGTATTGCCCTGAGACCCTTGGTAGAAGTGGCCTGAGCCAGCTCCTCTCCAAGACCTAGGACACATTCTGTCTCTACTCTTGGCTCTTGTGGTCCCTTCTGGTTTCTCTGATATATTGATCTTACAGAGGCCAAGAGTTAGGTTTGAGTTCAGGTTTGAATTTCCTTAGTCCTGCCTAGTAGAGAAGAAAGGAGTTCCTCAAGGCCTTGTGAGCTCTACTTTAAGATCTGGGGCAAAATCACAACTAATAATAAGTTGCCTCTGTTGGTTTTGCACTTTTCTTCATGTAAATATTTTCTTGAGCGATCTCCAAGACAAGGATTCAAGCATTTCTGACCAAAAATGATCCAGACCTTTCTCCATATCAACAGTCTCTTAAACAAGAGGAGATACCAAGAAGCACAAAGAATGGGAAGGGAAAAGGAAACACATTTCTGTGTTTGTGTGTGTTTTGTTTTTTGTCTTGTTGAGACAGGGTCTTGCTCTGTCATGCAGGCTGGAGTGCAGTGGTGCGATCATAGCTCACCGCAGCCTCTGCCTCCCAGGTTCAAGCGACCCTTCCACCTCAGCCTCCTGAGCAGCTGGGACTGAAGGCACATGCCATATGCCTGGCTAATTTTTATTTTTTGTAGAGACAGGGTTTTTGCTATGTTGCCCAGGCTGGTCTCAAACTCCTGGGCTCAAGTGATCTGCCTGCCTCAGCCTTGCAAAGTACTAGGATTACAGGTGTGAACCACCACACCCAGTCTCAACACACTGCTTGAGAGCTACATGTGTACGCTGGGTGTCTCACATGTACTCTCTCCAATCCTTATGACATGCCATGCAGAAGGTATCATTTGTTCCCATTTTAGCAACAATGAAACAGATCCTAACTACAGAGTAACTTCACCAAGGCCACCCAGCTGGACCCTTGCAGAGATGGGGTTCACACCAAGTTCCCCTCCCTTCTCTCCTCACTCCCAACTTTACTCCATTGACACCTCATCTTCATGTGCGGCTAAGATAGAACTTGACTCATTCGTTCATTCACCTAGCAAATGTATACTGAGGGTCAAGTTCTTCCTAGGCATTGGGGATACAGCTGTGAACAAAAGAGCTTCTGCTTTCATGGAACTTATATTCTAAATCCTCTCCATCACGGCACTTAAACCACTGACTTATAAATGCACGCTTAATTGCATCTCTTCCACACTTCACTGCATGCAATGTGAGGAAATTTTGCTCATCATTATACTCTCAGGGCATAAACTGTACTTGGCATACAGAAGATGCTCAATAAATACTTAATAAGTGAGAGTTAACATTTATGGAACATTTATTCATGCCAGGGACTATTTTAAGGGATTCATCAGGCATTAATGCATTCGATCCTCATAACAGCCCTATAAAGTACATACTACTTACTACCCCTGTTTTACAGATGAGGAAACCGAAGAACTAAGAGACGAAGTGTTTTGCCCGTGGCAAGCACAGCATTGCACACAGTGGTCAATGGGTTGTTGTGACAGCTGTAGGGCTGCAATCATCGCTGTTGGCCACTGCAAACCCCTGCACCATAAACATGCTATTTTAGGAAAATGACTTAGAAGGGGCTGTGCAGCACAGATTAGAGCCAGATGAGAGACAGGAAAACCAATCGGCAAGTTGCAGGGAAACATTGACTTCTTACGGCTTATTTAGAGGCTGCTGGAGAGCTCCTCTGACCTCATTCCCCTCCCTCCGCTTTCATGAGGGATCATACTTGTAGGCACCAACTCTACCCACCCACTGCCCCAATCCTTCAGACCAGACAAACCAGGTCATCCTCAGTGGATTCTTCCCTCCTCCTTCCTGCTACCTGAAAGAGCTTAAAGCCACACTCCTACACCTGTGGTCCTCATGACTCCCTCCACGACCCTCAAGGTGCATCTTTCAGGGTACCTTTCCATGCCTGCCTGAGCCCAATGCCATCTCTGAGATGGGCACCTCCCAAAAGCCATGCTTGTACTTTGAGACATCCACATTCCCTGAACACAGCTGACTGGGGCAGAGGTGGACACTTGGCTCAAGGGTCACATATGCTGAGTGGCTGGGACACAGGTAATCAGTCCTGAGGCCAGCAGACATACAGTTCCAGGGCTGAGGCTGCTAATTTTATATTTGATTGACAAATTATAATTGTATGCATTTATGGGGTACAATGTGATTGTTCTGATTGTTCTGAATATACACACACAATGTGGCATGATTAAATCAAGAAAATTAACATATCCATCACCTAACTTGCCTATCATTTTCTTAGCTTGAGATATTTGAAATTTACTCTCTTAATTACTTTGAAACATACATATTATTGACTAATGTCACCCTGCTGTGCAATAGATCTCAAAGGCAATTCCTCCTATCCGAAACATTGTACTCTTTGCTCAGCAACTCTCCATTTCTTCCCTACTCCTGCCTCCTGCTGTCCCCCAGCTTCTGGTAACCATCATTCTACTCTCTACTTCTGTGAGTTCAACTTCATTAGATTCCACATCTAAGTGAGATCATGCAGTATTTGTCTTTCTGTGCCTGGCTTATTTCACTTAGCATAATGTCCTCCAGGTTCATCCACATTGTAGCAAATGACAGTTGGTGCTGATTTTTATGGTGCGCTCTGAGGAACCTGGAGAAACAAAGACAAAGACTACATGACCCCAGGGATGAAGCTCCTGGTTCTGGTCCCTGGGGTTCTGGCATCCTGCCTTCCAATTCCATCTGCCTCCCTGTGTCCTCTAAAATTTGTCCTTTGTGCTTCAGCCAATCCAGGTAGGCATGTTACCTACAACCAGGGGTGAGTCAAGATATCTATAATTGCCTTGGCTCAGGGACTGCCCACAGACCAAACGGAATGGACAGCAGAGCCTGGCTGTGCTGGGAGTTAGCACTCTAGTCACCACGTCATGGAGGGGGTGTGGTAGGAGCTGGCAGAGGCAGATATGGGTAAGTGGAAGGTTGGGGGAAAAGGCCCAGAGGACCCAGTGGCTATTTACCCATCGGTTTCAGAGTATTTCAATATTTCCACCACTGGTACAGTAGTGCCAGGGCATGCAGGTTAAATATCAGTCCTGCCTGGCCGGGTGCGGTGGCTCACGTCTGTAATCCCAGCACTTTGGGAGGCCGAGGCTGGCGGATCACGAGGTCAGGAGATCAAGACCATCCTGGCTAACACGGTGAAACCCCGTCTCTACTAAAAATACAAAAAATTAGCCGGGCGTGGTGGCGGGCGCCTGTAGTCCCAGCTATTCAGGAGGCTGAGGCAGGAGAATGGTGTGAACCTGGGAGGCAGAGCTTGCAGTGAGCCGAGATCCCGCCACTGCACTCCAGCCTGGGTGACAGAGCGAGACTCCGTCTCAAAATAAATAAATAAGTATCAGTCCTGCCTTTAACCAAAATACATTCCCTTCCTAGCCTTGATGCTGTGGGTATTGACCAAGCCTGAGATGAGTCTGGGAATCCTCATGGCCTGTAAGCCATCACTCCCTCTATGGGGTTTGGTTCTGATCGCATTCAAAGATGCAGCTTCCTGGCTGGGAGCAGTGGCTCATGCCTGTAATCCCAGCCAAGGTGGGAAGATCGCTTGAGCCCAGGAATTCAAGGCTGCAGTGAGCCATGATGGCACCACTGCACTCCAGTGACAGAGAGAAACTCTGACTCAAAAACAAAAAAAAAGACACAGCTTCCATCTCTGCCTCAATCCCTCCCCTAGTCTCATTTTACATCAGATCCTCGTCACCCAGGCCACACTGACTAGACACCTCCAGGCCACCTAGAGCCTGTCCCATCCCTGGCCTGGGCCCTCCTTCATGCCCAGGGGCCACAGTGTGGAACCCAGAAGCTATATCAAGCCTGTAAAGAAGCTACCGTTGGCCAACAAGGTGCTTCTTAGAAATCCAAATAAGTTTACTATATTTAAGTCAGGAACTATCAGATTAAAATGTGAAATTTTGGCCAGGCACAGTGGCTCACGCCTGTAATCCCAGCACTTTGGGAGTCCGAGGCAGGCGGATCACGAGGTCAGGAGATCGAGACCATCCTGGCTAACACGGTGAAACCCTGTCTCTACTAAAAATACAAAAAGAATTAGCCGGGCGTGGCGGCATGCACCTCTAGTCCCAGCTACTCAGGAGGCTGAGGCAGGATAATGGCATGAACCCGGGAGGCGGAGCTTGCAGTGAGCTGAGATCGCACCACTGCACTCCAGCCTGGGCAACAGAGCGAGACTCTGTCTCAAACAAAAAAAAGAAAGAAAGAAAGAATAAAAAATGTGAAATATTGCTTCCTTTTGAGAAATCATCAGCTGTGACAACACAGAACACTCATTTCTGTGGGCTGAGCAGTGGTTTTCCCCTTTAGATAAGTAATAAACTTTCTAGTTTTCCACAGTCCCCACTCTTCCCTATTGTCTTACACCAGGCCTGCTTCTCTCTTTCCCCTTTCCTGCCTGGACCCTGTAGGAATTTGGATTTGGGACCTCTGCCAGACTCCCTACCTTCTTCCCAACAGTGCTGGAATCCAACCCCATGTGAACACATCCCCTAAACTCCCGAGTGAGTTTGTCTGACTCAGTCTCAAGTGCTCTCAAAAACAGGTTTGAAACTATTACACTCCTGCCGCAGCATCACCCCTTGATCATCCCCAGTCATCTCGCCCACCCCTGGAAATCAGGTTTCCACAGGATCCTGGCACGATTCCTCTTCCCAGTATTTCCTGTTGCTGAGGCTCCATCTCCACATGCCTGGTATTAGGCAAGCTTGGATTCCCAAATTTCCTTCCATTTCCAATCTTTATTCAAGAGATTGTTGAATACAACAACAAAATAACCGTCGAATGTGACTTTTACTGCCACCAATTTTATTGAATTGAACACATACTACCTGCCAAGCACTGTGCTGAGTCCTCTATGTCATGTCCCCAGATTCTCCTGACAGCCCAGTGATGGAGGAGTTAGACTGTTATCCTGGTATTCCAGATGAGAAAACTGAGGCTCAGAGAAGTAACTTGCCCAAGGTCACAAAGCAAGGACATGGGAGAGCCAGGACTGGAAGCCAAGTTTGTCAGACTCCAGAAATGCAGCCAGCCGAGTGGGAACCCCTCAGTGTCCCCTGGCTGCCCCCCTGCTCCTCAGCCTCCCCAGAGAGTCTCCCACCTAACACGGGGGTTATAGACAATAACACTCTTCATCTCACACAAATTCAGCACCGGCCAGTGACAGAGTACTTGGGTCCCTGCCACCCCCAAACCAGAGTCTTTATAGTGAAAAACAATCCCCAGCATCAAAGACAGGCAGATCCTAGGTCATCACTTAATCCCAGACACAGGCAGCTAAGAGGAAAGGAAGCACAGGTGAGAGAGATGGAGGAGGGGGGAGGGAGGGAGGGAAGGAGGAAGGAAGGAAGGAAGGAAGGAAGGAAGGAAGGAAGGAAGGAAGGAAGGAAGGAAGGAAGGGAGGGAGAGGGAGAAAAGAAAGAAAAAGAAAGGAAGAAAGGAAGAAGGAAGGAAGGAAGGAAAGAAAGAAAGAAAGAAAGAAAGAAAGAAAGAAAGAAAGAAAGAGGAAGGAAGGGAAGGGAGGGAGAGAGGGAGGGAGGAAAAGAAAGAAGGAAGGAAGGAAGGAAAGAAAGAAAGAGAGAGAAGGAAAGAAAGAAAGAAAAAAAGAAAGAAAGAAAGAAGGGAGGGAGGGAGGGAAAGAAAGAAAGAAAGAGAAAGAAAGAAAGAAAGAAAGAAAGAAAGAAAGAAAGAAAGAAAGAAAGAAAGAAAGAAAGAAAAAGAAAAGTCTCTCTCAGTCTGAATGGGCTGTGCAGCTTTGCCCACAGGTGGGCTGAAATCTGGTTGGGCTGAAGTAAAACTGCAGGAATAAGGAAGCTGAAATGAGGCACACAGAGAGAAAACACAAGCTAACAGCATCCATAGAGGAGAAAGGAAAAGCAAATTGCAAGTTCAGACTGTGTCATCCCTGGACATTTACAAGCTATGAAAGCTCCTGAGGCTCTACTTCCCATGGGGTAGGTAGGCAAGGTTAAATTGAAGGTCCCAGTTGGAAATACCCTCAGAACAGAGGGAAATTAACAAGCGCAGGCTCCAGAGTTAGCTGTGTGACCTCAGGGAAGTGACTTAACCACCCTGAGTCTCTGGTTCCTCAGCCATAAAATGGGTCCAATAACCGTATCCACTTTATAAAACCTCAAGCACAGTGTCCTGCACACAGAACATAAAACCTCTTGATTTTATTATTCCCAAGAGAAAAAATCATCATGGCAACATTTCCCCAGCTTCAGTCATGAGCTGTCATAACTTCGCATGCCTGCATTCAACCTGTAACAGTATTAGGTAGGTGCAAAAGTCATTGTGGATTTTACCATTGAAAGTAATGGCAAAAACCGCAATTACTTTTGCACCAACATAATATTTACTTGATATTTTTCTTCAATTCAGTACTGCCATTTTTATTTAAATAAACCTATTTTTAAAAATGAAACTAAGAGTGTGAACTCATGGGATCAATATGCAAACTGCCTTTTCTAATGCACCTTAAAATGAAGTAGACAATTTAAAATTTTAAAATGAAAATTTTAAATGTTCATCCCGACAGTTTCTGTTGAAAAGCTGTGGAGAAACAGAGACACATATTCCTGGTGGGTGGGCCAATTGGTGTCATCCTGTGGGGGCAATTTGGCACTACCTATCCAAAGTACAAATGCTTTTGTAAAATTACAAATTCTTTTCACCTTTCACTCCATCACGTTGGACGAAGGTAAAATAACCTGCATACATAGGAAGTAATATACAGATACAGTTATTCACTGAAGCCCTGTTTAGGGTAGCATAAGATTTAAACACGCTAAGTGTCACTGGGAAAGGGTTGTTTAAATAAATCATAGTGTAGCCACATAATGGAAGACTACTCAGGTATAAAGTACAATGAGGAAGTTCTCTGCATTAATATGGAAAAAAATCTCATTTTTTTTTCTTTTTTTTTTTTAGGCAAGGCCTCACTTTGTCACCCAGGCTGGAGTGCAGCAGTGCAATCTCGGCTCACTGCAGCCTCAACCTCCCAGGTTCAAACAATCCTCCTGCCTCAGCCCCCGAAGTGTCTGGGACTACTGGTGCACGCTACCATGCCTAGCTACTTTTTATATTTTTTGCAGAGACAGGGTTTCGCCATATTAGTCAGGCTGGTCGCCTGAGCTCAAGCTCAAGTGGTCCGCCTGCTTCGGCCTCCCAGAATGCTAGGATTACAGGCGTGAGCCACTGCACCCGACCAAGGTTGTATTTTTTAAGTGAAACAAACAAAAAAATCAAGGTGCTGAGGTGTGTATATTACATGGTACCTTTTGTGTGTGTGAGAAAGCGAGGTGCAATAAGTTAAGTGTGTATCCTTTCTTTTTAAAATTATTTTCAGAGACAAGGTCTCACTATGTTGCCCAGGCTGGAGCACAGTGGCGAGATCATAGTTCACTGGAGCCTCAAACTTCTGGGCTCAAGTGATCCTCCTGCCTGAGCCTCCTGAGTAACCGGGGAAAGTCGACTCTTAATTACACCTCTGGCAGGATACACCAAAAAAAAAAAAAGAAAAAAAAAACCTAATACAAGTGTTCATCTATGGAGGCAAGAGAGAATAAAGTAGACAGAGAGTAAAACTTCTCAGCACAGACTTTTCTATACTTTTGATGTAAAGTAGAATATTTTAGGGTTTATCTGGGTATTACAAAAATCTCACCTCTTGTACTACCACCGTGAGTAACACATCAGTACTGCCATGCCCACAACTGCAAACAAAAGGCCAAAAATTTGCAAAAGACAAAAAAAGTAGGGAAACCTTAATTGAGACTGAGTGGACGGAGATTGTCTGAGCATGAAAAGTGGAGAATGTTAGAAGCTGTAATTACACACGCATGGCACATTTGAAAAGGGGACACTATAATTTGGTGACGATCTTTCATTTTGTTCCTGGAGAGGAGAATGAATAGAGCCAATAACACCATGTAAACACTTGTGTGTTGGGTGACGATTTGCTTCAACCGCCTGATATACCCTGCCCTCTTCTAACCCCGCCCATTTGGCGAATACGTAATTATTCCATTTGAAGGATAAGCTTCTATTGTATAAACTTTGGCAGAATTTAAAATACCATTTCCTGGGTTAAGATCTGCACTGCAGTCCATGTCAATATAGGGGTGAATTAGTAGCCACATCTAAGCTTAACTCTTGGCTCTTCCAGTTATTAACTTTCTGACTCTAGGGAAAGTTATTTAACCCTTTTAAGTTTTCGTTTCCTTGTGTGGAAACTGGAATAATAATAATGCTTAATTCCTAGGTTAGTAAGAGTTCAGTGAGATACTGCATGGAAACTGCATAAAGTTGCTGGTGAAGATGAACATTTAAGAAATGTTCTGCCAGGTCCGGTGGCTCACGCCTGTATTCCCAGCACTTTGGGAGGCCATGGTGGGAGGACTGCTTGAGCCCAGGAGTTTGAGACCAGCCTGGACAACATAGTAATATCTTGTCTCTATCTCTACAAAACATTTAAAAATTAGCCAGTTATGGGCCGGGCGCAGTGGCTCACACCTGTAATCCCAGCACTTTGGGAGGCCGAGGTGGGCGGATCACGAGGTCAGGAGATCGAGACCATCCTGGCCAACATGGTGAAACCCCGTCTCTACTAAAAAATACAAAAAATTAGCTGGGCGTGGTGGCGGGCACCTGTAGTCCCAGCTACTCGGGAGGCTGAGGCAGGAGTATGGCATGAACCCAGGAGGTGGAGCTTGCAGTGAGCTGAGATTGCACCGCTGCACTCCAGCCTGGGCCACAGAGCGAGACTCTGTCTAAAAAAAAAAAAAAAAAAAAAAAAATTAGTTATGGTGGCGCATGCCTATAGTCCCAGCTACTTGTGGGGATGAAGTGGGAGGATCACTTGAGGCCGGGAGTTCAAGGCTACAGCGAACCAGGATCACACCACTGCACTCTAGCCTGGGTGACAGAGCAAGATCCTGCTTCCAAAACAAACAAACAAAAAAAGAAGAAATGTTCACTGTTATCATTAATTTTGCCTGTTTTAAAATTCAAGTTTGTTTCTTTCAAATTATTTGTAACAAATTTTCCTGTGTATTATTTAAGGATATTAACCCTTCACCTATGATATATGCAGTAAATGTTTTCCCAGTTTCTCATTTGCCTTTTAATTTTGTCGATGTTCTTTTTTCAACGTATAACGCATGTGCGTGTCTGTGTGTGTGTGTGTGTGTGCCTGCGTGTTTAATAAAGTGCAAATTTTTCCCTTTTCCTGTATGGTTTCTGTCTCTGCTGTCGTATTTAGAAAGTCCTTCCTGATATTTTCTGGTAGTCTTTTATGGTTTCACTTTTTTACATTGAAATCATCATTTCCCTTGGCATTCATTTTAGCATGAGCTCTCAAGAAAGACCTTTATTTCTACTCTTAATGTTTAGACAGCAAATGTATGAAATGCATCTTTTCCCTGCTGATTTGAAATGCCTCTTTTATGATACACGAATTTCTTATGTATTCTCGGCTCATTTTTTAATATTGTCTTATGCTCCACTGATCTGTCTCTCTCTCCCCACCGTTGCACCATACCATAGTATAAGCTCTTGGTATCTAGAGGCACACACCTTTATACCCACTGGCCCCTCCCCTAGCATTCCTGCTTACTTTCAAATTTTTCTTGGTTATTCTTATCCATGTATTCTCCCAGATTGTGCTGGAAATGCCAATCATTGGCTGCTTAACTTATTGACCCTTCTAGAAAAATTCCAACCTACAGCACCAGCTCAGTGGACAGTAAAGCATCTGACCTCATACTTCCAGCCAATGCTGAATAGACCAAGGTTGGGTCAGTGATATGAAATTTATGAAGGAAGAACTGGGCCAATCAGAATTTAGAATAAGGAATTGTGCAGAGCTGGGTGCTGTGGCTGAGCTAAGGGGTGAGGTGGGATGTGATATAGAACCACGGCTGCCAGGAGAAAAACAGATTGGGGGAGCTAGGGGTGGAATTCACATGTAATTTGAGCCTTCTTGTGTTTTTCCAGAAAAGATTTTTTCCCCCATAAACTCTCTTAGTTGGGGCCTAAGTATTTATTCCTAGGTATTTTACCTCTTTATTGCTATTTTAACTGGGATTTTTTCAAATTTATTTTAACTGGTTGTTGCTAAAATACAGAAAAGTTATTGTCATTTATATCTTTATTTTATAACCAGACATTCTTGGCAAAGGGTATTTGATTATTTTCTTGGGTCTTCTTGGTAGACAACATTTGCCATCCATGTTAAGCGAGTCTTTTCTGCTTGGAGATTTATACCTGTTGTTTCAACGAGTGATCTTAGTTCATTAGCCAGGCCAGCAGCTCTTAGCCCGGGTATGCCAGCCTCTGTAGCATACCTGAAAATGTCTTCCAGAGATGTATTTCTAGCTTTCACCATGACCACCCAGGCCGCTGGGTGAAACTCACAGCCGTGGTGAGCCACGATTTTGATGGGGAATACTGTATTCTCAAAACGTTGGTTAAAAGCTGGGAAGAAATGGTGACCTTGGGCCAGCTCTCTTGATGTTATCCCTAGTTAACCTTAACTGTCTAGGAACAACAACCCTAGGGGGAGCTAGGATAATAACCCTAGCGGTAGTTATCCCTAGGGGATAACAATATTTGTTTTGTGAGGTTCTAGGGAATGAATTACCCACAACCTTTAAAACAGCTGCCTGACACAGAGCAGGCACTCAATAAGTACAAGCTATTATTATTAACTATTAATTATTAATTATCACTGCTCAGGGCATCCCTGTGCCTACTGAGTTGTGACTTTTCCCAATAAACCTTATATATATTTCCACTTCTTGGACTTCAGTCTTGATTTCCTGTGCCAATTCCTTCTACTACAGCTATAAGCCATTCACTTATTTAACCATTTAGTCACCAAATATTCGTTGAGTACCTTCCCTATGTCAGTCTAGTTGGGGAAAACAATAAAGAAGCATAAACCAATGTACACTTCCAACAGCTGCAAAGGAGACACTCAGTGCTTAGAGAATTTACAAGGAGAGTGTCGGCTGGATAGAGTCAGGAGGGCTTCCCTGAGAAAATGAAGTTTAAGCTGAAATCTTAAGGAATTAGAGGGTGTAACCAGGCGATGGCCACCTAGCTGGGGCTCTGCCCCATGGGAAGGGAGTAACTGCTCCACTGCATGAGGTTCAGAGTCAACCCAGGTAGACCTGGCTGACACCACCCCACCTCCACCTGCTGGCTTCAGGCTCTGCCTCAACCCCCGTGACCTGTTCCCAGCTTGGACCCCTCAGCCAAAAGACCCTAGCCCCACTGAGAGGGAGTTTAGCATGAGATCAGGGGTCAGATTCTATAGCTGGAATGTGCAAATTCAACACCAGCTCTGGTAATTTCCAGTCGTGCAGCCTCGAGCAAGCTACTTGAGTTATATAAGCCTTGATTTTCTCACCTGTAAAATGGAGAGAAGAGCTGTCACATGGAGAGAAATGACAGTGCTGGAGCAGACACTTCAAGGCCAGACTGTCTGAGATTGACTCCCAACTCAATGACCTCCCAGCTGTGTGACTTTGGACAGGTTACCCAACCTCTCTGAGCTTCAGGGTCCTCATCTTTAAAATGGAAATAAGGCCAGGCGCGGCAGTTCACACCTGTAATCCCAGCATTTTGGGAGGCCAAGGCGGGCGGATCACTTGAGGCCAGGAGTTCGAGACCAGCCTGGCCAACATGGTAAAACCCCATCTCTTCTAAAAATACAAAAATTAGCTAGCTGGGCATGGTGGCGGGTGCCTGTAGTCCCAGCTACTTGGGAGGAAGTTGAGGCAGGAGAATTGCTCGAACCCAGGAGGTGGAGGTTGCAGTGAGCCGAGATCATGCCATTGCACTCCAGCCTGGGTGACAAGAGCAAGACTCTGTCTTAAATAAATAAATAAAAGGAAATAATAATCACACTAAATCCTCATAGGATTATGAGAATTTAATGGATTAATATTTGTAAAAGACTCAGCACAGTGCCTGGCACATCATATATACACTATGCAAGTGTTTGCTGAATATAATGAGCCTGCTTTCTAGATGTGTACAGATTAATGAAATCACAATGATGATGCTTAGCTTGGCACAGTGACTGGCATGTAGTATCCATATGACAAATGTTAGCTTAGAATAAAAATGACATCTGTGATCTTGGGCAAGTCACTGCCATGGTCTGGTCTCAGTTCCTCCTTCTGAAAACAAAGGGGTTAGGCTTGGTATTCCCCAGGGGGCCTTCGAGTTCTGGTGGAGGCTGTTCACAGAGTGAGCCCCACCTCTTCCTGTGCAGGCCGGGTTGTGCATTCATTGCTCAGGGTGTACAGTAGTTTCAGGGAATAGTCACATGGCAACGGATCACACCCACATTATAAATAAATCCTCCATCACCCACAAAACCACACCCATCTCCTCCCCTCCCCACCCCTCTCCCCCTGCAGTGCCGTAAGCCAACTAAGGGAAGTGGTCTGAGCACCCCTTTTTGCTAAGTGGGGGGTCCCGTAAATGCAAGATCACAACATAAGATTATTCAACTTGCAAAGCCGCTGCCAGCTTGGTTTCCAGGTGCAGCCCTGGATGCCCAGCTTCCTGACAGCACCCTCTGTCACAGAAGCTCTCAGCACACCCAAGTCTGCATTTCAGAAGAGCAGAAAGATCCTCTGTATAGAAGGACACGGTGAGTTTGTGAATTACAGAGGAGCCTCCCATTCCTGCAAAGGATGCTGCTGGAGCAAATGCCTGCCAGGTGGCCATCTGCACCGGGGACTCTGCACACAGCAAGTCCAGGCAGGCTCTGATCCTCATGACCGCTAGAAACAATGACCCTGAACCAGCAGGCCCGCATAGACAAGGGCCCTAACTGAGGAAGGTGAATTCTGTGCAGGCCAACTCTGATGTCTATACTTTTTTTTTTTTTTTGCAATTCCACATCTCACCTTTCATCTTTTACCAAGAACCTCACTAGGACGCCACTCTGCTGAACAGACAGGTATTGAAGAGCTATTATGTTCATGCAGCATCCTAGGTGTGGAGTGATCAAACAACGGATGCCAACCCCACCTTCAGGGATTTACAGATCCCAGCAGGGGGTAATAATTACTAGTGCAGTAACAGCTACCACATACAGCACTCACCATGTGCCAGGCACTGTTCCAAGCGCCTTACATATTATGAACTAATTTGATCCTCAACGACCATGTAAAACAGGTTTTTGACTATTCCTATTTTATAGGGGAGAAAACTGAGACACAGAGAAGTTAAGTAACTCGCCCAAGGTCACACAGCTAGTGATTCATTTTTATCCAGAATCTGGGTTCTTTGTCACCATGTAAGTAAATATTAGGTTGGTGCAGAAGTAACTGTGCTTTTGCCATTATTTTTAATTACTTTTAACTAATTACTATTGCACCATTATTTACAATAGCAAAAACCGCAATTACTTTTGCACCAACCTAATATTTAGATGTCCCTAAGATATGTGACAGCAAGAAGAGGTATGTGGTGTGCTGAGTACAAAATATTGGAAATGGGCCTGGTCAGGGAGGTCAGGAAGGGCTTCCCTGAGGAAGTGATGCTTGAGCTGCAGTCTAGAGGACCAGCGTGAGTTGACCAGGGCCCTTAACCCTGCATGCAACTGAGAGGTTCTGAATCAATCAGAGATTTGGACTTAGTTGGTCTGGAATGGGTGCAGACACTGCATTCAGTTAAAAAGCCCTGCAGAAGATTCTACAATGCAACTAGAATTGAGACCCACTGAACTCACAGGGAAGAAGAGAGAGAAGAGTATCTCAGCCAAGGGAGAAGTATGTGCAAATGCCTGGTGGCAGGATGAACAGAGGAGTGAACGAAGGTACTCAGAGTGGTCAAGCAAAGGCTGGAGGGACCCTGACGCCAGAGCACGCAGGGCCTCATGAGTAGGACAATCATATCCTGTATCTTCCAACAGGGACTCTTGTGAGGATGACAAGGGCACCAGCCTTGTGGTACGCTGACACAACAGAACAAACCAATTTGGTTTATAGGCAAGCTTGGCAGAGGAGGACGTATGTCCACCCTGCTTCGCAGCCACTTCAAAGAGTATTTACTTTGTCCCAAGAACAATGGGAAGCCATTGACATGTTTTCAACAAAGAGGATGACATGATCACATTTGGTTTTTAGAAAGGTGTGGAAAGGGTAGGCCAGTGAGACAGAGAGGAAGCAGGGAGACAGGACCAGAGGCTACTTGTCCAGAGAGGGTTAGTGGAGTTGAACAAGGGTCCTCTCAGTGAGGATGGGACATGGTGGCTAAGAGCAGGCTCTAGAGCCAAACTCAAATCCAGACTCTGCTTATTAGTTATGTGACCTGGCAAGTCAGTTCACTTCTCTGGGCCTCAGTTTCCTCCTCTATAAAATAGGTGTTAAAAAAGCATCTTTCTCATAGGGTGAGGATTAAATGAGTTAGCATATATCAATCACTTAGAACAGCACGTGGCATATGATAGGTGCTACATACATGTCAGCTATAATTATTTAGGAGGCACTATAGGATTTGGCCATGGAGAGAAAATGAGGGTGAAGGAATGTCTGGGAACACAGAGCAAGATGCCCCAAGAATTGATCACTGCTCAGTGGAATTTGGGAGATTCACAGTTAAGGAGTGAAAAGGATCAAAGACAGAAAGTTTCATGAGGAAAGGCTGAGATGCAGCATTAAGGAGTGAAGCCAGGACCTAAAGACCAACACTGAAGGCAAAGCAGGTTCAGGCCTCTGGGTCAAGCAAACATTTCTATGATATGCTAGGCACTGTTTTAACCTCTTTGCATAGGTTAACTTATTTAATACTCACCCTAAGAAGTAGTATATTATCATCTTCACCTTGTAAATGAAGAAACAGGAACAGAGAGGTCAAGTGACTTATTTAAAGTGCACAGCTAAGGTGGGACACAATGGTTCATGCCTGTAATCCCAGCACTTTGGGAGGCTAAGACCCATCCGGGCAACATAGCAAGACCCCATCTCTACAAAAAAATTTAAAATTAGCCAGGTGTGGTGGTGTATGCCTGTGGTCCTAACCACTCAGGAGGCTGAGGTGGGAGGATCACTTGATCCCAGGAATTGGAGGCTGCAGTGAGCTATGATTGCACCACTGAACTCTGGCCCCAACAACAGAGTGAGATCCTGTCTCAAACAAAACAAAATAAAACAAAACAAAACAATGAAAACAATGATACACAGCTAGTAGGTACCAGAGCCAAGATTGGAGCCCAGGCAGGCTAGTTCCAAAGTCCACACTCTTTATTAACTTGCAAGGCCACAAACCTGAGCCTATGCATTTCACTCTGCTCTCATCCACAAACTACCCCTGAAAGTATCAGAAGGAATTGTTTAAAAATGGGATAAAATCTATTTCAGCCCAGAAACCAGGGAAAGGTACCAAGCAAATGCCAGAAATGCTTTTCAATAGATAGAAACAGTGAGACTGGAATTGTGGGAAGGACGACCTGGCCCAGTCCTTCTTACCCTACCTCCAATTTAAAAAAAAATAGAGTGGTGGCTGGGCATGGTGGCTTATGCCTGAGTAGTCCCAGCACTTTGGGAGGCCAAGGTGGGAGGATTGCTTGAGCCCAAGAGTTTGAGACCAGCCTGGGCAACATGATGAAACCCCATCTCTACAAAAAAATTAAAAAATCAACCAGGCGTAGCGGCACATGCCTGTAGCCCCAGCTACTTGGGAGACTGAGGCAGGAGGATCACTTAAGCCTGGGAAGCAGAGGCTGCAGTGAGCCGTGATGGTACCATTGCACTCGTAGGCAACACAGTGAGACCTTGTATCAAAAAGAAAAAAAAAATCGAGTGGCAAGGTCTGACTGAGGGAGTAGGTAATTGACCAAATATAAGTGAAGGTGAGTCTAACAGGAGCCTATGAAGTCACTGGCAGCAGCAGGCACTTGAGCAATATTTAAAATGATGAATCTTCCTCCCAAAACCTGCAGGAGAAGCAAGTGGCTTCCAGGCTCACCTGCAGATCTCACTGGACACGAAGAGGGTGCTAAAGGACAGCAGGGGGCGCTATAGCCACTGACTCCTAACTAAGGATATGTCCCAGCCAATTTAGAGCTCAGACACCAAGAGAGAAAAAAGACTTCTGCATTCTTTTAAAGCTCCCTGCCTTGGACTATTGCACACTCTCTACTCTCCAAAGAAAGCCCATTTGACTAAATTTACATTTTCCCTTCTCCCCTCCGATGTGGGGTGGGGGAGACCTTCCACTGACAGTCCCCACCTACGAATGCAGAAGTTGTAAACCGGAGGTTCACAGAAGGAATCCAGTCCAAAAATGTGTTTAAAATACACCACAGTTGTAATTCTTGAATTCTCTGTCAAAATCTAAATTTAGGGGATTTCAGATTTCTCTGGAAAAAAATGGGAAAACTTAGACCTTCATCCTTTAAACAGCAGGAATTAGGAAACGGAGCTGAGTGCCGCTGCCCCTTTCAGATAGGGTGTTCAATGGGCCAATGGGACATGCCTGTGGTCACACACGTCACTCATTCACCCACCTGCCTGGCCCCTGCTGGCTCTGAAGCTGGACATCCTGATGAACAGGATGCTATGTGTCCTTTCAATATCATGTGGCCACACACACACACATATGAAAGAAACCAGCCAGACACAAGAGATGGTCTACTCTATAATTCTGTTTTTTGGTTTTTGTTTGAGATGGAGTCTTGCTCTGTTACCCAGGCTGGAGTGCAGTAGCATGATCTCGGCTCACCGCAACCTCAAGCGATTCTCCTGCCTCAGCCTCCTGAGTAGCTGGGATTACAGATACAAAAACCATCATGCCAGGCTAGTTTTTGTATTTTCAGCAGGGACGGGGTTCTGCCATGTTGGTCAGGCTGGTCTCAAACTCCTGACCTCAAGTGATCCCCCCTACCTCGGCCTCCCAAAGTGCTGGGATTACAGATGTGAGCCACCGGGCCCAGCCTAGTTTTGTTTTTTAAGTGCTCAAAAGCAGGCAAACTGTTTTCCATAGTATCTGCAACATTTTGTATTCCTGCCAACAGTGTACAAGGGTTCCAATCTCTCCATATCTTTGCTAACACTTGTCTTTTTTAAAAAAAAAAATAGGCCGGGCGTGGTGGCTCCCACCTGTAATCCCAGCACTCTGGGAGGCTGAGGCAGCAGAATCACTTGAACCCGGGAGGTGGAGGTTGCAGTGAGCCAGGATCACGCCATTGCACTCCAGCCTGGGCAACAGAGCAAGACTCCATCTCAAAAAAAAAAAAAAAATAGTCATCCTAACAAGTGTGAGATAATATCTCATTGTGGTTTTGATTTGCATTTGCCTAGTGATTAGTGATGTTTAGCTTTTTAAATTTTCATATGCCTTTTGGTCATTTGTATGTCTTCCTCGGACAACTGCCTATTCAAGTCCTTAGCCCGTGTGAAGGTTCCTCAAAACATTAAAAATAGAACTACCATATGATTCAGCACCCTCACCTCTGGGTATTTACCCAAAAGAATTGAAATTAACATCCTGAAGAAATGTTAGCAGTTCCATGTTCATTGCAGCACTCTTCACAACAGCTAAACGTGGAAGCAATCTAGGTGTCCACTGACGAACAAATGGATAAGGAAAATGTGTTTATGCATATGATGGAATATTTTTCAGCCCCCCAAAAAGAAGGAAGTTCTGCAATGAGACAACATAGATGAACCCTGAGGACATTATGGTAAATGAAAAACACTAGTCACAGGAAAACAAATACTAGATGATTCCACTTACGTAAAGTAACAAAAATAGTCAAATTGATAGAAAATCAGAGTGAAAGGGTGGTGGCTACAGCCTGGAAGAAGGGCAAAATGGGGAATTACTTACCAATGGGCATCAAGTTTCAGTCAAGCATGATGAATAAGCCCCAGAGATCTGCTGTCTCGTACTGCATCCATCATCAACAATGATGCATTTTACACTTAAAACTTTGTTAAGAGGATAGATTTCATGTTACGTGTTCTTTCCAAAATAAAATAAAATAGATCACTGGGGGTGGGGGGAAAAGCAGCCAAAGGATTGCTGGTCTGGTAGTGGTTATTTTGATGGATGGGGAGGGACGTGTAGAGATTAGAAGGAGCAAAGAAGGGCTTCTGGGGCTCTGCTTACAAAGAAAAATTCACTGTGTGAGAATTCATCAAGCTGGACACTTTTCCCGTACAATAAACAGTTGTCAAAAACTGTGTGACCAGTCCAGACTAAAACCAGCACCCTTGATTCCAAATTCTAAACTCCTAGAAGAGGCCAATTTGATCCTGTTTGGGAGAGATGTCCACACGCATCTGGACCAAATCAGGCCAAGGCTGTAGGGTCACAGACCTTTGGCAGTGCATATCTGGAAAGGCAGCTCTCAGGGAAGAAAGCTGCCTGCTTCAGGACCATTTGTGCAGGTACACAGGGTTGAGGTCTACCAGGCAGTTTGAGGTACTAGGTAAGAGCATAGCCCCACGGGCCAGAGGGCCTAGAGCTGGACCTCTCACAAGTGACCTTGAGCAAGTCATTTAGTCTCTGAGTACCTCAGTTTCCTCATCTGTGAAATGGAATTATAACAATGATAACCTATCTCACAGGGTGTAATGAAGAATGAAGAATTATTATATGTAAAGTGTTTAGGACAGAATTATATCTATAAATGCTGGCTCTTAGTTTTTTTTTTTTGAAAAAGAATACCAAGACATCCTAGAATCCTAGACCACTGGAGGTGGGGGAGCCCTCATGAGGGCATGAACCTCATGAACACAAAAGAGCAGAGACAGAAAGAAGACTAGGAAACGTGAGGTCTCTTGAGTCCAGAACCAGGGCCTTTCACATCCTTTCTGGCTGCCTATCTCCAAGGCCATCTGCCTTTTGATTTCTCCATTTGCCCCCAGGCCTGCAGGCTCCAGAAATTACGGTCTTCTGGGAAATTGTGAGGCTGGTCCTGCCTCCCAACTAGGAGAAGCCACAATAATTTATAGATGGGACGCATCAGCTTCATTCAAGTCCCAGCAGCTCGCCTCTCTGTGCACGGTTGGTTTCTGTTCTCTGGCCTTCCAGCATCATGGATTTGCTTCTTCCTCCACAGCATGCAGCTCTGTGTCTTCGTGACAGTGAGGGACAAAGGGATGTTTGGAAGCAATTCATTCTGACCTTTACAAGCGGGTTCTGCATTGCAGAAGCAGTCAGCCCGTGGCAAATGAGAGCAGAAGAATCATGCAGAATTCACTTGACAATCAAGAGAACTGCATTTTATCACATTACCATCATTTTATCAGCCCCTCTCTCCAACCAGCCCATGGGAGATGCCTTTCCATTTTGCAGAAAGCAAGATAAATGCATGCAATTCCAAAAATAAGGATGGACTTTTGAAATGCACAATCTAAGACTTGAAAGGATCATTTGTGGCAATAATATTAACTAGCATGTCCTATGTGCCAGTTACGGCATGAAGCTCTTACCATCTAGGTTAACTCATTTAATCCTCACGTGGACCCTATGAGGTGGGTGCCATTTTATCCTCTTTTTATAGATGAGGAAACTGAAGCAGGGAGGTTAGGTAACTAGCCCAAGATTATCAGCTAGTTAGTGGCCAAACTGGAATTCAAACTCAGTCATTCTGGTTTCAGAGCTTTTATACATATTGCCTTACACTGGCTTCTAAACCCAGCTATCCATCAGAATTACCCAAGAACTTTTTAACACATGGATTCCCAGGTCCTGATCTCTATCTCTTCAGGTGAAGCCTGTCATCCAATCTCTCTGCAATCTGCAATGTAGCATTTAGAAATTGTAGCAAACACGTTGTTCCAATTGGCGCAACATCTGTGCCTTCTTCCCCCTCCCCACCCCCTGCTCCCCGTATCAGTACTTCGATTCTCCTTTGAAAAGCCATCCTACCCCCACAGCGTTTAGTCTTTGAAAGAACATTTTAAAAGCCCGACCCAAGAGTTTGTTAGGCAACTTGAGCTCGGCCAGATAATCTCTCTCCTTCTGGAATTTGAATTTAGGCTGAATGTAACACAAGAACCAAAATCAGATAGAACTGGTCTGGTTGTTCAAGTTTTCTTTCAACGCTCTGAAGGATGCCACATCTTTTCCAATGAATTCCTTTCCAACTTATGTTAACCAAAGATGGTTTCTGTTGCATGCAACAAAACAACAAAAGCTAGTAGAACCACCAACATGGTAGAAACCCACATCTACCACAGCTATGCCCTCTACAGCATGCCTGGCAATTGAGCTTTACTATCCTCGGATGGGGAGCTAATATTATTATGTAGCAACCAGTTGGTCAGTATGGGCTGTTCTTCGTTAGCCTGCACAGATGGACCTCAGTCCTACTTCTCCTTTAGAACTGCACCACAAAAATTCTGTACAAGAGCTCTTTGGACATTTGATGACAGTGTAACCTCTGAGCTAGAGAGGCCAATCCTCGAGTATCTCCAGACTCCTTCTAAGGCATCCTCTTGGCATTTGGTATCGCCCACGAGAACTTCTGTGTGGATTCAGAAGCTATGGACTGCAGTGTTATGTGAACAGGATGTGATTTCAGCAGGATGGTGCACTTTCAGATGTAGGGAGATAATAGATAAGTGAGAGAGGGAAGAAGGGAGGAAGGGAGGAAGGGAGGTGGAGACTGTATCATTTAGACTAAATTGCCCCTGACATTACTTATCCTTGAGAGATGTAAATGGGTCTTTTGGTCCAGGTGATGGTCATCCCAAGAGAGATGTTCAACCCTCATTGCTGCTTCGCTCCCTGGAAGGAGCATTATTTTTGAAAGTTCACTGTGGGTGTCCCCACTTGGGGTTATGTAAGACAGAAGAAACCAGGCGTTGAGAAAAGTGCACTTGACTGTTACGTTGCTTTACTGAGCCAAGGAGACCGGATGACACCAAGAGGAGGAAGCGAGCCTTTGCCCTGAAGATCAAGGTGGTCTTCCTGCCACTCACACTGAGGCAGGAAATGGACAGGGCCTTGTTGGCAGAGCCAAGATTCCCCTTCTCTGGGGCCAAAAATGAATTGAAGTCAAGACTTATCAGAGGCCAGAATCTTATTAGAAGCACCTGAAGATGCTCAGTCCAGGAACTGAGCTGACTCCCAGCGGATGGAGGACCTCAAGAGTAACCACATTTGGAAGGAACTGTAAGTGACTCCCGATTACGCCGGAACCGCCACTCAAGTTTGGTCCTCACTGAACTAAGTGGGAAACCTGAGTCTGCACTAGAGGTGGAGTGGCCCCAGAAACAAACAAAACTGGAGAAACCAGCTACAGAACATCCCAAAGTGACCTTCAGAGCTCTGCAGGTAACAAGTCTGGCATAAGACAGTGAACAGAATTAAGTATTCACGAAAATTTATTTAGGGAATGTGGCCTTTGGCTTTACATGTGTATATATTTTTATATTTTTAAATCTATCATACCTGACCTAATGTTTTGTTGTCTGCTTTTTTTTTTTCATTTAGCAATATATTATGACTGCATTTCCAGGCCAATGGCATTTTAATCACTGTGACTTTTTATTAAAGTATAATTTACATACAGTAATGTACAGAGTTTAAGCATATAGTTTGATGAGTTTTGAAAAATGTGTACACCTGTATAGGCACCATCCCAGTCAAGACACAGAACATTCCCCTTATCCCCAGACACTGTGACACTGAATCACTGGCCAGCATTCCACCATATGACTGTAATATATTTTACTTATATAAACTCTAATTGGTAGTGAGACTTGGGTCATTTTCAAATTTTTGATATTATAAATACTGATGCAATGAATATCACTCTAGATAAATCTATGCATTTATCCTGAAATGGTTTCTTACCAAAAATTCCTAGAATTGTCATTCTTAGGTCAAAATGATTAGATTTAGTAATTCTTAGGTCAAAAATGTGTTTAAAGCTCTGGATATGTATGGAAAATTTGCTCTTTAGAAAACATATACTAATTTGCCACTCACCAGTAATGCATTAGAGTTCATGTTTTCTCCTTCCCTGTTTTATGTTTTTGTTTAGTTTTGTTTATTTGAGACAGAATCTCACTCTGTTGCCCAGGCTGGAGTGCAGTGGTGCAATCACAGCTCATTGCAGCCTCCACCTCCCAGGCTTAAGTGATCCTCCCACATCAGCCTCCTGAGTAGCTGGGACTACAGGTGCATGCCACCATGCCTGGCTAATTTTTTCTTTTTTTTTTTTTTTTTTTTGTAGAGACTTGGTTTCGCCATGTTGCCCAGGCTGGTCTCAAACTCCTGAGCTCAAGTGATCTGCTGGGACATCTGCCCCCGTTTATGCTTTTTGTTTTGAGTCCTATTTCTTTTGATATCATTATTAAGACCATGTTTCATTTTTATATATGTATTTTCATGATACACTTTTGTCCCTTTTATTTTTAAAACCTGTGCTTTAAGCATCTTTTATACACTGCCAAGAGTTGTACATTGCTCATCCAATCTCATAGTCTTTGCCTTTCAGTAGAGAATTTCAATCCATTTACATTGGTTGGGTAACATTCTGCTATCACTTCTACCATCTAAATTTATGCTTTCCAGATTCCACGGTTCCTTGCTGGCATATTTTTATCTTTATTCCTATATTTTGTTATATTGATCATAATTTTCTTTGTTGTTTTATCTCTAGATTGTTTCCTCCACATTATTTGAATGCATAATGTCCGTGACAACAATAAAATAGCATTCACTATTTTATTTGGGATATGTTCATCTAGACTCATGTATGAGACTGGCTTGTAGTTTACTTTTTATGCCAACTTTACTAGGTAATAGCGGTTATTGTGGTTAAGCAAGCTTATAATAATTAGTTATTACTTTCATCAGCGCATCAAAGTTTCTCCTTCACTCTTCTTATAACATACACTGCTCCTGGGTGAAAGGGATGCCATGGGATCCAGGTCTGAGGTTATAAGAGTTCGTTCTCCCAGTGATAGAGAACCAACTCCATCAGAACATTTTCTGAGATCAATTATGAATGCAGGGAAGATGGCTGGGTGCAGTCGCTCACGCCTGTAATCCTAGCACTTTGAGAGGCTGAGACAGGGAGATCACTTGAGATCAGGAGTTCGAGACCAGCCTGGCCAATATGCTGAAACCTTATCTCTACTGAAAATACAAAAATTAGCTGAGTATGGTGGTGCACATCTGTAGTCCCAGCTACTTGGGAGGCTGAGGCAGGAGAATTGCTTGAATTCAGGAGGCAGAGGTTGCAGTGAGCTGAGATCGTACCACTGCACTCCAGCCTGGGCAACAGAGCGAGACTTTGTCTCAAAAAAAAAAAAAAAACGAATGCAGGAAGAAGGCTAATTCCTCCACTAGGGTTGCCATCTTTCCATGGGGTCAACTGTAACGATGTTTGCAGACATGTTCCATCTACAGCAGGAGCAAATGAGGCAAGACAAAGCAGATGCATCAGTCAGGGGCCCCGCAGGAAACAGATGGCATACTAAAGTGAAGAGTGTTTAAGAAAGGTTCAATGAAAGGACTGTTTCTAAAGGTGTGGGCATGGTGTTGGGAAAGTATAAGGGATTGGAGGCTAGTAAGAGCCAGAGGACAAAGGAAGGGAGTAGCTCCTGGAACCCAGAAGGAGAGAATTACATAGAGAAGATGATCTGTAGAGGAGCAGCAACCTATAGTCAAAAGGTAGAGTGAAGATGACTCCATAATAAATACTGACTGACTCGGGGAGGGTCTCACTCTCCCCTCCCCAAGTCTCCTATTAGCCCCTCCCCTTGAGTCCAACCAGAGGTCAGGTCAGAGGGTAAGGGAGCCCCAGTTGAAGCAGTCATTATGGCTTAGTCTCTCAGAGAAAGCAGAGTGGATTGGAAGGGCAAACGAGGCATCTGGCACAGCAGATAAGGGTCAGTGTGGTAGACTGCACAATGGCCACCAATGTCTCCCATCCCCGCATGCTCCTTGGCCATGTGACTTTGCTATTCTTCCCATCCAGAGATGAAGTTTGTTTCTCCACCCCAAATCTGATCTTGTCCATAACCACTGTGACACAAACAAAGGCTTAAAAAACACCTATGCTGGCCAGGCGCAGTGGCTCACACCTGTAATCCTAGCACTTTGGGAGGCTGAGGCAGGCAGAACGCTTGAGGTCAGGAGTTCAAAACCAGCTGGCCAACATGGTGAAACCCCGTCTCTACAAAAAATACAAAAATTAGCTAGGCGTGGTGGTGGGTGCCTATAATCCGAGCTACTCAGGAGGCTGAGGCAGGAGAATCACTTGTATCTGGGAGGGTTGCGGTGAGCCGAGATCACACCACTGCACTCCAGCCTGGGTAACAGAAAGAGACTCCATTTCACACACACACACGCACGCACGCACACACACACACGCACGCACACACACATACACACACACACACCTGTGCTTTGGGATTTCCCTCTCTTGCCGTGCTTGGAACCGTGAAACTAAGCTAGCCTGGTGGAGGAAAAGAGGACGCATGGAGGAAAAATGAAATGCCCAGATCGACAGCCTGCCAGCCCTCAGTCAATGCTAGCAAGGCTGTTCTAGGTAATCCAGCATCGGCCCAGCCACTAGCTGACCAAGACCCAGGACAGAGCCCAGCAGGGATTACCCAAATAAACCCAGGTCAGAAGAATCACCCAAGTAACCCACACAATCATGAGAAACCACAAATAACTGATGTTTCAAGCCACTAAATTTTGGAATGGTTTGTTACAGAGCAAAATAACTAACCAATAAAGCAGAAATGGAAAAGTATCTTGCAAGTACTGGAGCTTCAGTTCCAGCCTTTGAGGTCCTTGGTCCTGAAGCTCTTACTCTACTCCCAATGTCCTTCTCAGGAGTCAATGGGCCCTCTTTTCCTACTGCTAATTTGAGCTGGATTTCTCTCATTTTCATTTAAAAAAAATTGTAAAGGTTTATTTCTTCTTTGTAATCAGGTACAATTTTAAATGAACAGAAATTCTTCGTTGCTCTAAAATTTAAGAAGTTTTACCCATGAAACATATTTGTCTGGGGTTTTACGAGAAGAAAAGATCCTTGAATAATGTTTTCATTTCTTTCTCGGTTATTTGCCTATTCTGGTTTTCAATTTCTTTTTGAGACAAAATTGACAATTTTATGAGAAAATCATCCATTTCAACCAGATTTTCAAACATGTTCTCACTTATTTACATACTTTAATGTATACATACATTTAATACTTTCATTTCTGTTTTATCAAATCTTCAACATTTAACAAGTTTAACAAGTTTATGATTTTTAATCTATCTTATCACAAAGTGAGACTTGATCAAAAGGATAAGGTCAACATTAGTGTCTACCATCTCTAATTGACCTGATTTAGTGATGGAATTAGGAGATCACAGGACCTAACAGTGGGTTTTACTCAGTAACTTGACTATAAATCATAAGAAATTATTTCTAAAGCCATAAAGTGTTGAAAAAGGTATCTTTAGACAAACCAGACAAAGAGTCCTTTTGTACTGCCTGCCCAGAGACCCTGTTCAATAAAGTTAGCTATTATTATTAGCTATTATTTCTTGGCAGGTCAGAGGGTAACCTGTATCCCTTATAGAGCAGGAGAGGCTCCTCCAGACATTAATAATGATTTTAAAACCAGGTATTGAGTGCCTTCTTTGTGCCAGACATTATTCTAGGGATGGTTCAAGCAGTCTCCTATTGAATAGTTACCAAAAAAAAAAAAACCGCTTTATTTAGGTATTATTTTCTCTATTTTAAAGACATAAACTGAGGGTCACAGAACTTAAAGTTATTTTCCCAAGGTCATTGGAGCAATACATAGCAGAGACCATTTGGAATTTGACACCAGCATTTTCTGGCTCCAAAGTTTGAGTTCTTTTCTTAGCACTGCATCACAGAATTTGAGGTTTGTGTGAAGTAATGGAAATGGAAACTGTAATCACCTCATAAGGGCATGCTCTGGGTGGAAGAATGTAGAGAATTGTCAGTACATTCTTGATTATGGACCTAGGTGGAGCAATGGAAATGGCCTTAGCTACATGTACCAAGGGCTTGCTATGCACTGTGCCAAGCGCTTTCATGTAAGGGCTTTGAAATTCATTTGTCTTTTGTTTGTGAACTCTTTCTCATTTTAAATATTTTTAAAATTATCACTATAAACCTATGTGGTTGGTACTAACATCCTATTTTACATATAAGGAGACTAGGGCATAGAGAAGTCGAACGACATGCCCAAGTTTTCCTAATGAGTATCTGGGCAGAATCAAGACTCAAATTCAGGTATGTCTGATTTCAGAGTCCATACTCTTAACCACCATTGACGTGATCAATAAACTGCCACATTAACCACTTATAGCTAGAGGTGGTTAAGTCCACTGGCGATTGAGGCAGGGAATAAATTAGGTGCATTCTTTTGATGAGGCCATCTATGACTCTGAGCCACACTATAACATGCAGATTTTTATAAAGTCCAGTGTGATGGTCTCCAGGGGTTCTGTTCTGCTATGGCCTCTTGGGTTAACAGGATCTGCAATAGATTAACCATAGATACTTCCTCTCCAATGAGGCACTGGAATCTATTTTTCTACCACTTGAATCTGGACTTGGCCAGAGACTAGCTTTTTAGGACATTAGCAAACATGATACAAAGGCTTAAAAAGTGTTGGGAGATGCTCTCTTGCTCTTCTTGGAGCCTGGAAACCACCATATGAACAAGTCAGAGCTAGCCAGTTGGATGGAGGATGATGCCACATGGACGAGAGCCAAATCACACAGGCCGACAACCTGCTCGTCGTCAGTCATGTGAAAGGGGCCATCTTAGATCATCCACCCACCAGCCAACCAACCAGCTATCCACAGACACAGACAAGAACCCCTTAAACTGTGCCCAGGGAAAGTACCTCACTTGACTCACCCTAGTCCCAACCCTCAGAGACAACTCCTCTGTTTCTTGTTCTGAGATGTCACAGGAGGCTGTGTATGTGGTCAGTATTCTGAGTGCTGAATAACCTATAATGTCCATAAGTAATGCTTATGACAGTACCAGAGACCTGGTCTCTCTAAGAGGTACAAGAGACAGATGAATTGAGGATTTCCTGCCTGGTGAGATCAAGAACAAGAAGGATGACTGTGGGTGACCAGGAGCATCATCCATGAACTCTGCCACACTTTGTGGCCCTCCAATGGCGAGTGCCCATAAATGTTGTCTATTCTCATTGTTATTGAATGGTTGGCTCAGTAGCTAGGTTCACGGGACAGTGCCTGGTTCATAAAATTGCCTCAATGTGATATGATGTGAACATAGCTGTAGGATAATGCCAACAGCACAAAGCTCTACTAATATCCATAATATTGCCTGGCTCAGACTGGGCTTGGAACAGCAGAGGGTAGAGGATGCAACCAAGCACATCCTTTATCGTGGATGGAGCCTTGTCCAAGGTCACCGCCTGTGTGTTTCTGCTTCACGAACTTGCTGCACACCAGTTCCTCCAAGGTCATGCAGAAGGAGAGGGCACCCCTCCATACCTGCATGAGTATCAGGGGCAGCTAAAGGAGAGTCTGGCCAGGTGGGCAAGCAGGTGTGGCTAGGTCTTTAATCATGCCTCCAACCATGAGCAGAAAAAGGTCAATGAACTGAGTCAAGCCAGTTCAGGTGTCTGGACCAATTCATCATCCTTGGTGCCAACTGACCTTTTTGGAACTGTATCCAGAGATAGAATCATTTCAGGTAGGCTGCCAAATCCTATGCATGCTGGCTGCAGGGAGTACTTCCTGCTCTCCTCATGCTCAAGGCAATGAATGGCTGCACTCCTTCATTCATACAGAGAGGGGTCTCATGCCACTTACAGAGCCTCCACACTTCTAGGAAGGACTGCCAGGTGGCAGACAGAGAACCTGCTCATTCTTCACCCTTTCCTGGTCTGTCTGACAAGACACCTGTCCTTGCTGGCTGCTCAGCATGTGTGCACTGTTATTCATTGTCATTGTCATCATCATCATCACATATATAGCTCTTGCCATGCACCAGACACTGTCCTAAGTGCTTTTACAGATATCTATGTATTTGATACTCATAACAATGCTATCAAGTAGAAACTATTATTTAACTCATTTTTTAGCTGAGGAATCTAAGGCATAAATGGATTTAAGTTATTTGTCCAAGGTCACACAGATCTGAGGCTAGGAATGCTGGCTCCATAATCCGTGATTTTAACCAGGACACAATACCGTTTCTCTAGCTTTCCTCAGAGAAACTACCTCTTCCCCACTCTCAATCCATGGAAGGGGCACTCACGCCCTCATCTACGGTGTAGGCACAATGTATTAGTCAGGGTTCTCCAAAAAAAAATCAATAACGTGAATTGGTGTACATAATTATGGAAGCCAAGAAGTCCTACAGTCTTCCATCTGCAAGCCAGAGAACCAAGAAAGCCAGGGGTATAGTTTAGTCCAATGTTTGAAATCTGAGCCCAAAGACCTGAGAACCATAGGTGCCAATGGAGTAGGTCCTGGTCCACGTCTGAAGGACTGAGAACCTGGAGCACCAACACCCAAAGGCGGGAAAAAATTAATGTTCCAGCTCAAAAAGAGAGAGTGAATTTACCCTTCCTCTGCCTTTTTGTTCTGAGTCCTCAACAGATTAGATGGTGCCTGCCTATGTCAATGAAGGCAATTTTTCTACTCAGTCTACTGATTCAAATGATAATTTCTTGAAAACACCCTCACAGACATGCCCAGAAATCATGTATTACCAGCTATCTGGGTACCCCCCTTAGCCCAGTCAAGGTTAACTGCATGTGCAAAATTAACCATCACAAGTCCACCCTTTCTCAACTTGGCATCCATACACACCTTCTTAAATAAAGAACCTCCAAATAAAGAATAACAAGGACATAATTCCACCTGATGTGATACAATTAGACTTTGTACAACTGAAAATGCAATAATCCCCTCCCCAGAAAAGGAGATGAAGTCCTTGAGTAATGATTCCTCTTGTCCTGGTATCCTATAACTTAAATACTAAGACATAAAAATACTGATATAAAGTCAATACATCTTACGTTACATGATAAAGAACTAAAAGAGCAAAGAAAACAAAGATATTTGCTCACCATATGTATATATACACACAAACATATCCATAACAAAATAATGCCAATAATCATGCCAATCACAGTCCTTGTTTCTGTAACTGGTCACACGGTCATAGCTGGTATTTGTAACTACTTTCTTCTATTACCTATTCTGTATTCCCTTTACCTTCAGTGGGCACCTCAGCTGGTGGTGGTTCCTTACCTGGCAGGGTGACCCAAACCTTCATTCTTAAAGGGTCTGGGCCATTCATAGTTTTGCCTGTATTGAGTTGTTGTAGTTTTTCATTGATCTTAATCACAGGTAATGGTAATACTAAGAGATGTCTTTAGGGATCTCCTGTATCCAGACACATTTTTCCTTTTCTCCATTGTAGAGTAGTGTCCAATTTCCCCTTAGTAGTCCAGATCAATCACTCCAGCCAACTTCATAACTTCCTTCTTGGCCTGTTAACTCAGAGGCATGGGAACCCCAAAGTGGCTGGGTGGCAGTGTTAACTATCAATAGAATCATTGTTCTGTCTCCTGCTGGAAGTATTCCTCCCTCTGGAACTGAGACCTCCATGCTGGGA
Organism: Homo sapiens; assembly: GCF_000001405.40. Taxonomy (NCBI): domain Eukaryota; kingdom Metazoa; phylum Chordata; class Mammalia; order Primates; family Hominidae; genus Homo; species Homo sapiens. The sequence goes on along the minus strand of NC_000016.10, from coordinate 23,997,051 downwards.
GAGCATAAAGTCATGGGAAAAGAAAGCAAAATTTTGCTGGTGGTAAAATTACTAGGGGTAATAATGAGTGGTACCACTCCCATTCCACTTCCTTGATTCCCAGATCCATAAATTTCTGGCTATCAGAGAAAAAGCACCATATACTAGATGCTGATTCAGAGCATATATAGCCTTCTGGAGAATCTTGCCCAGGCATGCAAGGTATTGCTACCTAGCTGGCAACATAACTGACTCTTCAAAAGGCCATTCCACCATTCTATCAAGCCAGCTGCTTCAGAATGATGGGGAACATGGTAAGACCAGTGAATTCCATGAGTGTGAGTTCACTGCCCACCTCTTTGGCTTTGAAGTGATTTCTTTGATCAGACACAATGCTGTGTGGAATTTCATAACAGTGAATAAAGCATGCTCTAAGTCCATGAATGGCAGTTTCAGTAGAAGCACTGCAGGCAGGGAAGGCAAATCTGTATCCAGCATGTCTATTTCCATAAGGATAAAATGCTGCCTCTTCCATAATGGAAGGGGTCCAATGTAATCAACCTGCCGCCAGGTAGCTGGCTGATAACCCCTAGGCATGGTGCCATATCAGGAACTCAGTGTTGGTCTCTGCTGCTGGCAGATTGAGCACTCAGCGGTGGCCATAGCCAGGTCAGCCTTGATGAGTGGAAGTCTATGCTGCTGAGCCCATGCATAACCTCCATCCCTGCCACCACGGCCACTTTGTTCATGAGCCCATTGTGTGATGACAGGGTGTCTGGGGAAAGAGGCTGCCTGGTATCCAAAGAACGGGTCATTCTATCAAGTCAATTATTAAAATCCTCCTCTGCTGAGGTCACCCTTTGGTAAGCACTCACCTAGGACACAAATATTTTCATGTTTATTGCCCACTCAGAGATGTCTATCCACACACCTCATCCCCACACTTTTTTGTCACCAATTTTTTCAATCATATTCCTTCCAAGTCCCTGCCCAGCCAGTCAAATAATTGGCTACAGCCCATGAATCAGGATATAGTCACATGTATGGCCACTTCTCCTCCCAAGCAAAGTGCACAACCAGGTGCACTGCTCAAAGTTCTGCCCACCGAGAAGATTTCCCTTCACTATTGTCCCTCAGGGATGTCCTAAAGTGACTACAGTGCTGTAGCTGTCCACTTCTGGGTGGTGTCTGCACACCGTACAGAAACATCTGTAAACTGGGTCCTAGTCTGCTCTTCCTTTGTCAACTGATCATAGGGAACTAACTCCTCATGAGCCCAAAGGTGCAAGTTGGGAGAGAGAAGGCAGGGTAGCAAGAGTGGGGAGCACAGGCATCCAGGCCATTTCTTCATGTATCGTACTTGTGCCTTTAGAGCCTGCCCAGGCTTGATCACATACATACCACTTCCATTTGATGATGAAGTGCTGCTGTGCATGCCCACTTTATGGCTCGGTGGTTTAGATAAGACCCAGTTAATGAAGAGCAATTCGGGTCATACGGCAATTTAGTGGCCCATGGTCAAATCGTCAGTTTCCACGAAGGCCCGGTAGCAGGCCAAGAGCTGTCTCTTAATAGGAAACTAGCTATCTGTGGATTATGGCAGGACTATATTCCAAAATCTTAAATACTTGTGCTTCAATTCACCTATAAAGGCTTGCCAAAGGCCCCACACAGTATCCCTCTCTGCCACTAACCAACCACCATTGGATTTGCTGGGTCAGATGGCCCAAGTGGCAAAGCAGCTTGCACAGCAGTCTGGACCTGTTGCAGAGCCTTCTACTGTTCTGGGCCCTACTGAAAACCAGAAGCTCTTGGGGCCCCTTGGTAAGTAGGCCAGCATAACACACTTAAATGAGGAATGTGTTGCCTCCAAAATCCAAGTAGGCCCAGTAGGCCATCTGTCTCTTTCTCGGATGTAGAAGGGTCCAGATGCAACAACTTATCCTTCACGTTAAAAGGGGTATCTTAACATGCCACACACCACTGACCCCTAGAAATTTCACTGAGGAAGAAGGTCCCTAAATTTTAGTTGGATTTATTTCCCATCCTCTAACACACAAATGTCTTACCAATGTCTAGAGTAGTTGCTACTTCTCATTCACTAGGACAAATCAGCATAATGTCATCAATGTAAAGGACCATTGTCATAGCTTGTGGAAGGAAAAAATGATCAAGATCCCTGCAAACTAAATTATGACATACGACTGAAGAGTTGATATACCCCTGAAGTAGGACAGTGAAGGTGTATTGCTAGCCTTACCAGCTGCAATAAAACTGCTCTGGTGGGTCTTATGGACAGAGATGGAGAAAAAGGCATTTGATAAATCAATAGCTACATACTAGCTACCAGAGGATGAATTAATTTGCTCAACCAATGAAACCACATTTGATACAGCAGCTACACTTGGAGTGATCACTTGGTTAAGCTTATGATTATCCACTGACATTCTTCTAGATTCATCTGTCTTCTGCAGAAGCCAAATAAGAGAGCTGAATAAGGGATATGGTGGGAATCACTACCTCTGCATCTTTCAAGTCATTGATGATGGCACTGATCTCTGCTGTCCCTCTAAGGATGTAGTATTGCTCTTGGTTGGCTGTTTTCCTAGGCTGGGGCAGTTCTAATGGCTTCCTCTTGGCTTCACCCATCATAGTGGGCCTCACTCTACAGGTCAAAGAACCAGTATGGGGATTCTGCCAACTGCTAAGTATGTCTATTCTAATTATCCATTCTGGAACTGGGGAAATAACTGCAGGATGTGTTTGGGGACTCACTGGATCCACTGTAAGACAGACCTGAGCTAAAATTCCATTGATCACCTGACCACCATAAGCCCCTATTCTGACTGGAGGGACAAGTGACATTTTAGGTCTCCTAGAATCAGTGTCAGTTCAGAACTAGTGTTCAGTAGTCCCCAAAAGGTCTCATCATTTCCTTTTCTCTAGTGCACAGTTATCCTGATAAAAAGCAGTAGGTCCCTTTGGGCAAGGCTGGGAGAAAGATTAACAGGATAAACTTTTAGCAGTATAATCGCTTTCTCAAGGAAATTTTACCTCCCTTTCATTCAAAGGGTTCTGGGTCTATAAACTGGCTCAAGTCTGGGAATGGACTGAGGGGCTATGATTCTCTATTTTTATGATTCAAGTTAGACTTCTGTTCACTTCACCTAGAATTTTTCTGCTATACAGATCAAGTAAGAATTTAGTAGGCTTCCCACCTATTTCACTTCTAGCAACACCATGATTAGGCAGTGCCATAGGTCTGCATGAGTCAGGCTATTCCGATTGTTGTTGTAACTCTGCGATCCATTAAGGTAACCGCACCTACCTTGCCTTTAACAGTTGAGTGCCACCAAATGGCCCCTGATACTCCAGGACCCAATTATTCCCATTGCATTTAAGTTTTCCAATTAAGTGGCTGTGGTTCCCATAGTAAGGTTTGGTCTATAGAGAAGAGGGATCACAGAGCTCTTAAAGGACGCTGGGGCTCCCCTCACAAATATATTTCTCAAAGTATTGACAGAGACATACCTTTCTTAAAGGTATGTCTGACCTTCCCAGCATGGGTGAGCGGGTATTAAATGACAAATCCACTCTGGCATTCTAATCTCCCTAAGCTTTTGAATCCTTTCCTCTACATTAAACCAGGGGAGGTCAGGCATCTCCAACTCACTCATGATAGGCCATCTTTTAATCCATGTTTCAGCCAACCAGCTAAACTGTTAGAGCCCTTCCTAACTCCTTAAGCTGGAACATTACATTCAGAATCTCTGCTTAGTGAACTTCTATCAATAAATTCAGCCTGATTCAACTTCATGTTACTTCCACCATTATCCTACCCCCTTAATATCATTCCCATGCATATTCCCTATGGTTCTGCTTGTATAAATTAGAAAACTCAAATAGTTCTTTTGGGGTATAGCATACCTCCCCGTGGGTCACACAGTGCATCTCACGTTTAGGAGCCTGCTAGGACTTGAAGGGGTGGTGGGATTCGGTGCTGACAAGAATCAGCATTGCCTGGCATGGCAACTGCCTCAGGGAAAGCCATTACTGTTTCTTAGGGCAATGCAGGGTTAGTTCCCTTAGACAAGATGGAAAGGCCAATGCCACCCTGAGTGGGGATGACACTTTTGCTTGAGGTAAGGAGGCCACTTCCACTGGTAAAAAAAAGACTTGTCAGAATTTAGGGGCTCAATGTCCCCAGCTTCATTAGGGTCTTCATCAGAGTCTTCCCACCTTATGGGATCCCATTCTTTTCTGATCAATGCCCTTGCCCTTGCTTTTAGAGCAGACACCCTGTGTGGTGGGGAGTCCAATTTGCATTGTAATTCAGCCAATTGCAGGATGAGGTTGTGCATTTAATTTTCAGAAATTTCAGCCCTGCAACTACAGGCTAGAAGGCTCTCCTTCAGGGCACACCTAGAAGCTCTTAGATCATTTATGAAACTCTTTGAGCTGGGAATTCAAATCCCTGAGCTCATCTTTTTCTTTCTCCACTTTGTCCAGAGACATTAGGAGCAAGTCATTATATGCCTTAGTTTTCCAAAAGTGTTTGGGTATCATATATCGAATCACTTGGCTCCTTGCTTCTTATAAATGGTTGATTAGGAGTATCCAATGCAGATGATTTGTGTATCTCTATAAACAGATCATGCCACGGACTATCCAGGCTCTCTTTACTACTAGAAATAGGGTAATTAGCATTCTTAAATCTAATCAGATTTGGCAGCCAATTACCAAATCCCCGAAACCAATTCAGAAAACCCATCCTTAAAATTTTGTTCCTCTATACACTGTTAGTACCAAAATTTTCTGTCCTAGTCCCTTCTGGCTGCTGTAACAAAATACCAAAACCTGAGTGATTTTTAAATGATAAACTTATTCCTCACAGTTCTGGAGGCTAGAAAGTACAAGATCAAGGCACTGGAAGATTCGGTCTCCAGTGAGAGCTCACTTTCTCATACACAACTGTCTTCTCATTGCAACCTCACATGGTAGAAGGGGTGACGGATATCTCTGGGGTCTTTTTTATAGGGGCACTATCTCATTTATGAGGGCTCTTCCCCCATGAACTGATCACCTCCCAAGGGGCCCACCTTCTAACACCATACCTTGGGTGTTAGGATTTCAGGATATAAGTTTGGAGAAACAAAACATTCACACCACAGCAGCATATACCCAGGCCTGGCCAATCAGCATAACCCATTCTTCTGGCAATATGTGATTCATGGTCTAATGAGACTTTAGCTCTTGTTACTGCACTGCAGCACTGATAAGATATAAGATTAAAGGTGTTGCAGCCACCATGCTCGCATAGGAGACAAGCCTTCCTGAAAATAAAATCAACACAGACAAAGGCTAAGCCAAGAAGGGGAGAAACAGGTTCTTGAGGACATTATTTAGAACTTTGATTCACTGTGCTTGAAGCCAAGTCAACCCTTAGGCCTTTTCTATTTCAAGGACCCAAAATTTTCCTTTTCATATAAGTCAGTTTGAGCTGAGTTTCTGTCTTAGGCAACAGAAACATTCAGCAGATAGATAGAATATGGGAAACACCATCTTCTTGGCTGCAAGTTGAGTATCAAGTTTCAGTCTGCATGAACACTCAGAGCTGCATACTGAGTAGGGCAGTCTCCCCAAACTCCCCTGCCTATTTTGCTAGGGAGGAGAGAAGAAATTGCACTACAAGGGCTAGGGCATAGGATCTGAGAGAACATGACAAACAGTCTCAAACTTTGTCTTTGCAAACAGATTTCCAAGGACTTTGGTTGTTCCATGTTTCTTGGAGTTCTTAACCTCAATTACCACATTTTCCAAGCAAAGAATATCCAACATATGCTCCAGCATCTTTGTGTTGCTATGGCAACAGATATGCCCTCCCCACAAACTCCCACCCCAGTTTGCAGCAAATTGGCAGATGACCATTTGCAGAAGACCAGCAGGAGCTAAAGAAATCCAATGACAGAAGATAGTCACTACTCACTTTGGGCAAGCTGTCAGCTGTCAAGTCTAAGTGGGTAACAGAACCAGTAATGGAGACAAAGCCAATGGGAGAAATTTCAAGAAGGGGATTCAAAGCAGAAACAAAGTAAGAGAACTAGGGGTGATGGCTGCATTGGGGTATGCTGAATGCAGTTCATTATTGGGCAATGAAAGACTGTGCATGGTGGAAAGCCTTCTCAGCTAGGACAGTTTCAGCTGCATGTAAAAGAATGCCCCCAGGGTCAGGTACAGTGACTCATGCCTGTAATTCTAGCACTTTGGGAGGTCAAGGTAGGAGGAGGGCTTCAGCCCAGGAATTCGAGACCAGCCTGGGCAACATAGGGAAAACCTATCTTTACAAGCAAATAAAAAATTAGCCAGGTGTGGTGGCATGCACTTGTAGGCCCAGCTACGTGGGCGGCTGAGGTGGGGGGGTTGCTAGAGCCAGGGAGGTTAAGCTGCAGTGAGTGAGACATGATCATGCCACCACACTCTGGCCTGGGCAACAGAGCAAGATTCTGTCTCAAAAGAGAAAAAAACAAAAATAAAAGAGAAGGCTTCAAAGAGTAAGACTTTGCTTAAAAAAAAAAAGAAAAAAAAAAAAAAAGCTTCTTTTTTTTCTTTTTTTTCGAGACAGAGTCTCACTCTGTCGCCCAGGCTGGAGTGCAGTGGTGCGATCTCCGCTTACTGCAAGCTCTGCCTCCCAGGTTCACGCCATTCTCCTGCCTCAGCCTCCCAAGGAGCTAGGACTACAGGCGCCCACCACCATGCCTGGCTAATTTTTTGTATTTTTAGTAGAGACGGGGTTTCACCATGTTAGCCAGGATGGTTTCGATCTCCTGACCTTGTGATCTGCCCGCCTCAGCCTCCCAAAGTGCTGGGATTACAGGCGTGAGCCACCGTGCCTGGCCAAAAAAAAAGCTTCTTCTCCCATCTATCCAGCTTGGGGATAAAAGGACTGTGAGTGGTATCAACAGCTCATCAGCATCATCATGGACCCACGGTTCTTTTAAGTTTTCCACTCTGCCATGCTCAGGATGTCGGCAATGTGTCCCTCATTGACCCAAAAGGGCTGCCACAACTCCAAGCATTATATCCTTGTACAAAAATGCCCAAGAGGACAAGGGAAGGGATGTCTCTCTCTTATCAGAAAGGAAAAATCTTTCCTAGACTCTTTCCCAGGTCTTCCCCTCAGTTCCCATTAGCAGGATTGGGTCACATCCTCATTCAGCAGCTACAAGAGAGCCGGGAAAAGCAAGTATTAGGCATTTTTAGCTTCCATCATGAGAGGTAGCCTCTGCCAGAAGGATGAAGGCTGTGAATGGCTGCTGGGTAGGCCAATCAACAATGTACCCTAAACTTTAAACACATTTGTACCAAAACTTTTGCCATATCCTTATATCACCCATACTGTCATTCACTTAATATTGTCCTCAAATCAGTTTATCTTTTGTTTAACCTAAAAATCTTTACTTAGGTAGGAAATTCTATATCCTTATCATAAATGCAAAACCACTACTAGATACATTTTTCCCAATCCACATTAAAATACATTTATAATGATTAAAACAAAAATTTTTTGCACATTTTACCTACAAGCATCTCTTGTCCCACTAGCAGTAGTCATACTTTGAGATTCATGGTAGCAGGATAAATTCATTTCCTCCTCATTCCTGGGCCCTGATATTAGGAACACCCTAACAAGCAGGGTGCACTGGCTCACGCCTGGAATCCCAACACTTTGGGAGGCCAAGGCAGGAGGATTGCTTGAGCCCAGGAATTTGAGACCAGCCTGGGCAACACTCTTAAATAATAATAATAATAGGCCGGGCACAGTGACTCACACCTGTAATCCCAGCACTTTGGGAGGCCGAGGCGGCGGATCACGAGGTCAGGAGATCGAGACCATCCTGTCTAACACGGTGAAACCCCGTCTCTACCAAAAATACAAAACAAAAAATTAGCCAGGCATAGTGGCAGGTGCCTGTAGTCCCAGCTCCTCGGGAGGCTGAGGCAGGAGAATGGCATGAACCCAGGAGGCGGAGCTTGCAGTGAGCTGAGATTGCTCCACTGCACTCCAGCCTGGGCGATAGAGCAAGACTCCATCTGAAAAATAATAAAAATAATAATAACAATAACAAAAGAAAGAACACCCTAACAAAGTGCCATAACGTGCACTGCAAAGTACCACCGAAACTACCTTTTTGCAGCCACACTACCAAGTAGGCCCCTGCCTCTCACCCTCCGTGCTCCAGCTCTCAAAGTGAAGACATTAGCAAAATCATAGTAGACAAACTAGCTGACTTCCTATCCAGCCACACTCCCTCCAAAATTTTGTTTTCCACTAAAAGGAAAACTGTCTCAAAAGCTATAGGGACCACCACATGCCTTAGAGTGAGATCGTCCACACTTACTCGTCTAAGAATGCTCACTCACATTTAATCACAAGGCAGCATTGACTGTGGACAGAGAAAAGCAATCGATGCCCATTACTTACATCGGAGGCTGGACCCTTGTCAGCGCCAGGGCAGGAGAATGTGACAAATTCATGGCACCGCTTGTGCACCACAAAGCAGCAAACTGCAAAAGAGAAAATCAGGGTGGGAGGAAGGGAAGAAGGAAAGCGGAGAGGAGGAAGAGAGAGAAAGGGAGGAAGAGATCATTAAACTTGAACTTCACCAACAAGTAAAGCCTTTATGCCAAAATAAACAATAATGTCAGCTTCTGCAGCTTGTCCTTTGCTGAAGTCAAACTCTTGGGAACATAGATGCTTCATCTTGCATAGGAGTTAAACTTCTAAAGTTAGCTAGGGTTAGAAAGATTCCATATGCTCAAAATTACACTCCCTTGAAGATCCCTTAAAGTGCCTTGTCTTCTATTGATTTTGGAACAGAATGTTGTTTCTTGGATCAGGTGCCAGATGAAGTAGTTGGCTTGTGTTTAGGTGCATAATGCATAAGAAATATGTATCTTTAAATCCTAGAATCACACTTAAGAGAGGTGTTCATACGATGAGGGTCATGTGGAAACAGAGGGGACAGGATGGTGGACTCATGCCCCATCTCACCAAAAGCAACGTCAATCTAATAGAAGAGTGGGAAAAATAGGCAGCAACGTTTACATTGTCACTTTAGTAGTCTGCAAGCAAATACATATATACACACATTTGAATTGGTGTGAATTTAATGCATCTATGGTATGGCTCCCCTATTTGGAGGTTATATCCCTCTGGGGGAGGTACAATGAAAGAATGTATACAAAATAAAACTGCTTTGTTGTTGTTGTTGTTGTTCAAATCATCTTTTACAGTCTTGGTGTTCAAATCTTCTTTTACAACCTCTAGACTGCGGGTTTCTGGAGGACGGGTGCCATGCTTCAGGGAGCAGCTCAGAGCCTTTCTAAAGTGCATGCTTAGTAAATGAAAATAGAACAGGAAACCTCAAGGCCATCCCTAGTGACACAATGAGTCTAGGTGACATTCATCTATGGTTGCTAAGGTCACAAAAAGATACCACTTGCCTACAGAGGAAAGCTCACTTCACTACCTATGAAGTACACTTGTCAAATAATCAAATATGATTGGTTCAAGTCTCTTGATGCAAATACAGATTTACAGAAAATACAAGTGACAGAGGAACATATTAAATGACACCACAGGGATGCGATCAGCAAACACACCCCCCCCCACCCCAACCAAATACCCAGAATGTAGAAAACTACAAGGCAAAGAATATGGTATCTTCAACAAATAGACTACAAGAGAGGACTGCAAGTGGGGAGAAAATAGGACGAGAAACGTATATTTTCAAAGGAATTTAAGAAACATATCAACTAAATTTTTTTAATTTTACTTTAAATTCTGGGATACACGTGCAGAACATTCAGGTTTGTTACACAGGTATACATGTGCCATGGTGGTTTGCTGCACCTATCAACCCATATCAACTAAATTTAACATGTGGACCTTGTTTGGATTCTAAGTGGAAAAAAACCAACAGTTTAAAAAACTGTAAGGCAATCAGGGAAATGGATATACTCACTTTCTGATGACATAAGGGAATTATTGTTACTGATATTAGGGAATGAAAAATATTTGGTGTGATAATGGTCTTGTTTTTCTTTGCTTATAGAATCCTTATCTTTGAGGATACATTAACATCTTTATGGATAAAATAATTTAAAATAATTCAGTATGCCAAGGTGGGGAGAGAAAGGGGAGGATTACAGATGAAAAAGAAATTGATCATGATGGGTCATTATTGAACTGGGTGATGCATACACAAGGATGCATTATACTAATGTTACTTTTATATATGTTTAATTTTTTCCATAATATGAAAAGTTTTCAACAGAGGAAGAGATAGAGAAGTAGAGAAAACCCAAGTCATAAGAAATGGGAGTTGCAGGAGGGTTACAAGATGAAAATGTGCTGAGTCTTATATTCCTCAAAAGATTATTGATATTGAGAAATTGCATATAGGACATTATAAGTTTAAATATACGTGTTAACAATTAAGTATTAAAAATAAGAATAGAAACCGGGTGTGGTGGCTCACATCTGTAATCCCAGCACTTTGGGACACCAAGGCAGGAGGATCACTTGAGCCCAGGAGTTTAAGACCAACCTGGGCAACATAGTGAGACCCCATCTCTACAAAAAATAAAAGATTAGCCAGACATGGTGGTGCATGCCTGCAGTCCAGCTACTCCGGAGGCTGAGGTGGGAGGATCGCTTGAGCCCAGGAAGTTGGGGCTGCAGTGAGCCATGACTGCACCACTGCACTCCAGCCTGGGTGACCTAATGAGACCCTGTTTCAAAAATAAATACATAAATAAATAAAAATATAAAAACTACTATGTATTCCTTTTAAACCACTAAAAGGGAAAACTGGACAAAGAAAGACAGTCCAAGTACACCTCAAACAGCCTTCTTCATGCTCCAAGGTCATATAAATATTACTCTTTGGAGTTTTTTTGTACTTTTATATGGCATCATTTCCACTTTAAACTCTTTGATCCATGTCTAATTTCTTGGAATCTGATGTGAAATGGGAATCCAATTTGCCATTTTTTTCCAAAGAGGTAACCAATTGTCCCAGCATCCTTTATTGAATAATTCATCCCTTCCCCACTGATTTCAAATGCCAACTTTATTATATGTTTAATAATTATATATACTGGGGTCTGTCTTTGGGCCTTCTATTCTGTGCCACTGATCTGTCTTCTAGTATAGCAATATGGGCTTTAATTATAGTAGCTCTGTAATATGTTATATCTTGGCAGGGCAAGTCCACCCTCATTATCCTTATTTTCAACATTTTCTTGGCTATCACTGCATATTTATTCTTCCAAGTAAACTTTAGAATCAGTTTATCAAGATTTTAAAAATACCAATGGAATTTTTATTGGGATTGTATTCAGTCAACCCTCAGCCTCCAAAAAATGATTGGGACTTTGATTGAAATTGTGTTAAATTTAGAAATTAAATTCAAGATAATTGATGCCTTGACAACAATGAGTCTTTCCATCAGGAAATGATTGTCCCCTTGTTGAACTCTTATTTTCTCCATATAAGTCCTACACATTTTCCCTTTAGCATCATCTAAGGGATTCTTTTTTATGCTATTGTAAATTTGACATGTCTTCATTTTGTTTCCCAACTGGTCATTGTTTAAAAATAGGAAAGCAAATAGCTGTGCGCAGTGGTTCATGCCTGTAATCCTAGCACTTTGGGAGACTGAGGCAGGCAGATCACTTGAGGCCAGAAGTTCGAGACCAGCCTGGCCAACATGGTGAAACCCCGTCTCTATTAAAAATACAAAAAAAATTAGCTGGGCGTGGTGGTAGGTGCCTGTAGTAGTCCCAGGTACTTGGAAGGCTGAGGCAGTAGATTGCTTGAACCCAGGAGGCGGAGGTTGAAGTGAGCCAATATCATGCCACTGCACTCCAGCCTGGGCAACAGAGCGAGACTCCATCTCAAAACACAAAACAAACAAACAAACAAAAACAATAGGAAAGCAATAGATTGTTAGCATATTTATTTTAAAGCATTTTTTAAAAAAACTCAAATAGCTTTTGTGGAGTTTTAGTTGCTTCCTTTGAGTTTTCCAGATAGAAAACCGTATTACCCCAAATAATATTTTTATTATTCTCTCTTTTCCCCCTGTCGTAGTTCCATGTTTAACTTTCCCTTTTATTCAACATGAAAGTAAAGGGATGACAGCATAGTCTCGCCCCATCCCTGAGCTTTCCCCAGCTTCACCTCCCTCTCCCTCTCTACACTTCAACCACACAGGAAAGTTTTTCACCTCTACTCAAACAAACTTTTGGAATTTATATTTTCCTTGGAAATTATCCACAGTGTTCTTCTCAACGTGTTTAAATTGTAGCATCTTATCTGGGATGATATTACACCTTTTCTCTTTCTTTGTTTCTTTCTTCATATTGCATTGTTAGGTAGTCTCTCGTTATTTTTTTTCCAGAAGTTTGTGTTCTTTCTTGTCTATTTTTATCTTTCTATCATGTTAAAGAAGCAGATTATGATTATATTTATCAACTCTACCTGGTTTTAGCCTACTTTATTAATTGCTACTTTAACTTTTTTTGTTCTGTGTGTCTGTGATTGTATTGCTTACTTGTATTTGTATTACTTATTGGTTGGGAATGTGAATTCTGGAGTCTGATGATCAGGTGTATATCCTGTGTCTATCATTTGCAAACTCTAAGACTAGGTACACTACCTCATCTTCCTGTACTTCAGTTTCCTCTCTGGAAAATGACAGCAACAATAGGACCCATATCACAGTGGTGTTGTCAGAACTAAATGAGTTATTCCATGCCCAGAACCATGCCAACCATATCATGACTATTCTACAAATGTCAGCTAATATTATCCACTGTTCTTTTTAAAGCTTCTTGAATTGACTGCTCAATTAATTTATTCCCATTCCTCTTCATTAAACATTTAAAGATGTTATGGCTAAAAACCCTCTTTTAAGTACAGTTTTGGCTGCATCCTATGTTTTATATTTAGTCCCATCATTGTATCAAGTTTCTAAGTGGTCTATTAGTATGGTTTTAATTTATTCTTTGACCCAGAAATATTTAGGAAAGTAGTTTCCCCCATTTTCAAGTAGGTGCTTTATTCTACAACCTTTCTTCCAAACATCTAAAATATCAGTTATTCTCTACAAAAAATACAAAAATTAGCAAAGTGTGGTGGCAGGCCCCGGTAATCCCAGCTACCCAGGAGACTGAGGCAGGAGAATCACTGGAACCAGGGAGGCAGAGGCTGCAGTGAGCCGAGATCACGCCACTGCACTCCAGCCTAAGAGACAGAGCGAGACTCTGTCTCAAAAAAAAAAATCAATTATTATCTTATTCATCTTTATCCCCTTTGGAGACAGAAGGGGATAAAGATAGCTCATCTCTAGTCTCCTAGTGTCTACCACAATTCCTGGTACATAATTGATATTCAGTAAATAAATGTTTGGTGAATGAATGAACCAAAAAATGAATATCATCAGTCATAGAAAAAGGAGAAAACATAACCAACTTCATGGTAGATGTAGCTCCTGGATGATCGCCTGACATCCCACCAGCCTGGATATTTGTCAATCCAACCATTGACAAGGTCACTTTAGGTAGGCTTCCAATTACCCACAGAAATGAATAGTCCATCCCCACTGAGGCAGAATCAATAGGCCAAGTGAACCCCAGCATGATGTGCAGAGAAGCTGAGAACAGACTTTGAAAAACCTCATGAGCTTCTGGTGCAGGTAATTCCTTTACACAGTGTGTTTCTGAAAAGTTGTGCAAATCAAATTTCCCATTAACTAAAACACTTTGAAGAAAATAGTAGGGCTGCCTATTTAAAGAAATCAAATCCTTTTGTGACACAAATAAACGCCCCCTCATTTCTATTTGGCAAATTCAGAGTAAGACCAGTTTTTGTTTTCTGTTTTTTTTTTTTTTAAGAAGAGGCAACATTTACTGAGCTACTGAAAAAAATGTACTAGACCCTACTTTCAAACAGGTACCCAGTTAAGAGCCCAGAATCTCCAGATGCTTCATAATTTATTCAATAACCCCTTGCTCTACAAAGGTTGAAAGCCTGCAGCCCTCTGACCCCAGTCTATAGCAAGGCTTTACTAGAACTACAAAATGGGGTCTGAAACTCAAATGCCTAGGGGCCAGGTGAGCAATGAAAATGTCTGACGGCCAGGTAGGGGACTGCACACATGGCCTGTTTAAAAGGGGAAATTGCTACTCAGCTCCAGCAGAGAATGAAAAAGATGTCTCCGGCTCTATCCACCTCCCACCCTCCCTTATTACAGGCAAGATCAGAAAGGCCACCTGCAGCTGAGTGCAGTGGCTCACACCTATAATCCTAGCACTTTGGGAGGTCGAGGCAGGAGGATTGCTTGAGCCCAGGAGTTCAAGACCATCCTGGGCAACATGGCAAGACTCCATCTCTAAAAAATTTTTAAAATTAGCCAGGCTTGGTGGTGGGCACCTGTGGTCCCAGCTACTTGGGAAGCTGAGGTGGGGGGAATTGGTTGAACCCGGGAGGCTGGGAAATCAAGGCTGTAGTGAGCTGTGTTAGCACCACTGCACTCCAGCCTGGGCAACAGAATGAGACCCTGACTCCAGAAAAAAAAGAAAAGAGAAGAGAAGGGGAAGGGAAGCAGAAGCGAAGGGGAAGGGAAAGGCAAGGGAAAGGGAAGGGGAAGGGAAAGGGAAGGGAAAGGGAAAGGGAAGGGGAAGGGAAAGGGAAGGGAAAGGGAAGGGAAGGGGAAGGGAAGGAGAAGGGAAAGGGAAGGGAAGGGAAGGGGAAGGGAAGGGGAAGGGAAGGGGAAGGGAAGGCGAAGGGAAGGGGAAGGGAAGGGGAAGGGAAGAGGAAGGGAAAGGGAAAGGGAAGGGAAAGGGAAGGGGAAGGGAAAGGGAAGGGAAAGGGAAGGGAAGGGGAAGGGAAAGGGAAGGGAAGGGAAAAGGAAAGGGAAGGGAAAGGGAAGGGAAAGAGAAGGGGAAGGGAAAGGGAAGGGGAAGGTGAAGGGAAAGGGAAGTGGAAGGGAAAGGGGAAGTGGAAGGGAAAAGGAAGGGAAAGGGAAGGGAAGGGGAAGGGAAAGTGAAGGGGAAGGGAAAGGGAAGGGAAGGGGAAGGGAAGGGAAGGGGAAGGGGAAGGGAAGGGGAAGGGGAGGGGAAGGGGAAGGGAAGGGGAAGGGGAGGGGAAGGGGAAGGGGAAGGGAAGGGAAGGGAAGGGGAAGGGGAAGGGAAGGGGAAGGGAAGGGGAAGGGAAGGGGAAGGGAAGGGGAAGGGAAGGGGAAGGGAAAGGGAAGGGAAGGGGAAGGGAAGGGGAAGGGAAGGGGAAGGGAAAGGGAAGGGGAAGGGAAGGGGAAGGGAAGGGGAAGGGGAAGAGAAAGGGAAAAAAGGAAGGGAAGGAGAAAAGAAAGGGAAAAAAGGGAAGGGAAAGGGAAAGGAAAGGGAAGGGAAGGGAAGGAAAGGAAAGGAAAAGAAAGGAAAGAAGAAAGGCCACCTGCCAGCTCTGTAGGCAGAATAATGTTCCCATCCCCTACCCCCGACCCCCTGACACCACCACCAGATATCCGTGTCCTAATCCTGGGACCTGTGAATATATTACTTACATGACAAAATTGATTTTGCAGATGTGATTAAATTAAGGATCTTGAGAAAGGGGGTTATACTAGATTATCTGGATGAGCCCAGTGTGATCACAGGGGTCCTTATAGGAGGGAGGGAAGAGACTCGGAGTCAGAGGATGAGACGTGATGATGGAAGCAGAGGTTGGAATTGTGCCATTTCTGGAAGGGAACGCAAGCCAAGGAATGTGGGTGGCCTCTAGAAAAGGTAAGAAACAGATTGTCCCCTAGAGCCTCCAGAAGGAAGGCAGCCCTGCTGACACCTCGATTTCAGCCCCGGAAGACCTGCTGTTCAGAATGTTGACATCTAGAAGTATAAGATAATAAATGTGTGCCATTTTAGGCCAGGAAATTTGTGGTAATTTGTTACAGCAGCAATAAGAAACACTAGATCAGCAAGGATAAGAAACGCCTGGTTAATCCCAGATGGAAGGAGTAGACTGTAGCCAAAAGCTTGGGTGACAGGGGCCCTCTCGGATGTTTCTGCCCCAGGAAAAGCACTGAGATCTCAACTCTGCTTCACACTGCACTTCACCCCTAACTCCCAAATTTTAGTGGTTTACTCTAACCACTAAAATTTACTCATTGCATTCCAAAGAGGACTAAATTAAATCATATATATATATATATTCTGTTTGGAGTCGATTCCCCTCTTGTACACAATTCTTACTGGGGTCTATAGTGGAAAACTGACATTCTTAGGAAGCAACCTTTACCCTTAAATCCATGTCAATCTGGGATAGAAATTCTAGCGCTAGTTGCAGATATCTGTGGTAGGAGAAGAAATGAGAAGCCCATCACCTACAGGAATTACAGGCTAAGTTTCTGGAAGCAGGAGGACCTTCGTTTGAACACTCATTTTACTACCTATAAGCTGAAGGACATTAGCTCAGTGTCTCCACCTCTCTGAGCCTTATTTTATCACAGTACCTATGTATATAAGGTTGTTGTGCAGCTCAAATAAGACAACACATGCAAACTGTTTGGTGGAAAAGGGCATTTAAGTTGGAGCCACTGGCATGCAGATTTTGCTCTACAGCTGCTGGGAGAACCACTCTTTCCTCCTAGGTCAAAGCTGACCCACAGACTTATCCGCATTAAACTCTACCAAGTACCTAAGATGAAGTGGGGTTCCCCCAGGCAATTTCCCGAACTGTTTCCATGATCAAAGACAGAAAGTTCTGGTCACCATTTCTGCCCAATGGCTGGTCTCACCAGCACTAAGAAGAGTGACTCACAGGGTCATGCTATTGAGTTTGCAAAGGGCTTTCATATCCGTGCTTAACCTGAGCCTCATCACAGTCCTGTGAGGAAGGTGCTATGATTCTCATTATATCTTTTATAGAGACAAAGTCTTGCTCTGTCACCCAGGCTGGAGTGCAATGGTGCAATCACAGCTCACTGTAGCCGCAAACTCCTGGGCTCAAGTGATCCTCTGGCCTCAGCCTCCTGAGTAGATGGGACTACAGGCATGCATCACCATGCCTGGCTAATTTTTTAAGTTTTTTCTAGAGACGGGATCTCACTATGTTGCCCAGGCTGGTCTCAAACTCCTGACCTCAAGTGATCCTCCTGCCTTCGGTCCTCGTTATATTAACAGGGACACTGATGCTCGGAGAGAAGTAATTTGCCCAAGGTTGTTCAGCTAGTCCGTGTTAACACTTGTATTTGAAACCAGTTTGTCTTCCTCTAGAGCCCACACTCTCAACTCACACAGTGCAGTTACATGTGTGTTTGTCATTCATCTCACTGTTCCAGGAGAAAGCCTCCCCCGCTTTCCTCACCCCCGCCATTCAGTCAGTTGCTAAATCCCACTGATTCTTCCTTCGCAACACCTTTTATGCCATATCTTCCTGTACATTCCCCCCGACTCCCACAGCCTGTGATTTCCCCCACAGGCATGGAATTTTACAATAAAGCCTTAACTGGTGTCCACAGAGATTGCAGTTGCCTTGATATCTCATCCCTATGAGCCCAAGTTTCCATAAACACAAAGGATCTAAATCCACCGAATGGCACATGAGTGTTAACAAAAATCTAAATGAGATTTTACGTGTGAATGCCCAGCACCAGGGGACAGCAGAAGGTATATTCTCAATGAAGGTTCATTTATTTCCTTCCAGGATGGAAGGATTCATGGTACAAGCTCTACAGCTGAGCTGCCTGGATTCTACACCGTGTGCCACTGTTGATTAGCTGTGTGACCTTGAATATGCCCATTGTCTTTGCTGTGTCTCATTTTCTAGTCTATAAAATAGGGACAATGATAGTACTTTCCTCATAGAGTTGTTATGAGGAATAAGTGAGTTATCTTAGCACAGTGTGTGGACACAAGAAGTGCCTAATAGATGCTAAGAAGTGTCAATATTATCCCTACCTACTTCTGCTCACCCCATGCGGCCTGTACACTCCTGGAAAAATCACCTTCTGAAGATTCAGCTTTGATATTATTTCCCTGCTCCAACACATCCACTGCTATTGCCTAAATCTGCAGCGCCCAGTGTGGTAGCTACCAGCCACATGGAGCTATGTAAAAGTAAATTAATTAAATAAAATCTAAAATGCCAATAAAAATCTTCATTCATGCCAGCTACTTTTCAAGTGCTTGATGCCACATGCGTCTGGAGACAACATTGGATAGTACAGATATAAGAAATTTCCAGCACCATAGAAAGTCTTATTGGACAGCAGTAGCCTAAAGGTTAAAGTTCAAAATGCTTAGCCCGGCATCTACCCACAGTATACCCCACCATCTAACTTGACTCTCATCTCTTGTCACTCCACTGCCCCACACTCCAGCCAGGCGGCATTAACCATCCATTTCCATGATGTATTTTACACATTCCCTATTGTGCACATCTTTTCCACAAACAAATCAATACCCACAGCCCATCCCATGCAGTCCACAAATGAAACTTAAAGCAAAGGAGCTTGGTTTTCCAGCCAGCAGACAGAGGGCCAGATTGGAATAGAAATGGCACATTCCACAGGACACTTCAGCTCAGCATCCCTGCAGGACAGACGACAGTTCACTCATCCTACCTACCTTAACACAGGGGTGACAAACGCAAATGCCTGCAGAGGCTAGGCCTGTGACTGAGTGATGCAAGGCTGGTGTGACACAGAAGGGAAGGGATATGGGGGGACTGCGCTGAACTGAGGGGCATATGCCCTTCCAAGGGACACTCAGCTCTAGCCAACAGTGGCCCTGGGTTCACTGGTCCAGAGTCGTGAAATAGGATTTTTTTAAAAAGTTCTGTACAGGCCATCCAAACACATCTAAGTGCTGCCAGTTTATAAGCTCTCTTAGCTGGTCATTCGGCCTCAAATATTTACAGCTTGGTTGTATGAATTTCTGTGTTAAAATATCCCCAATCTTAGAATGGAGATAAGACCACCAATTTCACATACGGTTGTGAAGGTGAGATCAGATTCACGTGCCTACCACGTGCCTGGCTTATACCTAATTCTTACTAAAAATGTGAGCGAATGAATGAATGAATGAGCTCTTCTGGTCTCTCCCACACTCGGAAACCACTCATTGCAGCTGAGTAGAGGAGGGCAAGCAGAGACCACGGGCAGGGAGATGGTTTGTGTGAATCTGTGGGCAGCCGGCCCCAACACAGACAAGCTAGAGTTCAGGGGTCATCTTACAGCCCTGTCTGGCCAGCTTTCAGTACACAGTGAGCATTTATGCTTGTGGCTTCAAAATTCCAACATTACAAACGAGTATACAGTTGAGAATCACCACTGTACTTCATCACTGGAGAGAACCGTTCTTTCCAGTCTCCTGTGTATCCTTCTAGAGACGTTCTCTGTATGCGCGACCACATGTGTGAGGCTATCTGTAGGTACGGACTGAGATATTCCCTACTTCAGTTTTCTTTTTTTATCTAGATCCCTGCTGTTTTGCCCATATACAATTCTACAGCACTAGTTCTCAGTCCTGGCTCCCCAGGAGTCACCAGGGAGCTTTTAAAATGAAAAGTGCTCAAGTCCCACTCCCAGAGATTCTGATTTAATGGGGCTGTGAGGAGAGGGTGGTGGGCAGGCATCAGTACGTTTTAAAAGCTCCTGGGTGATTTGAATGTGCTTGGGAGAGCTGAACACTGCTACTCTGAACGCACCTCCACCACCTGCTTTTCCCCACACTAACACATCTGGGAGGGTCTGTTCCATCTCCATATGTAGAGAATAACCCCATTCTGTTTGCACAATTGCATCTGTTCCACCGTATAGAGGTCCTTCCTCTAATTTGCCCAGTCTTATGGGAAACTCTTAAAGTTCTGATGGTGATTATTTCTTCCTGGAAGAGGGGAGGAAGAGATAGCAAACTTCATTTGCTTATTCACAGCCCAGCACTAAAAAGGAAAAACAAAAGAAAGAGCAGTAATTTTGCAGTGGTCAGCAACTGCCGGAAAAGACTGTTTTCCTTTATAATGTTACCAAATTTATTTAACTAAGCAAGATAAAACAGTTGAGCCAACATGAGGAAAAGAACAGGCCTGAGAAGTAAATAAATCCACCAGAAGAAAGCTGCCCCTACCCTTCCCTCTGCAGTAACAACCCTGGGAGAGCCAGACCCTGAGCAGAACACCTGCTGGGGACATCCTTCCTGTTTGGGTGGCACGTGGAGACTGTCCTTGACCCCATGACTTCCCGCTTTTGATCAGGCCCCCAAAGATGCAGAGAGCAGGACACAATGCCATGGTCTAAGGGGATGACACATCAATATCTCTTCACTCACCAGCCATATCCAGCAGCAGATTGCTCAGACCAGAAGCAGGCCTAACCCCAAAACCAAGTGTGGTGGCATGTCTTGTTTCTGCCTGACAGCACCCATCCTCCATGCTTCTCCTGTGAGGAATCGCTCTTCACTGGCTCACTGATTGTGTGGGCCAGCTAAGGCTGCCCTCATCCTCTGGCTCTAAGGGTGGACATGGGACCTGGGCCACAGTGGGGATTCAGGCATGGGCGTGTGACTCAGGACACCCAAAGAGAATCAGCTTCAGGACTTTTGCTGGAATTATTAGGAAAGAGGGTTTATTTTCCAGCAGAGTTGTTAAACTGGTAGGGAATAAATTTGCATCTGCCATCCGTTTTTGGGGGGGCGGTTTTTGTGGGTTTTTTTGAGACAGAATCTCACTCTGTCACCCAAGGTGGAGTGCAATGGTGCGATTATGGCTCACTGCAACCTTGAGCACCTGGATTCATGCAACTCCCACTTAACATCCCTAGTAGCTACTACAGGTGCACACCATTACACCTGAATTTTTTTTTCTTTTGTAGAGATGGGGTCTCACTAGGTTGACCAGGCTGGTTTCGAACTCCTGGCCTCAAGTGGTCTTCTTGCCTCAGGCTCCCAAAGTGCTGCATCTGCCATCTTTACCATCACCAAGGAAAAGTTTTTTTGAGAATGAAGCCAACACAGAGAAAAGCTGAGCCAAGAGATGCCCCATGACCATGCTGGAGCACCTAAATCCAGCCAGACCTAAAGAACTCTCAACTCCTCTGTACAAGCCAATAAATGCCTCTTTTCCTAAACCAACTTGAATTGTTTTTTTTGTCTCTTGTGACCAAAGGAGTCCTGACTAACAAACCAAATGTGAGAAGTTGAAGGGTGGGCCGTGGGGGCCCTTATTTCTCTTGTGCTTCGTACGTTCCTATAAGTAAGCCTTTATTATTATTATTTAGGAGCTTGGTGTTACTAGCACTCAATTCCATCAGTCCATACTGGTGAATTCAGGAAAGTTGAGATACAGAGTTTCATCCTTCCCTTAATTCCTTTAGATATTGCAGAAGACGTAATGCACCTAGGAGTTTCAGTGGGTGTTCAGGCGTGGGCGTGTGACTCAGGTCACCCAAAGAGAGTCAGCCAGGAACTATGAGGTTTGACAGGTCTACTGTGCCCATGAGTGTCTGTTACTTGGGCATCTTCTCAGTAGGTGCCTTTAGGATAGGCACATCCACCTCGCTGATGCAACAGCGATTTAGACCCTTTGCTACTACCAGCATCCTCCCCTTGCTGGTAAAGCAGAGGCCACAGAGCCACAAGCCACACCCTTTGTTGACATGACAAGGAGTGACAGCCACCAAATTGTGCCTCCTGAGGTGGCATAATCTCTGGGCTACCTTGAAGCCCAGAGACAAATGCGTGTCAATCCCAGGCCCCCAACTCACTCTAAAATAGGCAAATGGAAAAAGCTTAATCCCCAGCCAGGAAAAACACTAGCAACAATTCTGCAACGAGGAATGACTTGCTAAGTGAATACTGCAAAAATCACTGAATCATACACAGGACCATGGAGACTACAAAAAGTGTCTGTTGGCTTTGCCTGCCCAGCGTCCACTCCCTTTTCTCTGGTAGCTGGAATGTTGTTTTTCTTTGGGAAGCCATCCTTTCTCCACGGTATGCAGTCCTGGTGGGGCTGTCAATCGAGGTGCCCGGCTTTCCCCTTGCACATGACTGAACCTCACAACATTGGGGAATCACACTGTTCTCCCTGGGATTTGATTCTTGGGACAAGGACAGAAAACAGCTGGAGCTGATTCCTCCCGATGGTGTCACCCTGTGAAGGTCATCCATTCGCTCCTGCCACCCAGATCCCCAGAGCCACCCTGGGCCCTGTACTCTCTGAGGCCTGGCACCACTCGTGTGCCAACCCATAATATTTCCAGTTTTTTTTTTCCTTTAGATAACTAGAGTTCTTTTGTGTGCTTACAAATGACAAAAGAACCTGAACCAATCCAGACACCTAATCTCACCCCAGATTGATGCAAATATCTTTTCCATGACATCCCCAAAGGATGGTCACCAAGCAGCTCCCTGCACTCTTCCAGGACGAGGGGTTCTCTGCCTCCTAAGGACAGCTCTGACATTAGAGTTCTTCAACTGCGCAGAAGTCGGCCTGCCTCAGTCCTGATCCTGCCCTCTTGGCCCCTTCCTCCTCTCCTTGGCTCCTCCTCCTGTTCTCCAGCCCTTCCCTATCCTAGAGGAAGTTCTCGAGGCTCTGTCCTAGGTGCTGATCTCTACCCTGTGGACTCTCTCTCACTGAAGCATCTTGTCAATCCAAGGGACTTCAGGAATTCTATTCCTGCTGGTCCCTCTCAGTCCTGTGCTCCTCCCTGAACCCCACACCTCTCTGTCCACCTGTCTCCTCAGCACCACCATTCAGATGAACAGAACATGCCCCAAGCCAAGTTCTCATTCTTCTGCCTCATTTCTCAGGATGTGCCTGCATCCCTTACCCTGGGACTCACCCTTCTCTCCTCCCTCACCACCACCACCACTCACTTCCAAACACTAATTCTGTTCAGTCTAGCCCCTAATTATCACCCAAAACCAGCCCCCTGCCCTGAGCAAATATATATATATGAGACCTCATATCTCTGGTCTCTGACACTTGATTCTTGTTTAACTCCTATCATCCTTCAGATATCAGATTAAATATCATTTCCAGCTGGTCAGAGTGCCTTACGCCTGTAATCCCAGCACTTTGGGAGGCCAAGAAAGGTGAATTGCTTGAGCCCAGGTGTTTGAGACCAGCCTGGGCAACACAGCAAAACCCTATCTCTGCAAAA
Source organism: Homo sapiens (assembly GCF_000001405.40). Taxonomy (NCBI): domain Eukaryota; kingdom Metazoa; phylum Chordata; class Mammalia; order Primates; family Hominidae; genus Homo; species Homo sapiens. Next base: position 23,973,847 of record NC_000016.10, on the reverse strand, counting down.
ACACAAAACAGTAGCGGGGCAAGGTGGTGCATGCCTGTACCCAGGTAGCTGGGGTGGGAGGATCACTTGAGCCCAGGAGGTCGAGGCTGCAGTGAGCCGTGATCATGCCAATGCACTCCAGCCTGGGCAACAGAGTGAGACCCTGTCTCAAAAAAAGAAAAAAAATATATTATTTTCTTGGGGATTAAATATCACTTCTGTCCTGACGTGCCAATCTAGGTTTAACATGCTCACTGTATGTTCCCATTTGACTTAATGTCTCCAAGTCACTTTGTTATTTTCAACCATAAAGTAGGAATAAAAAGAGTACCTACTCATAGAGTTGCTGGGATTAAATGTGACAACACATTAAAAACACTGAAAGAGGCCGGGCCCGGTGGCTCACGCCTGTAATCCCAGCACTTTGAGAGGCCGAGGCAGGTGAATCACCTGAGGTCAGGAGTTAGAAACCAGCCTGGCTAACATGGTGAAATCCCCATCTCTACTAAAAATACAAAAATTAGCCGGGCGTGGTGGCGGGTGCTTGTAATCCCAGCTACTTGGGAGGCTGATGCAGGAGAATTGCTTGAACCCGGGAGGTGAAGGTTGCAGTGAGCCAAGATTGTGCCACTGCACTCCAGCCTGGGCAACAGAGTGAGATTCTGTCTCAATAAAAATAAAAATTAAAAAGAAAAAAATCATTTCACTGAGGATTAAATATCACTTCCGTCCTGACCTGCCAGTCTAGGTTTAACATGCTCACTGTATGACCCCATTTGACTTAACATCTCCAAGCCACTTTATTATTTTCAACCATGAAATGAGAATTAAGAGTACCTACTCATGGAGTTGCTGGGATTAAATGTGACAACACATTAAAAACACTAAAAGAAAAAACTAAACCTTAACACCATAATAGGCACTAGCTCATCATAAATATTAGCTATTACTATTGTTGTTGCAAATAATAAAAATATCTTTCCCTCCCAGACTGTTAACTCCATTAAATCAGAGGAGCCATATGTTTTGTTCACTACTGTCTTCCTAATACTGACACATAACAGGAGCTCAGTATTTAATTGGCTGATTGGTTGTGATTTAAAGCTCACGACTGTAGACCACACTCTCCCTCACTTTTCTCCCCAATGTTTCCCCTTCACCAGGCTAAACATTTTCATTTCCTCCCAATACATTTTAGTTATACAAGACAAAACCTTCTCACCATCATGCTAGATGCCCTTAGACAAGGTAAACTCATAGCAAAAAGGCCTTCGTATGGGAGACTTTCCATTTGCTTTCTTTTTTATTTAAATAAGACAGTGAAGGGGAAAACCTAAGTACAGGAAAAAATTAAAAACTGAAAGGAAATAGATAAAATGTGGATGGTGGTGGTTGTCTCTAGTTAAAAGGACTTTCAGGATTTCTTTTTCTTTTTACAATTTTGCATTCTCTGATATTTAAATATAATAAAGCAAATACAAATTTTCATATACCTGAACTTCATGAGGCATACTTTGATACAAGACAATACAAATGTATTATACGCATGTACCACCAAAATTGAGATACAGAGCATGGGCACCACCTAAAAAGTTTCCCTGTACACACCCCCAGCCTGTGGTAGACACTGATCCACTTTCTGTTACTATATAGATTAATGGCCTCGTACAGTATGCACTATTTTGTGTCTGCCTTCTTTCACTTAAAATAATGTTTTTGAGACTCGCGCATGCACGTGTCTGTATTAGCAGTTAGTTCATCTTTACTGCTGAATAATATTCCATTATATGATTATTCTAAAGTTTGCTTATCCATTCATCTACTGATCAATATTCTGGGGTTTTTTTAACAGTATCTGGTTATTATGAATAAAGCTGCTATGAACATTCATTTATAAGTCTTAATTTATTCATTCATTTTTTGTGTGGGCATACAATTTAATTCCTCTTGGATAAATACCTAGGAGTGGAATTGCTGTATCATACTGTAACTCTATGTTTAACTTAATAAGAAACTGCCATTGTTTTGCAAAGTGGTTGTACCATTTTTTAAAGGAAAACAATCCAACACATTATCTTATAATATGTTTTGCATTCTAGATGTTCAATTAAAGACATTTAACTGTGGAAAACTGTTCTGCACCTAAAGCTAAAGGTATAGTCCCATGAAATGACGTAACAGGGGCAAGTAAGAGAGGAAACCCTGAGAGATGGGCAACCTCGCGGGGGCTAGCATCACAGAGCGGGGCCAGAGATGGACAGAGGGAGCTGCAGGTGGAAATACCCCAAACTCTCTCTCCTCCCACCTTCTCGTCTCTTGCTGCCACCTCCCTTTGGCTTAACTCAGACAAAAGTCAACCAGCAAGGGAGTCCAGGAGATACAGTCCACAGGGGTCTACCTCCTGGGACACAGAGTAGGACAAAGAAGGCAGGAGAATGCTGGTCCCAGAGGAGGGACCAAATGGAGAGGAACCATCACACCATCCGTCCTCAAAGGGGAGGAGAGAAGGAGCACGTAGGAAACACTCCCAGAGGCCAACACTTGTAAACCAAACCCCAATATGAATTTCTGATGGCGATCACGATTGCCCGCTACACCTACAACATGTACTTCATCCACAGGGAATTTTTCTGTTGACAATGGGTCAGTTTTGATTAGAGCTGATCGATGGAGATGGTGACAATGATGGTAACTACTGCCACGGCTTCTAATAAAAATAATACTAAAACAGTAGTGAATACTTCATTGCATATTTACTGTAACTCAAGCACATGCTAAGAATTTATAGAATTATCTCATGTATATGTAACCTTCACAACCATAGAAAGTACATCTACTATAATCCCCACATTCCATTTATGCATGAGGAAAACTAAGCCAGAGGCCCAGAAAATCTGCCCATGGACTCTAGAGGTTGGTCAAGCCCTGACCACTACTCTGTACTGCCTCCCTCAGAGGAGAGTCCAATGACTCAGCCTTCAATCCAGCTCCAGCATTCACCTCCTGTGTCATTATGGATAAGCCACTCTGCACCTCAGTCACCTGTTTATGAAATGGCAGTGCTACCTGTTCATCCTCCCCTTGGGACTATTGTGACTATTTAACACAAGACAGGGGTTCAGCAAACACCTTTTGAGCCCCAGGGGCCCTGTAACACCACAATCTCTAAACCTCTCAACAACCCTGAAAGTGTGATCGTGATTCCTTTTAAATAAAGCATTGGAAAGATTTAGCTACTCACTGAAGAAGAAGAGGGATTTGAATTCAGGTCTACCTGACTCCAAAGTCATATTCTGCCCTTTGAAGAAAAATGGGAAGGCTGAATGAAAGTAAAAAAAGTGAGGGTTTGGTGCCTTCACTCTTAGACCCACATTTCGCACACAATTCGGTCTGGCTCCAGTATCTGCCTGCACATCAGCACACAAAAGCCTGGAGCTCCCAGGTGGCACCAACCCACCTCACTCTGTCCTCAGGTGCTTTCCCCTGCAGAATCCTGTAGCTCAGAGCCCAGGTGGTGCTCTGGGACAACCGCCCACTCCACTGGCTGCATCATCTTCCGCTCTTGCAGAGTGTATGTACAAATGAGGGTGAAGGAGTGTTACTACCCTTTGGTGCCTTCTTGGAGATGACATTAACCTTGGACAACTCCACTGATTTCCCAAGAAATCCAGCAAGGTCCAAATACAAACACACAAGCTGCCTGCAGTCTCTTAACTCAGCCTTCTTGTCACGTTTTAATACCCTGTCATTTGAGCAACACTCATCCTCCATGCACTTTGAAATCTCTTTTGCTTTAGATGCTGCCAAAAGGTTTCAATTTTTCTGTACTGGCATTGACATGATGTAGAAAGGAACATGTGAGCCATGAGGGCTCAAAAATAGCCTGGAACTTTTCAAGGAAGGGGCCTGTAGTGGGATGACAGGCAAGCTATTCTGCATAACAAAGCACTCTGTCCCTGGAGTCAGGCACAAGCCCACCCTTCCCCACGTACACACACACACACCTATCAATCACTCCCTGAAATATCATATCTGTGGGAGGATGAGAAGATAATGGTATGATCAATGAAGTTCCCGAGAGGCCTGGTGGCATGGACTTCATCCCACAGAGAATTTTTCTATTGACAATGGGTCAGTTTTGATTTGAGCTGATCCATGGAGATGGTGACGATGATGATGATAATGATGATGATGATGACGATGATGGCAATTACAATAGCTAACATCTATTGATTGTCTACTATGTGTTAGACACTGTGTTAAGCTCTTTACGTAGATTAACTCATTTTAATCCTCAGAACCCAATGAGGTAGAAACTACTAACATCCTCATTTTACAGATGAGAAAATAAGGCATGAAAAGTTAAGTAACTTGACTGTCAGTGGCAATCAGGACTGGAAACCAGCTCTCAATAGACTCCAATACAGGCACATGCATGCGTGAGTCTCAAAAACATTATTTTAAGTGAAAGAAGGCAGACACAAAATAGTGCATACTGTACAAGGCCATTAATCTATAGTAACAGAAAGATCAGTGTCTACCACACTGATGGACTACCACAGTGTCCACCTACTTGGTTCTAGGGTCTTTGCTCTTAGCCACTACACATTCACTTTAAACTCCCCATGGAAGATGCAACCATTCCCAGTGGGCCCCACTGCAGGGGAAGGAGGAGAATGTCTTTTTGGTTTTGGTTTTTGAGACAGGGTCTCACCCTGTCGCCCAGGCTGGAGTGCAGTGGCGCGATCTCAGCTCACTGCAACCTCCGCCTCCCAGGTTCAAGCAATTCACTTGCCTCAGCCTCCTGAGTAGCTTGGATTACAGGCACCCACCACCACATCCAGCTAATTTTTGTATTTTTAGTAGAGATGGGGTCTCACCATGATGGGCAGGCTGGTCTCGAACTCCTGGCTTCAAGAGATCTGCCCACCTGAGAATGTCTCTTGATACTGAAACTGAAGCCCTTTCTCAGGACCTTTAGCTCCTAGAAACGGTTTGAAACCCACACTGAATCTCAGCATTTATGAGTACTTAATATTGACCAGGCCCTTCCCTTCGAGAGTACATGAGCCACCCAATAACCTTCCAAGGTCAGTTATCTCATTCTCCTCCACTTTCAAGGTAGGGAAGCTGAGAGTTACGTGCTGCTTGTTCCTTGTTTCACCTCTCAGATCCATTTTTTTCTCTCTGATTCTGCTGTGAGCTGAGCCCCAAAAGGCTGACCCTTACAGAATTCATCATCTGGTCCTTCTGGTTTCCAGCTGGGTTCAGCCAGTGGGTGAGGCCAACAGGCAATGGGAGAGGTGAAGAGAAGCTGGGGTGTTTCTTCCCCCTCTTCCTCCCTGCCTCGGTACTGCTATTTGGGAAGCGGTTCATCCCTCCAGGACCATGGTTCCTGCTGGCGATGCCTTCCTTCTTAGCCCCAGCTCTCAATAGGCTCCAAACTATTCCCTCCGCTTGCTTCTTCCTCTTTACAGACGGTAACCGCCTCCTGCTGTTGCAAGGCCCTAGGTGCTTCCACATTCCTTATTTGTAATCTTAACCTTGCCCAAGTCTCCCTAAATAGTCCTTTCATGAAACTTTCTTCTTGCAGCCACCTGAATGGTTCTATTTCCTGCAGGGTCCTGACAACCTCAGGGGTGGAGGAACTTGTCCACAGTCACACAAGTCAGTAAAGGGCAGATAGGGCAGGTAGGTTTGAACCTAGATTCCATCATCTCAAGCATGCTTCCTTCAGAGCAGAAGGCACAAACTCAAAGACCCACAAAGGCCAGGCCAGTAAGCATAACTAAGTCAGGCAAGTGGGTAAAGCACAACAGGGAGTGGTGGGGCTTGGGGAAAACCAGAGAGCATGCACCCCACTGAGAGGCAACCACATGTAAATTTAAACAAGCACTTCAAAGACACCATAAAAGGCCCGGCGCAGTGGCTCACGCCTATAATCCAAACACTTTGGAAGGCCACGGCAGGTGGACCTCACTTGAGGTCAGGAGTTCAAGGCCAACCTGGCCAACAAGGCAAAACCCTGTCTCTACTAAACATACAAAAATTAGCTGGGCATGGTGGCGGGTGCCTGTAGTCCCAGCTACTCGGGAGGCTGAGGCAGGAGAATCTCTTGAACCTGGGAGGTGGAGGTTGCAGTGGGCCGGGGTTGTGCCATTGCACTCCAGCCTATGTGACAGAATGAGACTCTATCTCAAAAAAAGAAAAACAAAAACAAAAAAGAGGAAAGAAAGAAAGAAAAAAGAAAAAAAGACACCACACAAAAATTTCCAAGGAATTTCACCACTGCCTCTCCAAAAACCTCCTGCTGTTAGGAATTGTTCCTGATAGCAACCTAAACTTCTTTTCTCAATCCCATTCTCAATCCTTCCCACACAAGCTTTTAAATTACTTCTCCACTTTGAAAAGATTCAGGCAACAGAGATCATTAATTTTCTGGCTTCAAAGGTGGCTGTCCTGACCCAATGCATTTTCTCCACATCACCATCACCACCCTATCGCCCCCATGGGTGACTATGAGGAAGCTGCTTCCATCCTTTTGTCTTCTGCTGTCAGGGGGCTGGGAACCCAGCCAAGGCCACCATCCAAAAGGAAGGATAAGAGAAGGAATATTCTAACTCACTGCCTGGTGGCAGCGTCATCTGCTCTGTGGGCAGAAAAAGCCACAATAACCTCCACGCAGGAGAGGGAGGAGGCGCCCTCCACACCAACGACCTTGAAATCCGACCAGCTGCTGATTTGCAGGGCAGAGACAGGCCTCCTCCCAGAGCAATTAGAGGAGTGTCTTAAGGCAGGGGCTGCAAACTGGCTCTTGGGTTCACAGCATGTACTGTGCTTTAAAAAAAAAAAAAAATGGAAACCACTGCCAATTCTTAAGCTAGGAGAGTTCACGGTTTTTACAAATCCAGGTTTCCGGCTTTTCTTACAGAAAAATCAGAAGTTTTGTCAGCAGTGGGCCCACATTCTCATGCAGCAACAGAGTCATCAGAGCTTAGTCCACTACAACATCAACTCCAAGGGGGCAGGGAATTTTGCCCGGTTCATTCTCTGCTGTGTCCCCAGATGCAGAACAGGGCTTGGCACACCAGTGTATATGTGATGCATGAATAAGGAATAGTTCCCCTTTCAGACAGCCTTGCATTCTCTAGTTCACAGAAATCCACACCTGATTCAATTCACTCATGTAAGTCCCCTTCTAGTCTCCTGCAGATGGTTGGGCTTGAGACACCCAACTTAAAGGGATTTAAAGGCAGGCGAGACACAATCCTTGCTCCTCTGAAACAAACTAGAGGGATTTTAGATTCGAAGGGATAATAATAATAATCACTTATAGAAAAGCTACTATGCAGTACACTGTTGTAAATACTTTCCACATATTGGCTCCTTTAATCCTCTCTACAGCTATGTGGTAGGTCTTATTATTATCCTTATTGTACTGAAGAGGAAACTGAGGCACTGAGAAAGAAGGTAACTTGTCCAAGATTACACACCAGAAAGAGGTGAAGGCAGCATTCAAATCCAGGCAGTCTATTCAAATCCAGGCCAGAACACATGAAAAAGAAACATCTGATGGTAGAGGAGGAAACCGTAAGGCAATAAAGTCTCCAGGGCTCCAGTCCTCAGAGCCTGAAAGAAGCCCCTCCCAGGGCAAGAGATGGAACTGTGACTTCATGGTTGGAAGCAGTTACAAACTGGATTCATTTAATGCATCTTTGACTTAATTGGATGTGAAGCCACTTTGCGCAGACGTTCCATGAGAAGCCATCTCAGAAGGTGCTTCAAGAGCAGAGTTTTGCTCAGCCTCTAGCTTAATGGCCCTCTTACCCCATGGCCCTCTTGGTTTTGCTGTAACGAATGTGTAAAATCACAGATGGTCTCAACTCCAGCTTCATAGACTGAAGTGGCCAAGAGAGAGATCATTCAAACTTGGCTGATCTACTTGGACTCAAGTGACACTGGGGCAGAGCTTTGTGGTGCCACAGCACCAGAAATGAAGCTTCAAGCCCCAGGGTGCCACAAAGCAGCTGAAGCTGGCAGTTGGTGAAGAAGAGAAGCAGGAGCTGAACAAAAGTCAGGCTGTGGGACAGAGAGAGGAGGCATCAGCGCTGCACTTTGGCAGCTCCCGGAGAAGGCAGGATGGTAGAGGGGACAGCTTAGAAAATACACAGATGACTTCAGCTGGAGCTCCAAGTCTACACTTTCACAGCGATGTTGCATTTTGATGAGGCACTTTCCTTCTACAGGGCTGTCTCCTCATCTCTACAATGCGGCCGATCTAATTTTCATATTTGTTCATAGAAATTCATCATTGATGATTATTGATTATTGATTTATATGTAATTGATTCCTAACTCATCCATTCATTGCTCAACAAACATGTCCTGAATGTCTATTATGTGCTAGGCACTGCTCCAGATTCAAGAGTAAGTGATGCAATAGCAAAGACAAGAAATCAACGGAGGTGCCCATCCACGGTGCATGGGATAAAGAAAATGTGGTATATAAACACCATGGAATACTATGCAGGCATAAAAAAGAATGAAACCATGCTCTTTGCTGCAACATGGACGCAGCTGGAGGCCACTATCCTAAGTGAGTTAATACAGGAACAGAAAACCAAATGCTGCATATTCTCACTTATAAGTGGGAGCTAAACATCAGGCACTCATGACACAAAGAAGGGAACAACAGACACTGAGACCTCCTTGAGGGTGGAAGGTGAGGATCAAAAACTACTATCAGGTACTATGCTCACTACCTGGGTGATGAAATCATTAGTACACCAAACTCCAGGGACATGCAATTTACCCATGTAACAAACCTGTACATGTACCCCCTGAACCTGAAACTGAAGCTGGAAGAACAAAAGGAGGTAAGTGATGAACAAGACTCATGAGACCAGGCATGGTAGCTCACACCTGTAATCCCAGCACTTTGGGAGGCCAAGGCGGGTGGATCACTTGAGGTCAGGAATTCAAGACCAGCCTGGCCAACATGATGAAACCCTATCTCTACTAAAAATACAAGAATTAGCGGGGAGAGGGGGCAGGTACCTATAATCCCAGCTACTGGGGAGGCTGAAGCAGGAGAATCACTTGAACCCCAGGAGGCAGAGGCTGCAGTGAGCTGAGATCGCGACACTGCAGTCCAGCCTGGGAGACAGAGCAAGACTGCCAAAAAAAAAAAAAAAACCTCATGAGGTGTTTGCCCCCTGGAAGTGACAGTACAGAATTCCAGTCCCAGTTTTCTCATCTCTAGGACAGGGATAACAATACTTACCTTAAAAGGTTAGGTGGAGAACAAAATGTATATTATTTTCAATAAATAAAAAGTTCCAAACATGTATTTAACCTTACCAAGAGCCAGGCAATGTTCTAGACCAGAGGCTGACAAACTTTTTCTTCAAGGATAAGAGACTGAGTATTTTAGGTTTTGCAGGCCACATGGTCTCTGTCACAACTACTCAATTCCATCCTTGTAGCGCAAAGGCAGCCATAGATAAGGCATAAACAAACAGGCACAGCTGTGTTCCCACAAAATTCTGTGTGTATGAATTCAGTCCATGGATCCACAAGCCACAGCGGACTGAATCCTGTTCTATCTAGATCAGCGCTGTGGAAGAATTTTCTGTGATGATGACAATGTTCCCCATCTTCACTGCCAGCTACATCAGCCATGAGCACATACTGAGCACTTGAAATGTGGCTACTGTGCATGATAAATTGAATTTTTTCTTTATTTAACTTTAATTAAAATGTATATCTCAGTAGGCACACATGGCTAGTGGCTACCCTATTGGACCGTGGGGTTATAGATGCTTCATACCTCATTTAATCCCCGCAGTAGCCCTGGAGTATACTAAATGTCTAGCCCTACTACTGTCCATGGTAGACACCCAATAAACCAGAGCCAATGGTGCTGCTGTCATGACTTCATGGCAACGGTGGTGATGGTAACGTTCAAGGCAACAGTGATGCCAGAGGATGGCCCATTCCCACGGCTGGTAAGAAAGAGAAACATCATGTACAGATCAATAACAACTTACCGGAGACAAAATGAGAAAAGGGGAGTTCCTTATGTGGCAGCCCCAGGCGGTCCTTAGAACTTCCCAGGAACAAGCCCCTTGCTAACCTTAATGAGGCTCTTCCCTAGGAGAAGCAAGTCCACCCTCATTACATCACACAAGCAAACAAGTGCTGGTGACACATCACCTCGGCACCCTAGTGACATCAGAGAAGATCACCTCCAACTACAGGAGGGTTGGTTCCAGCACCCAGTGGAAACTGCCCACTCCACCTGGAGGGGAAGAATGTGCAGCAAGGGAAACATCAAAGGCTCTTTTTGTTAATTTCAAACTTTCAAAAACAAAGCTTCAATGATCCATGGAGCGTACTATGTTTCAGGTTCCATTCTTGGCTAATAATAAGAGCTGTCATTTGTTGAGAGTTGATTATGTTCTAGACACTGCATGAGGTAAAAATAATGTTCATAGTGAGTATAATAAATGATCATTGGCACTGATTGAACGCTTACCGTGTTCCAGGCACTGTGCTGAACACTTTGTAACCGTGATCACCACTTACTTCTCACAAGTGCTCAGTGAGGGAGGAACCGTCATTGTCTCCATTTTAGAGATGAGAAAACAGGCTTGGACTGGTGAGGAAACTTGCCCATGTGCTCACAGCTCAGGAGAGGTGGATCCTGAATTCAAAACCTGGTTTATCTCTAGTGGATAAAGAAAATGTGGTACACATACATGATGGAATACTACTCAGCCATAAAACGGAACGAAATAATGGCCTTTGCAGCACCTTGGATGAAGTTGGAGGCCATTGTTCTAAGGGAAGTAACTCAGGACTGGAAAACCAAATACCATATATTCTCACTTGTAAATGAAGCTAAGCTATGAGGATGCAAAAGCATAAGAGTGATATAATGGACTTTGAGGACTCCGGGGAATGGTGGGAGGGGGTGAAGAATAAAAGACTACATATTGGATACCACATATACTGTTACAGTGATGGGTGCACCAAAATCTCAGAAATCACCATGAAAGAACTTATCCATGTAACCAAAAAAACCACTTGCTCCCCCAAAACTATCAAAATTAAAATAAAAGAAAAAAAAAACAAAGACTGGTTTGTTGGACACCAGCCTAGACTCAATTGTCAGGCTGGACTGCTGAAGATACAATGGTGAATTACACAGATGTGCCCCTGCCCTTACGGGGAAGGCAGGCAATGGAGCCAGTCATTGGAGTCTGAGTGAGAAGTGCTGTGGTAGACGAGATGAAGGCCTAGTAGAACTCAGGGAAAGAGCATCTAACTCAGGCTTGGCAGAGATGGGTGACCAGGTTAGAGGTTCCCAAATAAGTGAATTCTGAGCTGATATCTAAATATGGCCAGGGGTTCACCAAACCAAGAATATGCTAAAGAGGGTTACAAACCAAGGAAAAGCATTGCAAAGGTGCATTCAAGGAATCAAAAGCAGCACAATGGGGCTGGAAATTAGGTGGGGGTTGGGACGGATGAGGGAGAGATGGAAACCCAACTGGCACCACTGACAAAGACAGGGACGTTAGGGAGCGAAACCAGGTGGGAGGTGGCGAGGGTTGTGGCACACTGAGTTTCAGGTCTGCATGGCACCACCAAATGGAAATGCCTAACTCTAGAGGGTGGGGGAAAGGAGGCTACAACTCAGAAGTGGAGTCAGATCTGGAGGCAGGAGTTTCAGAGTCCTACTCAGGCAGGCAGGAGTGGAAATCATCAGATGATTCACAGAGAAAGAGAAGAGCAGATAAATGAACCCAGAGATGCGGAGTATGAACATCTGTTGTTTTTGCCTCTCCAGTACCCATCCCCTCATGTGACAGCACTTTGACTTTCCTTTGCGAAATCACCTCTCCCCACTCTCAGTCCTTATGGAGTAGGGCTCAACTCTAACCTTAGCTCCAAGGGTGATTATGTGACCCAGCCTGGGAAATGAGGGCACCCCAAATCCAGGAACCCAAAATGTGAAATGCTCCAAAACCCAAAACCTTTTGAGCACTGACATGATGCTCCAAGGAAAGGCTCATTGGAGCATTTTGGATTTTAACTTTTTGGATTTGGGATGCTCAACTGGCAAGTAAAATGCAAATAGTTCAAAATCTGAAGAAAAAAAAAATCCACACTCAGAAATGCTTCTGGTCCCAAGCATTTTGGATAAGAGATGCTCAACCTGTATTACATCTCCGTGGCAACTGTGATTGGTTTAGAAATGTATACATCACTCAACACAGGCCAATGAGAATGAAACCCAAAACTTACAGTGGGACTCTAAGGAAAGAAGCAGTCCTATACCACTGATGTAGTTAAGATACCATTGATGAAGATAAGATTGGACCTGCAAGTTGTTGTTGCCTCATTAGTCAAGCACATGCCTGAGAATCAAGCAATACAGAGGAAAGCTGAATCATGATGGAGAGAGAATCAGATTGCTGAACACCTTGATCATATCTTCCCTGAAGCCACCTATCCTAAGATTCCCAAGTATGTGATCCAATAACTTACATTTTGTTATACATAAACCAATTTGAGTCAGATTTTCTGTCACTTACAACTAAAATACTGGGATACTGGAGGTACCTAAAACTGGGTGGCTAAAGAAAGGAAAAGAAAGATGGGCACAGTGGCTCACGCCTGTAATCCCAGCACTTCGGAGGACGAGATGGGAGGATCGCTTGAGCCTAGGATTCCAAGGCCAGTCTGCGCAACATAATGAGACCTCATTTCTTAAAAAAAAAAATAAGCAAAAATCTAGCAAATTTTTTTAAAAAGAAAGAGCTGCCAATTAATGAAAAAGGAAAGAAATAATCAGAAGTAGAAGAATTCTATTACGTGTCACAAAAGCCAAAATGGGGAAGAATTTTAAGAAGGGACATCCATTAGTAGTGGCATTGCCACAAGGAGGATAAAGACAAATAGGGCTGTTGAATTTAGCTAAGACCTTGGGCAATTATCTTAGTTTGGGATACCCCAGACTCTCAGACAATGATTAAAGTACAAACAGCTTCTGTGAGAGGTGATCCCAGAGAGCAGCAGTAGGGAGTGGGGAAGTAAGACAGTGAAGGGAAGGAAGCCTATAAAGGCAGTGTTTTACTGCATGTTCTCACTTATAAGTGGGCGCTGAATAATGAGAACACATGGACATTTGGTGGTGGGGAATGACACACACTGGGCCATGTCAGAGTGGGGAGGGAAGAGGGAGAGCATCAGGAAGAATAGCTAATGGATGCTGGGCTTAATACCTAGGTGATGGGTCGATCTGTGCAGCAAACCACCATGGCACGTGTTTACCTATGTAACAAATCTGCACATCCTGCACATGTACCCTAGAACTTAAAATAACAGTTGAAGAAAAAAAAAAGACACAGACATGAAACGACTTCAATTCAAAAACACAAAGTCACCATAGAGTAGGGGAGAAAGGGTGCTGAGAGAAAGCAAAGAAGTAAAAGTGGTCCAAAGATTACATCTCAAGGGTGGGAGGGAAGAGGTGAGGAGAGGGGAAAGTGGAAGTGTTCTGAAGATACCACCGTACTGGGATGGGCTAAAACAAGGAGGTATGGGTATAATAAAGTATTTTTGTGAAATTTTTTAAAAAAGGAAGTGTTTGTGAGCTTGTTACCATTCTGGGTCACTGGAGCTTAATACAACTCTAGGAGGTTGTTTCCCATAAGTCATTGGTTGAGGATGGGCCCTGGGGGACATTAATCATCCTCTCCTCTCTCCTGCACCATCCCTCACCTCTCCTCCTGTGCTTCCACAGCCTGACATGCCTATGGACCGAATGGACTACGGCAGAGCAAGCCCTCAGGTGAACAGCTGCAGTTGCTGCCCATTGGAAGCCAGGCCAGAATGCAATGAAATGGAAGGGTGAGGGGACACAGCAGAGCACCAACAGTGCTACAGCATGTCACTTCATTTCCTGCACATCAGTGTCCCCATCTGCAAAGTGGGGGGACATCGCCTAGAACTACCTTGAAGATTAAATGAAAATAAATCATGTCTACACTTAGCCCAGCACCTGCAAGATCGTGCCAATAAACACACACTAATATTTTCCCTTTTGGTGACCTTCTGGGGGAGTGATTTCAACACAGTTATGGAAAGCAGAACCAGTGAGGAAGTGACACCCAAGATTGCAGGCTGCTCATTTGAGGCAGTACCAAACCGAGGAGACTCCAGCTGGATAAAAGATAATCGCTAATATTCTATTTAAACAGTAAGCAAGTTTGTATCTATTTCTGTGCAGAAGTCCTCGATTTAGCAAGAAGGCTTTCCTGCGAGGCGCTGCCTCTCCACCCCTGCCTTTGTGAAACATCAGAGTCACTCCCACTATGGGAAACAAAGCAGCAACCGTACATTCACCCCGTTTTTCTTTGGTCCTACCCCAATGACACATTATTGAAAGATTTAGGAAGATCAAATGGAGCTAGGAAGAGAGAGTCAGAAATGCCCCCTTCCACAGTGTCAGTTTCTCAATGATCAGAGCTCCTCCCTAAAGATTGGCCAGTGTTGACTCTAAAAGAAAAATGGAAAGTGGTCAGGAGAATGATGACGAATCACCATAACACCTCTGATATACAGCTCGGCGCACAGCAGGATTTCAAGCACACTGTTTCTTTCACCCTTGACATAATCCACAGGGGGTAAGGGATGTATCTAAGTGAGATTGTTTATTTTGTAATTATTTTAACCAATACTCCCAATACTTACAATGAGCCGGCTGCTCTACTTTACAAATATTAATTGATTTAATCTTCCTAACAACCATGCGTGGTAGGTACTATCATTATATACATTTTACAAATGGAGAAATTGAGGTGAAGAAATGTTAGGTAACTTGCCCGAGGTACCTACAGTATTAAGTGTAAAACCAGGATTTGAACAAAGGCAGACTGGGTCTGGCATCTGGCTCGGAACCACCACTACGCTGTTACCTTGAAGGCAACAGACGAACTTGATTGAACTCCTCTAGATCCTGGTACTAGGTCAGTCTATTTCTGTAGGCATTGGTAAGGAGGTACTTAAAATAATAATGAGGAGAAGGAGGAGGAATAAGAAGAGGGGGTGGAAGGGAGTGGGGGAGGAGGAGGAATAAGAGGAGAAAGAAGAAGAGGAGGAGGAGAAGAAGAAGAAATAACAGTAGCCAATAATAGCTAACATATACTGAACATTTCCTAAGTGCCAAGTGCCGTGCTAAGTATAATAATAAAAAGAGGCTGGGCGCAGTGGCTCACACCTGTAATCCCAGCACATTGGGAGGCCGAGGTGGGTGGATCACGAGGTCAGGAGTTCGAGATCAGCCTGGCCAATATGGTGACACCCCATCTCTACTAAAAATGCAAAAATTAGCCGGGCATGGTGGTGGGTGCCTGTGGTCCCAGCTACTCAGGAGGCTGAGGCAGAAGAATCGCTTGAACCCAGGAGGCAGACATTGCAGTGAGCTGAGATTGCACTGCTGCACTCCCACCTGGGTGACAGAGTGAGATCCCATCTCAAAAAGTAATAATAATAATAATAATAAGATAGGCCAGGCGCAGTGGCTCACACTTGTAATCCCAGTACTTTGGGAGGCCAAGGTGGGCAGATCACCTGAGATCAGGAGTTCAAGACCACCCTGGCCAACATGGCGAAACCCTGTCTCTACTAAAAATACAAAAATTAGCCAGGCGTGGTGGCACACACCTGTAATCCCAGCTACTCAGGAGGCTGAGGCAGGAGAATCCCTTGAACTTGGGAAGCAGAGGTTGCAGTGAGCCAAGATTGTGCCACTGCACTCCAGCCTGGGCAACAGAGTGAGATTCTGTCTCATATATTAATAGGATAACATAATAATAATTAATAACACATAATAATAACAATCTTCACATTAATGCTAGGAGGTGGTGCCATTTCATGACTGTTTTTCAGATGAGGAAACTGAGATATAGAGCTGTGTGAGGTTATTGAGCTAGGAAGTCAGAGGGCTGGTATTTGAAGGCATACCCTTAACGATTTGCAATCCCTGAAGGTGCAGAATAAAGGAACTGTGAGTTTACGGAAAGTGAGGGCACACACTCAGCTTCAATGACCACAGTACCCTGGTGATGGCCAGATGAAGGGAAGAGTACAAAGGGGTGTCTTTGGGGTTGATTCAGAGGGTGGTACAAATACTAAGGTGAGGGGTGGGGAGGAGGGGCTTGGCTAAAAATCTCCAGGAACAGACGAGAGACTCAGACTTCAAGGGGGCAAAAAAGGCAGATGCTTCACGTGGGAATAAGGGCACTGGCCCCCAGTAAACACTGGAGCTTGTGGCTGAGGCTGAAGCTCCTGTTTTGATGGCATGTTTTCAATCTTCTCTCTCCTGGGACACCTGGGGCTTTGGGTGGGTACTCAACTTTCTCAAAACAACAAAAAATAAAGAGGCAGAAAACAACATTTCCTTCCCTTTTTCTTTACCCTTCCAGGGCTTACAAGGTTTATGGGCTACACATTTACTAGTTTACTACATGTGCACTAGTCTATCATTCATCTTTATTTAGAATAAACATTGCAGAATCTCAATCCTTGAACAAAAACTCCCTGACATGTCCTAAAACTTTCTTTTCTTTATTAACTTCAACTTTATTCACATTGGAAACCATTGTACATTATCTACTGGACCTATTTTTAATAGTCTTTCTTATTACATAAGCAATTCATGAATACATTCTCCTTTTAAAAGATTAAATTATTTTTACATAATTGAAACTGTCTAATCTTTTTCTTTATGGCTTCTGGATTTCCCTCACTCAAGGTTACAGAAGTATGCTCCTAAAACTTCCTCTAATATTCTTTTTTTTTTTTTTTTTTTTTTTTTTTACTGCCTATAGCTTACTCCACCTGTAATTTATTTTTGTATGAGTTAGGAATCAAACTCAGCATCCTTCCACATGGCCTCCCAATTATGCCAGCACCATGTATTAAATAAGCCATTTTTTTTCCTACTGATCCAAAATGTCACCTTTTAATACATTAAGCTCCCCTGCATCCCAAGACCTTTCAGTCCTCCTCAGGACTCTTGTCTCTTATGCCACAGCTAGAAAAATTTTAGCAATTATTTGAAATGTGTTTCATGGCTTAACAATAGGTATTTTATCTTCTAAAAGACATTTTCTAAGAGGCACTTTCGTGCGCTGTTGGTGGGTGCATAAATTGGCACAACATTTGAGAGCAATTTAGCAATATCTATTACAACTAAAAATGTTAATATCCTTTGCCCTAAACACCCCATTTCTAAGAATTGTTCTATGGAAATCCCCACTACAGTGCCCAAGAGTGTTCACTGTTGCACTGTTCATTATAGAGAAAACTTGGAAATAATCCAAATGCCTATTGCTAATGTTTTAGACAAATTATAAATATGAATGTAAATAATATGGTGGCCATATTATGAAACACTCTGCAGCCATTTAAAACATAAGGTGGATCTAAATAAGGTATTAATAAGGGAAAAAGTTACTAGCCTGGGCAACAGGGCAAAACCCCATCTCTACAAAAAAAAAATATTACAAAAATTAGCTGGACGTGGTGGCGCGTGCCTGTAGTCCCAGCTACTTGAGAGTCTGAGGTGGGAGGATTGAGCCCTGGAGGTGGAGGTTGCAGTGAGCTGAGATCACACCACTGCACTTCAGCCTAGATGACACAGCAAGGCCCTCTCTCAAAAAAAATTATAAAAAAAGTATATAGGATATGATCTCTTTTTTTGTTTATTCGTAATAAAGTCTTATATTTATAAAAATTTCACAGGATAATACACCTAAATATTGTTTATTGCTTCTATAAGGTGAAGATTTTCAAACTAAATACACAGTTATACATCATCACAGTCTTTTATGATAAGTGCTTCTTTTGGTGATTAAAAAAATACAAACCTGGAATGAGAAAACATTCTATGAATCAAGGTGAGTATCTCACATTGAATGAAGAGGAGATGACACAAAAAGTCAGTGCAGGGACAAAGCTCAAATCCAAAGGAAAATGCCTTTCTGCTGTGTGGTTGGATTGTGAGACACTTCTGTCGGAAGCCCCTGGTCACTCATGGGCAGTTCAGGACAGAAGTGACAAAGAGAGAGGTAAAGGACACATCCAAGGTCTCGCCCATGGTGGGAGAAGTAAATGTTTCACCGGTCATCAAGCAGCACATCCTACCCAACATCAAATAGGCGGACCTGCACCTTCTCTCTCCATGCACTTTTCTGTTATTATGGACAACCCTAACTGTCTGGGCAGTAACCCCCAGGGGACAGCCTCCCACACTTATAAACACAAGTCCCCAAACGCAGAACACTCAGCTGGGGATGAGGGCAAGCGCGGCACCCCATAACCATTGAAGGACTTGCCTGGGAAGAGCAATGAATTGAAGTTATCAGAAAGGAAGGCTGGAAATCACAAATATATGGCACACAGGGGCATGGGTACAGTCCACCGAAGAAAGAACTGTCGGAAAAGTGAGTCTCAAGCAGGACTGGCTGATATCACGTGATAATCATAATACACACGTGAATGGCTCACATTTATTAACTGCTTCTCTTCATCCTTTGCCTGGCTGTGTGTGTGTGTGTGTGTGTGCATGTGTGTGTGTTTGAGACAGTCTCGCTCGCCCAGGCTGGAGTGCAGTGGTGCCATCTTGGCTCACTACAACCTCCACCTCCCAGATTCAAGTGATTGTCGTGCCTCAACCTCCCAAGTAGCTGGGATTACACACACACCTGTGTGTAATTTTTTCCCTACTGATCCAAAATGTCACCTTTTAATACATTAAGCTCCCCTGCATCCCAAGACCTTTCAGTCCTCTTCAGGACTGTTGTCTCTTATGCCACAGCTTGAAAAATTTTAGCAATTATTTGAAATGTGTTTCATGGGATTACACACCTGCATATGTGTAATCCCAGCTAATGTTCTGTAGTTTTAGTAGAGACAGGGTTTCATCGTGTTGTCCAGACTGTTCTCAAACTCCTGACCTCAAGCCATCCACCCACTTCGGCCTTCCAAAGTGCTGGGATTACAGGCATGAGCCGCTACACCCAGCTTGACTCATTTACTCTTCACAATAACCCTATGAGATGAGTATTTTATTCCCAACTTCAGATGGGGAAACTGAGGCATAGAACAGTTAAGAAACCAGCCCAGTATCACATAATAGGCAGTGCAGCTAAGCTGAACTAAGGTGTTCAGGCTCTAGTGTCCATGCTGTCCTGTCAACTCCAAATGTGCATGCTTATCACTGACAACTCCCAAACTCCTTCACTCCTCCTTTACTCCTCAGTCTAAACTAACTCTCATAAATGGAGCCAGTAAGCTCATTCCCAATGGATGAAATGACTAGCCATGGCTCTTGATAGAAGGTTCCTCCCAGGACGGGAAGGGCAAGAGCCCGAGGAGCCCATCATCCTTACTGAGGAAGGGTCTTTCTGCAACAGTTGCTGAGACTTATGTCTTATGAAACTAACAGAGCTCCGGTGGTCACAAAGATTAGCCAAGGAGACCTTCTCTGACACCTCCTTCAGAGACCTAGACACCACTAAGTCAGTCTAAGATCGATGCCTTCCCTGGTCAGGCGTGGTGTCTCATGCCTGTAATCCCAGCACTTTGAGAGGCCAAGGTGGGCAGATCACCTGAGGTCAGGAGTTCAAGACCAGCCTGGTCAACATGATGAAACCCCGTCTCTACTACATGGCACATGTATACATATGTAACAAACCTGCACATTGTGCACATGTACCCTAAAACTTAAAATATAATAATAATAAAATTTAAAAAAAAATTAGCCGGGCATGGTGGTGGGTGCCTGTAATCTCAGCTACTTGGAAGGCTGAGGCAGGAGAATCGCTTGAACCCGGGAGGCAGAGGTTGCAGTGAGCTGAGATCACATCACTGCATTCCAGCCTGGGTGACACAGAAAAAAAAAAAAGATGGATGCCTTCCCTGTAACGTGCATCATAGTTGATGTCTGACTGCCCTCTTTGACTATATGCTCCTTGAGAGCAGTGACTGGGTCTGTCTTATTTATTGCCATACTTCCACTGTTGTAACTTCAACATCCAATACTCAATGAATATGTTGAACAAATGAATAAACAAGTAAATGAATGAATGAATGAATGAATGTGCTCACGCATTACATCTCCTGTTGCAGCCTTCCTTTCCTGCCATGAAGATCTTCACTCAACCACCCACAAATTCCTTGAGACCACAGGAAGAAAATCAAAAGAATCTCAAAAGCTCTAATTGGCAAATGAAAACAACAGCTAAATTAAATGTCAAGTCTAACAGGATGAGGAGCTCTCAACAGACAGTTCTCAATTAATTCAAGGAGCCCCTGGGTGTGATACCCCATGCTTTCTCCCCAGCTGCAACAGGAGGATGCCCAGCGCCAACTGCAGAGCTGATGCCCGGCTAACCTGGATGGCTGCTCGGGAGCAGCCACTAGGGAAGCCCCACACAGTAGCCAGATTGTGCACATTTTCAAGAGAAGCTGGAAATTGTTGATGGTTTCTAAATGTCAGCCCCGAAGTCAATATTGGAAAATAAAACCCCGGTAGACAGCTGGTTAGCTTTCTCTAGGGTAAATCACAGTGAGAGAAACAGCTGAGCAGGGAAGGATCAAGCTCCAGAGAACAGAGTCAGGGGGCTCTGCCATTCATTGACTGCGTACCTTCAAGCAAGTAGATCAAACACTCTGTGTCTCCGTAAAACAGGGAGGATAATGGCACCTCATTGGGGTGGCATGATGATTAAACGCAATAATGCATGGAGAATGCTCTAGGAAGCACCCTGCATGTGGGAAGCAATGAATAAATGCCCCTCTCAGTACAGGTTGACTGGGGACCAAGTGTTTCAGCCTCACCCAACCACACTGTGATTCTAAACCCACGGCACTCACTCCTAAACCTGCCAATTCAGGCGGCATGGTATCCAAACACTCCCATAGCTCCTGAGCCAGCTTCCCTCCATCATCCAGATTCGTGTACAGTGCATTTCCATGGCAATAACCTGTTCCACAAAAGGTACAGTAAATATTTACTATTTTTTCACACATTTCAGATTATTTGGGTCTAACAATCTAACTGGCACTCTCTACTGCTTTAGAAAATGGCAATGAGAAGCCAAGCCTCCAAGAACAAAACAGAAGTGCCTTCAGCAACAGGGACACCAGGGAACCACGTGGACAACCAAGAACAGCATGTGGCCACAGATAAAGAGATTTCAGGAAGCTCCGCTCACAAGAGCGCCTCTGGGAGCTATTTAACCCCCTCCAGTCGCCCCACCCTCCCAGAAACAAATGCAATACATTGCAACGATTCTAAACACCCCCTCATCTCTTTTAACTCTCTCTCTATGCAGCCCCCAGCACCCACACACATACACAGGTCCTCTGAGAGATTTTTTAAAGCCTTGTTCACACATACGCAGAATATGCAGCACTAAGAGTTTTAACTGCTAAACCCCTGACGTGCGTGCACATACACACACAGAGTTTGATAATCAGCAGAGCTTCACTGTGCCTGCTCAAAGAGGCGGAGGCTCTCTTGGAATGAGGGGGGCTTCTCTGCTCAGGGCTTTTGAAATGTCAGCTGAGCCACGGAAGAGCTTGTGATTCACTCCCTGACTCACTCCCATCTCTGCAGCAGACCCCATCTCTGCAGGGAGGGCAGGACAGGGCTTTTTCATTCATTCCCTCATTCAGTCACAAGACCTGTTTTATACCACGTTTACACACAAAAAAAACTCATTCAGGCACAAAACTCTGTGCCCAGCTTTGCACTAGTCCCTAGAGAGACAGAGAAGAATAAAGTACAGCCCCTGCCCTCAAGTTTCTCACAGTCTGACAGCCAGGGAGACAAACAGGTCACCACCAATCAATGTGATATATCAAGGAGTATATACAAGGTACCTATATCTATTTAGAAGACTGACACATTTGACTGTGGAAGTGTGACGTTCCTGTATTACAAAAGATTTCATAAACCAAAAGAAAAGACATAGGACAGACCAAGGGGATTTATTTTTAGACTAAATCACGGATTGGCATCTAGAATATATAAAGAGTTACTATCAATTAATTAAAAAAAAAAAGACAGGGGACCAGGTGCAGTGGCTCATGCCTGTAATCTCAGCACCTTGGGAGGCTAAGTTGGGAGGATGAGTTGATCCCAGGAGTTTAAGACCAGCCTGGGCAACATGGCAAAACCCTGTCTCTACAAAAAAAAAAAAAAAAAAAGCCTGGCATAGTGGTGTGTGCCTGTAGTCCCATTTACTAGGGAGGCTAAGGTGGGAAGATCACTGGAGTTGAGGTTACAGTGAGCTGTGATCTGGACACTGTACCCCAGCCTGGGTGACAGAGGAAGACCCTGTCTCAAATAAAAAAGCCACTAGAAAAATTGACAAAGTAATACGAAGAGGGAATTCCCAGAGAAAAAAATACAAGTGCCCAAAAAGCGTATGCCTAATCTCATGAATATCTGGGAAATGCAAATTAATACAAGATATTTTATCCATTAGATTGGCAAAAATGGAAAAGACTGATAACTCCCAGTATTGGCAACCACGTGGGCTGAAAGAATGATGGAAGAACGCAGGTCTAGTAGAGCACCCTGGATGCAAGGGAATGGGCATTCGATTGCTCTCATTATTCATCTTTCCTCCCACGTGCTTTGCACATGACAGTCACTCAGCAACCCTCTGCAGAACTGAGTCAAACAGGAAAAGTAATGCCGCATATCTGAGCTGCAGAGTGTTCTTATATTCAAACACCCATCCCTATGGCTCCTCTGGGATACTGGAGATGACTGCCGGCAGGATAACAGGTGTGGGAGCCAGGGACAAGGCGGGAAGAGGGCTTGCTACTCAGGGAATAGAGTACCCCATTGATGCTGGTCACTCTTCCTTTCCTACCAGGGATGCTCAGGCATTCCACTCCTTCACAGACAGCAACCTTGCCCTGAGAAAAGAAAGGCTTATGTGTGATTATTCACTATGGAAAATAAGGAGGAAACAGATCAGGAGAAACAGGAAAAATAAAGTTTCACTTGCTAAAGTGAAACTGCAAAGAGGCACCAGCCTGAAAGGCAAAACCAAGGCCTAGATAGACAAGACAGCAGCAGGCCCAAAATGCCCACTGATGCCAGGAGGCCCCTCTGTTCTACCCAATAATGGAAACAGCCAACACGTGGGTTTACTCTGTGCCAGGCACTAAGACCTCAGGTACCTTATCCCTACAGACCTCAGCCTATTTTAAAAGGAACTCAGAGAGGTTAATCAACTTGTCTGAGGCCACACAGCTTGTCCACGGCAGTACTGGGGTTTGAACTTAGGTCTGTCTGACTCCAGAACCCCGTGCTCTTACCCATACTGCTTAGCTTTTAGCTGGCCCAGTCCTGGGAAGTCAGCCCTCCAGGAGGAAGCCCTGCCTGACAATGGGTTGGGACTAGAAGGAGATTTATGTCCCCCATTCTGAGGAAAAGCAGGAGCACCAGTTGGGGAGTGGGAGGACCCAGTGGGACAGACAGCTAAGAAGAGAGTCACTATTACCATTCAGGGACACACAGAGTCTGGAACCTAGGTTACTTCCAGGCTTAAGGGAGTGTGGGTGTACCCACCCTCCACCCCACCCACATCTGGTGCCGCTAGAGGGATCAACAGAAAAAAAAAAAAAAAAAAAAAAAAAATTCAAATCATAGGGGCCAATGCTGCTGTTGGCAGAAGCAGGAGGAAGTGGGCCACTGGGGAGGCCACATCCGCCCCACGGCGAGGCTCCTTCGGTTAGCATGGGCAGCAGCAATGCAAGGAGAGGGAAGGAGGTGGTCTCTGGGCCCAGGTGAGGGAGAAAGGAGAGGCTCTGGGTGTCATCCCAGCCTGAGGCACAGGGAAGAGGTGTGGGTGGCTGGACCCAAGTGGCTCTGGCACTCCTAGATCTCACAGAGATCCCAGCCTACCTGTGAGACCTCAGGCAATTAATTTAAGCTCTCTTGCCTCAGTGTCTTCATCTGTAAAATGGGGATAAGAATGTTATCTTCCTAGTACTGGGTGGAACTACCACCACCTCAACAACTGGTACCTGCCTGGCTTCATGCCTACTGGACTACCCCACTGCCACTAAATTGGAAACTCTATGACAGCTTGTCTGGCTAGTTCACTGCTGTATCTCCAGCACTTAGAACTGTAAGTGGCACCGAGCAAACACCCAATAAATATTGGTTGAATTGTTAACAATAGGTGCTCAAAAATATTTGTTGAAGAAAAATAAAGGAGACAAAGAATAAAACGATAGAAGGTAGAGAAAAAAGAGGGGCAGAACGGAGGAAGTTGGACCCCCAGGAAAGTTCCAAGACCATGAGAATCAACTGAGGTTGGCCAGTTAGCCAACCTGCTTCTCCAAAGAGCTCTGCCCAAGATAGTACTATGTTGTCAGAGTTAATAGAACCAAGCACTGCTTATCACTAGGTGACTGGGCTCGTGTTTTAACCAGTTTCTGAGCTTGAGGCAAGGTCTCCTTTCTCTTCCTTATCTAAGGAGGCCCCAGGGGCTGGCCCTTTCTTTCATTCGTTCTTTCTTTTGTCCATTCGTTCGTTCTTTCTTTCTTTTGTTTGTTCGTTCTTTCTTTTCTTTCTTTCTCTGGGTTACAATCTCATTCTCTGTCCCTGGCATCCACCTACAGACTCCGGAAGAGTGTAAACATTCTAGTGTTCACCTGTGGTCTCACACAGTGCAACCTCTGGGCCAAAGCCAAGTGTTTACGCCTGAATCACTGTCACTAGAACGGTTGCCTCTGATTACCACTCCTCGAAAAATTATGCGTTGTCAGTAAAAAACCAACAGGCGTGCCCAGCCCAGGTGTAGATCTCATGAAACCCTGTACTACTGACAAGTGATTTGCAAGGACCTTTCCACACCCACAAATCTCTGACAGGAGATGCATGGTGGTTAAGAATGTGTGCTTTGGAACCAGAGGATCTGGACTCAAATCCTGGGCCTCCACTTATCGACAGTGGAACCTTGAGCAAGTTAGTTCATCTCTTCTTGACTCAGTTTCTTCAGTTACAAGAAGAGGATAATAACACCTACCTCACTAGGTTACTGTGAGAATTCAAGGAGGGCCAGGCACGGTGGCTCACACCTGTAATCCCAGCACTTTGGGAGGCCAAGGCAGGTGGATCACTTGAGGTCAGGAGTTTGAGACCAGCCTGGCCAACATGGTGAACCTTATTAGTCTCTACTAAAAATACAAAAATTAGCCAGGCATGGTGCTGTGTGCCTGTAATCCCAGCTACCTGGGAGGCTGCGGCATGAGACTCGCTTGAACCCTGGAGGTGGAGGTTGCAGTGAGCCAAGATCGCACCACTGCACTCCAGCCTGGGCAACAGAGCAAGACTCCATCTCAAAAATTAAAAAAAGAATTCAATGAGATAACACACATAAAGTGTTGTAAGCAGTCAAGATTCTTATTTATAAACATGGAAGCCCACTCTAACCAGTTTAACCAGGAAAGACAAGCTTTGGGAGGCCCTGAGAATCCAATTAGGACACATTTAGAAAGCCAGAAGAAACATCTTGACCACAGTACAGAACCCGCTGCCACCACTCCAGAGTCCAGACCAGGCAATCTGCACTACAGATGCTGTGAATATTCAACATTCACAAGGGACAGATCTTGCTAGAAGCCCCACCATAGCTGACTCTGCAGTCTGGACATACTTAACACCTCCCCCTCCAGAACAGATCAAACACAGTGTCTGCTGCTTCTAGCCACCAATTCAGAGTCCAGCAAGGACTCACCTGATTGACAGATCCTAGGTCACATGTCTGTGCTCTAGCTGCAAGGGAGGTTGGGCGAGTGGGTTTCTGAGTTGTGCATTAAAGAGACATGGGTTTATGAGGTGGCGAATTCACAAATATTAAAAAAAAAAAAAAAAAAAGCGGCTCCAGAGTGTGTGGCCAGAAAGAATGACAAGTGTCTCCCATTAGCTCTTGGCACAGTGCCTGGCTCATATGTGCCCAATGAGTAGCCATTCCCTGGAGATGTCGTTTAGGCCCCAAAGCAAGAAGATTCCTGTGCCCCAATCATTCTTCATCTCTCTGGGCCACCCTGTTACTATTCCAAAAGGTTTGGATTGAACCCTTACCTTTACTCCTCCTAACTCTTGTCCTGACTATATGCATCTATGTATCTCTGAAGACCCCCACTGGAGCCCAGAAATAAAGGCAAGTACTGCTTATGGCCTGGCAGGAAAATGCACCAACCAGCTGGTATCACAGATTCACAGAACTTCAGAATGCCTAAACTAGAAAGTGACTCTCTCCTACTGTCTTGTTTTGCAAATCAAGAAATTGAATCTAAAAAGGGGAAAGGACATGACAAAGATTGCCCAGCAAAGTCCTGGCAGAACCAAAACTAAGATCAAGGAGAATGAGGAGAGGAGCCCAGGTCCCAGATCTTCCGCAGCAAACTAATATTGCACTGAGCAAGATGCCTTTAGCAGGGCTGAGCAGCTGCTCCAAAGGAACCAGTGCAGAACAAGGATGCTGTCTCGAGAAGAGCAGTCTTAGAGGTCATGGGAACAGGCAGCAGAGTAAGTTGAAGCTGCAGGACCCCAAAATGCTATGTCAGGATCCCTTAGCCCCTTGCTACTCAAAGTGTGATCCATGGGCTGGGCATGGTGGCTCACGCCTGTAATGCCAGCGCTTTGGGAGGCCAAGGCAGGTGGATCGTTTGAGATCAGAAGTTCGAGACCAGCCTGGCCAACATGGTAAAACCCCGTCTCTACTAAAAATACAAAAATTAGCCAGCAGTGGTTGCATATGCCTGTAATCCCAGCTACTTGGGAGGCTAAGGCAAGAGAATCGCTTAAGCCTAGAAGGTGGAGGTTGCAGTGAGCTGAGATCACACCACTGCACTTCAGCCTGGATGACGGCACAAGACCCTGTCTCAAAAAAAAAAAAGACAAAGACAAAGAAAGAATGAAAGAAAACGTGTGATCTATGGACTAGCAGAATCAGCACCATCTGGCAGCTTGTTAGAAATGTAGGATTCCAGGCCCGGCCCCTCCCCAGACCTACTGGATCACAACCTGCATCTTAATTAGATCCACAGGTGATTCTTCTGCACGCTAAAGTTTGAAAAGCCTATACTAGTCAGTTCTGGCCTAAAGAGGAATTCAAAAAGAAAAAGTTAGCCTGCTAAGAATCAGCATTTCTCTGGATCTATTATGTGTCTGACACTACGTTAGGTTCTTTATGGACTTAACTCATTAAATCTTAACAACCCTATAGCCCTCTAAAGTAGACTTTCAGGGTCCCATTTTACAGATGAGGAAACTGACATTTAGGCAAGAGATATAACTTACCCTTTACCGCTAGGTCTACCTGGTAACTGACAACTGATATGATGGATGACAGCAAGGTACCGGCATCTGTCATCCATCATACCAGCTGTACCTTCAGGTACCACTTCAGGGTACCTGGTGACTCAAAACTACTCATTCTTTGGGTGGTCTCTTTAGCAAAGCGGTGCCCCTGAATGAAGCTCCTCTTCAATACTATCCAGGCAGAATTAGCCAGCCCTGTCATTCTCTAATAATCAGAGGTGGCTTATGTAACTCTTCCCTTAACCTCTGACAGCCCAGTGAAGTGAGTAGAGAAGGCACGAATCTTAGAATCCACTCTGCCACTGATTTGCTGTACAATAACAGAAACATTATTTAACCCCTCTGAGCTTTGGCTTCCCCACCTGCAATGAGGAAATAAATCTTAGGTTTCAGAGTTGCTACAAGCATAAAATGAGAGGATGTATGTCATATACATGAAGTCATGCCAGGAGAAAGAAGCATGAGTTTTTCTATTGCTATTAGTCGTTGCCCAATATATATTCCTCCTGGTGGTGTGGTAGGGCCAGCTTGTGAGCCAATGGCGTGGATCTCTTCCCTACTCTGTGTTCAGTGATGGCACATGAAATTGCCCATGGTGAGAAACTGACCATGGAAACTGACCAGTGGCAAGCACTGCATACCAGGGTTGTTCATTGTTTGTTTTTTTTGTTTTGTTTTGTTTTTGTTTTCTTTTTCTTTTTCTTTTTCTTTTTTACCAGAGAGCCAACTACTAAACATTTATCAGCACACCATTGCTGATTCTCTCCCTCCCTGATCCTCAAATCAGTAGGACTTTCCACCACTGAGATTCCACGGCTTCTGGCCTGTGACTTCTAGGAAGCTGAGAGGTCACTCAGCACCTCCATCCACCCCAAAGAAAGCCCACAGTGAGGCTCCTCATTTTCTCATTCAGCCAGTACTTATTGGGCCCCTATCGTGGACACACACAACCTCCCATCCCTCCAGAAGGGCTGCCGGCACCCTGCCATCTGTCATTCATCATATCAGAAAAAGTATTTTCACGGCTGTGACAAATGAGGGAAGGAAATTAAAAAGACATCCCAACAGTGGCAGGGGAAGGATCACACACATTATTTCCATATCATCCCCTATTCATGGTAAATTACCTCCTGACAATAGGATCACCTTCCCCTTGGCTCACCCACACTCACCACACATAGCAGGAATTGAGTGAAATAAAGACCAGGCCTTTCATGTTCTTATTGCCAGAATTGTCAGGGTGCCCCTGTGGTGTCAAAAAGCTGGGAACTTTGATCATTGAAATGAAAGAACCACTGTCCCGTTCCCCTAGCCCTTTCTCTGTCCTGCAGCCTCTCCATGTCCCTAGAAGTCCCCTCTCTGGCCCTCAATACCTTCATGCTTCTTGATCTCTGGTCTCTCTCCTCATCCCCCAATAGCCTCCTCTCTGACGTTCTTTCTCTTCCATTTTTGCTCATCGGAACCTCCTTGGCCCCTCAGTCCCCTCCTCTCTCTGTCCCTCATTCTCTCCCCTCATTGTTTCTCAGCCTGCAAAGGCAGAAAGCAGGCATGAAGACCAATCAAATGTTCCCTAAAATGCTGACATGAAGCTAGTCAATTCACATGAAATTCAGCAAATCAGCTTTTGGAAGATTGACCTAGGGCTGCACTGTGACCCAGAAACCCATGAGAGTTTATGAGCAGGTGATGGAGGAAAATTGAGACCAGTCTCCCAACCGCAGACACTGCACCCTTTGTGAGGTTTTTCCAGCCACCCAAAGTGGCAGCAGGAGGGGGACCTGGCTTGAGCAAGGCATGCTCTCTGGGGCCCATCTGCACTCCTAAGTCCTGCCAAGAAGGAATGTTGGCAAAACACAGAGATCATGAGATCATGTGAGATCATCATCCCCATAAGTAGAGTTAGATTCTTGGGCCATGGAGACCTTAGCTTTCCCAGAGGGGCTAAAATGCCCTAACATTTGACTTTGATGATTCAAGCATTTGTCATTCTGACTCCCCCACAGCAGGGTGAATAAAAAAAAATCTAAAGATTTAACTTAAAAAAGTTTAACAAGTTAATTTTCTAAATTTAAAATGTTTCAGAAAGAAACACAACCTACAGAAGGATAATTTTAAGCTATATTAAAGCTCAAAGATGACATCATGGAATTCTAATTATATAGACTTTGAGGCAATGGAGTCAAATAACCTTTATGGATACAGTTATAAATTTTTCACAATATGCAGATACTATGTTAGTATCACATCTTACGGATCTACTAAAAGTCCCTCTCATAGATTATTTGGAAAAGTGAAAATGAAGGCACCCTTTATTCTGAGACTTCAGGCAGTACTAGAGCTTTTCAGTTTCCGTGTTGACTCTGAATTTCTCTCCTAAAATGAGATTATTTCTAAGAGCATACATGAAGATGAGAATTGAAACCAGACCAAACCAATCATGAGCTTAAAAGTCCATAAGGAACCAAGTCCTTACCTCTCTACAAAATGCCAGGAGCACGCGAGGCAAAGTCCAGGGACCTGGTGCCTTCCCCATGTGATCTTTTCCCCTCTATGTTGTTATGAGAAAAAAATGAATCAGTTCATTAACAAGATCCTAGAACAGGCCTGACACATAGTAAGCCCACAATAAAGGTTAGGCTTGATGGTATCTGTGAAACAAAGCACTGCACTCCTATCTGCCTAGGAGGTTCGCACCTGTTGCTATTTCATGCAAGTATTGTGTGATTTGTAAAAAAATTAAATCATTCGACTCAACCATTTTTCCTACGTAAAATGCATTGCCTTTACATTTGTACAGGCGCAGAGTCTGTATATTATATGAGCTATTAATAAACAGAATTTATATTTATATGTATGTGTAACATAGTTAAATAAGACACATTCACACATGTATCTTTAAAAAGAGAGAGAGAGAGAGTCTCACTCTATCACCCAGGCTGAAATGCAGTGGCACAATCATGGCTCACTGCAACCTCCACCTCCTGGGCTCCAGTGATCCTCCCGCCTCAGCCTCCCAAGTAGCTGGGACTGCAGGTGTATGTCAACTAGCCTGGTTAGTATTGTTTAACTTTTTTTGTAGAGATGGGGTCTTGCTATGTTGTCCACGTTGGTCTTGAACTCCTGACCTCAAGTGATCTTCCCATCTCAGCCTCCCAAAGCACTAGGATTACAGGCATAAGCCACTGTGCCTGGCCACACATATGTGACCTTTACAACACCACCCTAAGGTAGATGATCATTTTTCTCCTTTTATAGTGGAGAACACTCCGAAGCTTCAGAGTTTGACTGAGTTTCCCATGCAACAAGTCTGGTGGATGGCAGAGCAAAGACTGGAAGGGCAACAGTTCTGCCACCCCTGTCCATGGCATTGCCTCTTGTTTCTAAAGTCCCTCTTTCCTGGGTTTTATTTCTACACTCCTATTTCTAGAGTTGCTCTGGATGCTCCGGAGGGGAGTGGAAGAACAAGATAGAAGAGACAGTCACTGCCCCTCAAGAGACAATAATCGTGAATAATTCATTTGTCTCCTTTCCTGAAATGAGAGCAAAGTTGAGAAACAGGCAGAAGCTGAACCAGACTAGGGGCAGACGTTAAGAAACCTCAGGCTCTGGGACCCAATGCTTAGTTTCCAAAAAGGAGTTTAAGGCTAGGCTTTCTGATGTTTTCAAAGAGTCAAGGGAGCTAGTCAAGCATAAGAAGGAAGCAGAAAGGTAACTAACTTTTAACAAGCAGTTGTTGACATGCTTTCGTATTTTTCATCCAATCATATTTACTGCTACAAGACCCTAGGAGAAAGGTTTAATTATCCTCAGTATGTAGGCAAGGCAACAAAGGCTCAAAGAAGTGGAGTTTAAGTGCTTGAAGTAAACAAACTTAGAAAAGTAGACAAAAATAAAATTTGAATCGAGTTGCTATCCATATCCTTTCTAGTGCTTCTCAATGCCCTCATCAAGCCATTTCTCAAACTCCAATGCTCCAAGCTCCAGGCTCACATGTCTATGGAAGGAACACACCATTGGTGAGAACCTAACTGTGCAAATGCTAAACATTTTGCCTGAAACATATTATGCCCACGCTCTATCACTTTGGTATGCTCCAACGCCATGGGGATCTGGCATGCCAAGTGTGACGTTTAAAAGAAAATGTAAACCACTTTCCTTTAGACACACAGATTGCCAATCCATGGTTAATATTCCAGTTTCCTACACTTCCCTCTGTAGTAGAGGACTACAGTACTTCCTCTGGCCTTCTGCCAAGCATGCGGAGGAGGAAAAGGGAGCTGGTGGCATCTGGAGACCAAAAGGGATTATTTTTCCATTATGTCATCCACCAAGTTAGAGATGCTCTCTAAGAAAGTTATTGATTTTGGTTGACATGTTTTGTAATCAGCCCTCTTAACTAATTCTGTTATTTGTACTAATAGTTTTTCAATGGATTCCTTTAGAGTTGCTAAAATAAATAATATAACCTGTGAATAGTGTTAATTTGGTATTCATTTTTCCAATATGTAATTAGTATTTATATGTTTCTTTTCTTGTTTCATTGACTAGAACATCCAAAACAATGACAAATAACAGTGTTGCTATCAACCATCTTTCATTTATTCTTAACTTTAATGGGAATTCCTTAAGTATCTCAAAATTAAGTATATTTTTGGCTACTGGTTGGCCACATATAGTCTTCATCATGCTGAAAAAGTATCTTTTTGTTCTTAGTCCTTTCTCCAAGAATTTTCACCAAGAACAAATATTGAAATTTTAACAAATGCTTTTTTTTGCATCTATGATCATATTTTTCCTTTGACATATTGATGGGACGTATTAATAGACTTCCTAATAATAAATCATAATGTATTTCTAGAATGAAGCTTCCTTGATCATGATGCATTGTTCTTTTAATATCCTAGAGGATTCAACTTGCCAAGATTTTATTTAGGACTGTTTTCTCTGTGTTTATAAGTGAAATTAGACCATGGCTTTATTTTTTGCCTTATCTTTGTTAGATTTTTGTGTATGTATGATGCTAGGGTAAGAGGAGAGAAGTGAGACAGTGTCCTTTTTCCCTATGGTCTAGAGAAATGTTTTAAAAACCAAAAGGATCATTTGTTATATAGGTTTTGGTGAGGATTTTGAAAACTTTCATTACTTCCTTCTTGTTATTGGTTTAGACTAGAGGCCAGTAAACTACAGCCTGCAGGCCTGCCACCTGTTTTGATAAAGATTTATTGGAACACAGCCATGCTCACTTCTTTATAAATTGTCCACGGCTGCCTTCATGCTACAATAGTAGCATTGAGTAGTTGCTCAGATGCCCCATAAACCTAAAATATTTACTATCTAGTCCTGTAAGAAAACATTTGCCAACCCCTAATCTAGGCAGTCTATCTTTTATGGTAGACAATTTGAGC